>NC_000001.11:44705350-45008380 GCF_000001405.40 Homo sapiens | reverse complement strand
AGTTGGGGGTGTTACAGGTATGCTAAACTCTTTAGCTGCAGTCTATCTACCCATGCCAGATTCATCAAGATCCTCGATAGTGTCCTGCACCACCTGGTACCTGCCTGGGACCACACACTGGGCACCTTCAGTGAGATTAAGGTGAGCCGACCCAGCCAGTGCTGGTCTTGGCATTTCCCCTTCCTGCTCACGTAGTTGTTCATTCCTTAGCAGAGTTCCTAAAATCTACTCTAGGGCAAGACCTTTGCTGGGTCTGGGAACATAGGAAGAAAGCCAGAACAAATGGTCCAAATTTAGTGTTTGGGAGGCTGTTCCCCAGCCTCCTTGGTATTCCAGAGTGTGTGGAATACCCAAGGGCTATTGACAGCACAGGCAGGGCAGTTTGCGTGAAAGGTACATACAGGGAGTTACCAGCAGCTCAAGATGTCTTGAGAAAAGTGTGCCAGTAGGTGTGAGTATGACAGAGGGATGAGGGTGGAAGGATGTGGGCAGGAGACAGGTCCTGGTTGCAGAGGGCCCTGTGGGCCAGGCTGTGAAGCAAGGACTTTGTCCCAGGGTAGTGGAGCTGTTGGAAAGGTAAGGAAGGTAATGACAGTATTAGATTTTTTTGTTTTAGAAAGCTCTCCCTGGTGGCTGAACTAAGGAGGGGACTGGAGACAAAGACAGGGATGGACTAGACTTGAACTGAAACGGTGGAATTGGATACAGGCAGAGGGGAAAGTTCCAGGGCCTGGACGGAGGCTGACTGCCCACTCATTCCTGCTCTGGCCACCTCTCCTCACTAGCAAGTGAAGCAGTTCCTACTGCTGTCCCGCCAGCGGCCAGGCCTGGTGGCTCAGTGCCTGCGTGACTCTGAGAGCAGCAAGCCCAGCTTCATGCCACGCCTATACATCAACCGCCGTCTTGCCATGGAACACCGTGCCTGCCCCTCTCGAGACCCTGCCTGCAAGAATGCAGTCTTCACCCAGGTCTGCACCACCTAGGGTCCGACTGAGATAGGATCAGTCAAGGGCCAAGGGGGCTAGGCCAAGAGGGACCTGAACAAGTTCTTGGGGCAAGTATAGGGCCAGGTCTTGCTTTCCTATGACTCCTTTCCTCCTTGCCTCCAGGTATATGAAGGCCTCAAGCCCTCTGACAAATATGAAAAGCCCCTGGACTACAGGTATGGCATGAGAGTGAGGGACTTACTCGGGACACCTGTTTGTGCACACAAACACACACAAACACACACACACACACACACACACACACACAACTGCTCGAGGCACCCCTCGCCATGACTGCTTTTCCCAGGTGGTCTCTGAGCTGATGAATTGTGCTGCACCTGGCCCCACATAATGACAAATCTGCCCACGTTTTTTGCAGGTGGCCCATGCGCTATGACCAGTGGTGGGAGTGTAAATTTATTGCAGAAGGCATCATTGACCAAGGTGAGGCCCTGAGGGAGGATCTCAAGGGTCCTGCTTGCTGCCCTATCAAAGTGGTAGAGGCTTTTCACCAGCTAATGATGATGGGGGACCTATTCATTACCCCATTATGGGAGCTGGGCTCTTGAGTGCCCAGCTGAGGGCATCTGTCATTTCAGGGGGTGGTTTCCGGGACAGCCTGGCAGATATGTCAGAAGAGCTGTGCCCTAGCTCAGCGGATACCCCCGTGCCCCTGCCCTTCTTTGTACGCACAGCCAACCAGGTAATCTCCGTTTCCATCTCTGCAAACCTCCCAGGTGCCAGATTGAGCTAGAAAGGGGGCAGAGGAGGGGGCCAGATTGAGCTAGAAAGGGGGCAGGCACAGTGGCTCACGCCTGTAATCCCAGCACTTTGGGAAGCCGAGGCGGGCAGATCACGAGGTCAGGAGTTCAAGACCAGCCTGGCCAATGAAGTGAAGCCCCATCTCTATAAAAATAAAAAATTAGCCGGGCGTGGTGGCACGCGCCTGTAGTCCCAGCTACATGGGAGGCTGAAGCAGGCGACTCGCTTGAACCCAGGAGACGGAGGTTGCAGTGAGCCGAGATCACGCCACTGCACTCCAGCCTGGGTGACACAGTGAGACTCTGTCTCAAAAAAAAAAAAAAATAGAAATAGGGCAGAGGAGGGACTGAGTTGCTCAGGGCAACCTCTGGGCAGACAGGGAGAGGAGGAGCCACTGTGCATTTGAAGGGATCATTTAGTGGAAAATGTTCCCAGTGGAAAATGTTCAGGGAAGTCTTTGGGCCAGGAAAATAGGGTGTATCTCATGCCACACTCACAGCTCTGTCTCTGGGGCAGGGCAATGGCACTGGTGAGGCTCGGGACATGTATGTACCCAACCCCTCCTGCCGAGACTTTGCCAAGTATGAATGGATCGGACAGCTGATGGGGGCTGCCCTTCGGGGTAAGGAGTTCCTGGTGAGTAGCCTTATCCACACCCCCGTCCGATCAGCCCTGGCCCTTGGAAGGAAAGGCCAGCCAAACCTGGGCAGCTCAGGGTGAGAAGACAGTGGGGAGTGTTTGTCACACAGGTCCTGGCCCTGCCTGGTTTTGTGTGGAAGCAGCTTTCTGGTGAGGAGGTGAGCTGGAGCAAGGACTTCCCAGCTGTGGACTCTGTGCTGGTGAGTAGGACCTGGAACCAGTGTTTCCTCTGCCCAGCCCCTAAAGGTTGGTCCTCCCTAAGGCTGTTCTGTACCTTGTTCTTTCACCACACACAAGATCCCTCTCCAATCCATCCACTCCCATGGCTTCAACTACTGTCTGTAGACTCGTGACCCCTAAAATCCTGACCTCTAGCCCCAGCCTCTCCTAAGCCTGGGGCCATATATGTATCTGTACCCTCGACGTTTGCCCCAAGATGGCATCTCAGGCTCAGTGTGTTCTTTATCTTCTCCGAAGACTACTCCCCTCTAGGGCTCCTGCCTCAGAAGGGCACCATGTCCCACTCCTCCCCATCCCAAAGCCCACAGGGCCATCCTTCACCCCTTCTTCTCCCTCGCCACCATATTCTTAAGTCTTCCTCTGTAATCTGTTTGCTTTTCCTGTCTCACTACTGTCTCCCTGCCTGGTTGAGGACACCTTTCCTCCTTAGCTAATCACTTACTAAAAAGCTGGTGTCCCTGTCTCCGTTCTTACCCGTTTGGTCTCCATGCAGCCACAGTAATTCATTTCACTCTCCTTATTTAAACTCATTGATGGCTCGGCCCTGGGCTTAGGATAGAATGCAGAATCTGTAAAGGCCTTACGTGAACCCTGTGTCTCCAGCCACTTGGTTCACATTCAGGCTCCAGCCACACAGTTTCCTTAGGCCTTTTGCTCTTTCCAGCTTTCTCCAAGATGTTCTCTCTCCTAACTTCCCTTATGTCCCAGCCATCATTTGGGTCTCAGCTGAGACACCATTTTCCACAGGATGCCTCCTCTGGCCTCCAAGGCTGGTTAGGTGTTGTCTTGATGCTTTTACAGCTCTTGTACTGACACCCTCATTCCCTGCTGCCTCCATGGGGACTGCCTTGCCTGGCTGTCTCTGCTTCCCTGTGAGCATCTTGTGGAAAGACAGGGACTATCTCCACAGTGAAAAGGTTACCTCCCTGCCTCTCTCCAACCCCTAGGTGAAGCTCCTGGAAGTGATGGAAGGAATGGACAAGGAGACGTTTGAGTTCAAGTTTGGGAAGGAACTAACATTCACCACTGTACTGAGTGACCAACAGGTGGTGGAGCTGATCCCTGGGGGTGCAGGCATCGTCGTGGGATATGGGGACCGTTCTCGTTTCATCCAACTGGTCCAGAAGGCACGGCTAGAGGAGAGCAAGGAGCAGGTAGTACCCAGAGGCTAGTAGAGCAGAGAGCTTTGGCCCCTCCTGAGCCCCAGCTCCTGGGACCCAGAACACAGCCTGTAAGCCACCAGTACTCCAAGAACTCTGGCCCCCACCATTCCTCAGTGCCACCTTTCTGCTGCTAAAAGGCCACAGTGATGCCCCCCAGTGTGAGGCGGGAGGTGTGCCCTCTTCCCCAGCCAAGCCTTTTTACCCACTCCCCAGGTGGCAGCTATGCAGGCAGGTCTGCTGAAGGTGGTACCACAGGCTGTGCTGGACTTGCTGACCTGGCAAGAGTTGGAGAAGAAAGTGTGTGGGGATCCAGAGGTCACTGTGGATGCTCTGCGCAAGCTCAGTGAGTTCCCCAAGGCAGGGCAGGGCAGGGCAGCACAGCACAGCACAGGGGTTGGGGCTCAAGGACTGGGCAAGATGAGACCCAAGAATGAATGCTGGCCTTGTCTCCACCAGCCCGGTTTGAGGACTTCGAGCCATCTGACTCGCGGGTGCAGTATTTCTGGGAGGCACTGAACAACTTCACCAACGGTCAGTGGAGGAGGGCAGGGTGACACCTGGGTTTGGACTCTGCTGCTGAGTTGCAGAGGCAGGGTAGAAGTTGTAGACCCTCCCTCACCATCCATGCAGGCACTGATTTCCTTCTCCCTCCAGAGGACCGGAGCCGCTTCCTGCGCTTTGTCACGGGCCGCAGTCGCCTGCCAGCACGGATCTACATCTACCCAGACAAGCTGGGGTGAGTGCTGGAGGGAGGCCTGAAGGTGCCATGGCCGCCTTCTGTCCTCCCTCCCCACACACGTACATGTGCCCCAACACATCTTCCTGACCTATGGTCCCTCAATGCCCCCAGCTACGAGACCACAGACGCGCTGCCCGAGTCTTCCACTTGCTCCAGCACCCTCTTCCTGCCACACTATGCCAGGTGGGTTTTTTCCTAGGCTCGATTTGGGGCCCAGGGGACCCCATCACCCCTGGTAGCGATGTAGGGACCTGACCAAGTCCCCATTCCCACAGTGCCAAGGTATGCGAGGAGAAGCTCCGCTATGCGGCCTACAACTGCGTGGCCATCGACACTGACATGAGCCCTTGGGAGGAGTGAGGCGTGCCGCCGGCTGTGGGACCAGCAAGACTGCACGTGTCCCTCTTGGCCTTGCCCAGGGCGAAGACACCTTCCCTGCCCTGGTTTGGCTGACGTGCTCAGCAAAACCCCATGTGCCCTGCTCCTGTGTGCAGTTGGGGTAGGGGCAGCTGGCATGGTCAGGTAACACTAGTGGCCCAGCCCCGCAGACCCACAAGCCCTACCCGTGCTGGGGCTTGCTTCCCGAGGTATTTCACCTCTTAAGAGGGAATCTTCCACAAGCCCAGCACAAGCTGCCAGGCCTGAGCTACTTGAAGGGGGCCATCTAGGTCCCCAACCCATGGACTTTGCCTCCATTTTCAGCTCCGCCTTTTTTCTCCTATTTTCTCTCTGGCTTTCTTCAGCCATGACTCACAACTAAAAACATAAAACACTGGAGGTTAGTGGAGGCCCCTCCCCAAGCAGGGAGCCTGGGATGGGCAGGGAGTGATAGCCAAACTCCTTGGTCACCTGCTCCAAGAAGGAAGCAGTAGCTGAGCACCTGCCCTCACATTCTGCTCTTTTCCCCTCTCCCTCCATACCAGAGATGTGGTGAGCTCTGTTCTTCTACCAACCCAGTCTCAACACACAAAGTGCCACCACCTTCCCTGACTCAGAACCCACATCCACTCAATGTGAACTCTACTACCACGACCTCCCCATATTCCTCACTTCTCCATCACCTCCAGCCTGACTCCCTGTCTGCCCTTTCACCCCCAAGATTTTGCACAGGTTAAGGCCAGTTATGGCCTTTTTGAAATCTGTAATAGCTCCCCTTTCCCCAACTCTAAAGCCTAGACCTTAAACCTGTTCCTAGAGCTATGCACACCCCTGCCCCAGTTTACCGTTCCTCCCTCAGGGCCTCCGTGACACTCCATGAAAAGAAGTTCTTGCATACCGGAAAGTTGAATAAATGGATGAATTCATTCCTTCAGAATGTGTTTATTGGGCCCTGGGCTTAGGCACAGGGTCACAAGGAGAAATTGACTTTAGTGTCCTACTCGGAGCCAAGAAGATGGATGTGAAATGCAAGTAGAGGTTTCTCAGTGACAGACTTTGCACAGTTACATATCTGGGGCTGAGCAGAGACGTAAGGGCCCCACTGCGCAGAAAAGGGAAAACAAGCAAACAGGCTGGCCTGGCATTTTCTGGCATGGATATGGTGATTTGGAGGATGGGAGTCCACTTCTGGAGCCAAGTGGGCAGAAGAATTTGACATCATAGAAGACAGAGACGGGAGGGCTGACAAACCAGCCAGGTCAGGGTTGTTGACAGAAGTGGAGGAAGTAGTGTCTTTATTACCCTGCCCCCAACCCGTTGCAGTCCTTTTTGGGTGTTTGTTTGTTTGTTTGTTTGTTTGGGTCTCTGTTGCTTAGGCTGGCGTGTAGTGGTGCAGTCACGGCTTACTCCAGCCTGGGCCTCCTGGGCTCCAGTGATCTTCCCACCTCAGCCTCCTGAGTAGCTGGGACCACAAGTATGCCACCGCTTCTGGGTAATTTTTTGCAGAGATAGGGGTCTCCCTATGTTGAACAGGTTGTTCTCGAACTCCTGGCCTCAGGCATTCCTCCCACCTCAGCCTCCCAGAGTGCTAGGATTACAGGCCTGAGTAGTCTTCAAGAACAAGTACCTGGGGCCGGCGACTCATACCTGGAATTCCAGCACTTTGGGAGGCTGAGGTGGGCGGACCACTTGAGCCCAGGAGTTGGAGACCAGCCTGGCCAACGTGGTGAAACCCTCTCTCTATTAAAAATACGAAAATGAGCAGGGCTTGGGTGCGTGTCTGTGGTGCCAGTTGGGAGACTGAGGTGGGAGGATCGCTTGAGCCTAGGAGGTGGAGGTTGTAGTGAGCCAAGATCATGCCACTGCACTTCAGCCTGGGCAACAGAGTGAGACCCTCTATCCAAAAAAAAAAAAAGGAGTATCAGGGAGAACCCTGTGTACGAACAGTCCCCCTACACCCCCACAGTGGCCAGTCACGCTCTCAAGCACAGCCCCAGGGTCCCAGTCGTCTCAGAGTCCAGGTACAATGTGAGACCTTGTGGTGGCTGATTGTCCAGATAAGTGGCTTGGCGGAGTCTCGCCCTGGCAACTCTTCCCCTTCTTGTCCTCTAGGGCACTCCCTGACACTGCCCTAGTTGGGAAACTTACTGTGCAAGAGGTTGATCTCTGCCTGCACTGTGTGCACCCTGAGACCTATCCCAAAACACGGAACTTGACAGCTCAGTCTCTCGGCTGCCACCGCCTCCCCTGTACCCCTGCACCTTGGGTGGTGAACCCCCTTCCCTTCCAGGAAGCAGAAGGCACAGAAACCCCCAAGGCCACCACTTCCACCCAGCTCTGCTCTTCCCAAGTCAGGGTGCACCTCTCCCTTCTCTCCCCTCAGGAAAGGGCCCAGGCCACGTGCTCCTACAGGAAGTAGCCAGTTTCTGTGCCTGGTATGGTCACATGAACTCTTTAGTCCCTTTTTTACTCACACTGTATATTTTGTAGCCTGCATTTCATTTAACCCTTCATTCATTCAATAAACTAATATGCATCAAGCCCCTAGGTCAGGCACTGCACTAGGTGAATGGATAAAATCGTGGCTAAAGCAGTGATAATTTTTACCCTTATGGGATTTAAACTCTAATGGGAAAGACATACAAACAAAGAGTTGCATAAACAACACTTAAGAACACTTTTGTAAAAGCTACAAAGAAGTGAAAATTGTTAGGGGACAGAACAGGATCGTTCTAACCAATGCAGCTCAATGAAATGCGAAATTCCTAAGGCATGTAACTCAACACAGAGGCCAGCTGAGAAGACTGTTGAGTACTGTGTTGCTGGAGTGTAAAAGAAAGAGAGAAATGAGACTCCAGTCTTATAAGGCCAGTTTTAGGATTTTATAATGAGCAGCCCTGAGGGCATTAAGCAAGAAAGTGACATAACTATATTTGCCTTGGTGGCTGTGTAGAGAATGGGTTGAGAAGGATACAGGTGGCAGGGATTAATCAAAGCAGGAAATGATGACGACTGGGCCAAGGGGGCACTCATTTTAACCATTATTATTATTATTATTTATACAGCGTGTCTGTCGCCCAGGTTGGAGTGCAGTGGCGTGATCTCGGCTCACTGCAACCTCCGCCTCCCGGGTTCAAACAATTCTCCTGCCCCAGCCTCCTGAGTAGCTGGGATTACAGGCGCCCGCCACCATGCCCGGCTAATTTTTTATTTTTAGTAAAGACGGCGTTTCACCATGTTGGCCAGGCTGGTCTCGAATTCCTGACCTCATGTGATCTGTCTGCCTTGGCCTCCCAAAGTGCTGGGATTACAGGCATGAGCCACTGCGCCTGGCCGACCATTATTTTTATAGGTAGCAATTGTATTACATTATAAGGAACTTTCATAATTTGTATTTATTTTAAAACCTCTACAGATGGACATTAAGATTGTTCACAAATTTTCAACACTAAAAACTACAGATGTTGCAATAAACATCCTCATGCATATACCATTGCAATATCTATTTATTTCCTTAGAATAACTTCTTAAAATGACTTCATCAAACTGCGAAACTGCCCTGTAAGAAGGATGAATCAATTTTCATTCCCTCTAGTGTCTATTTCCTAAACTCTCACCACCTTTGAGCATTAACACTTAAAAATGTTTTTTGTCAATTCAGTGTGCTGGAAAATGGTAAAATTGTTATGTTTTATTTGCATTGCTTTGTTTACTATATGGAGCCATTATTTTTCTTCTTTATGAGCTATGCTTCATATATTTTTGTCCATTTTTCTGTTGTCTTCATTATATTTTTCTTATTGATTTGTAGCAACCTTTGCATGGTACTAAAATAATAAAAGCTTGGTAGTTGCTGATCATCCTCTTAGCAAAGCACTGTGCTAAGTAACATACATTTACTGTCTTGTTTTATCTTTTCAACAACTCTGTGAAGTAAGTACTATTACTATGCCCTTTTCCAGATGAGAAACCTAGAGCAACGAGGAATTAAATTACTTGCCCAGGATAAGTGGTTAAGTGATGGAGATTAGGATGGTAGTCTGCCAGCTCCAAAGCCAACTGACTCAGTAACTGAGGTGTTATATCCTAATCCCTTTGTCCGTCATGTCAGGTGTTGCAAATGTTTTCCTAGTCTGTCCTTTGCCTTTTAATTTCATGCATGTTCTTTTCTAATGTAAAAAGTTCAAAAATTTTTTAATAATTTTTTTTTTTTTAGATGGAGTTTCGCTGTTGTTGCCCAGGCTGGAGTGCAATGGCGCGATCTCTGCTCACCGCAACCTCTGCCTCCCGGGTTCTAGCAATTTTCCTGCCTCAGCTTCCTTAGTAGCTAGGATTATAGGCATGCGCCACCACGCTCGGCTAATTTTGTATTTTTAGTAGAGACGGGGTTTCTCCACGTTGGTCAGGCTGGTCTCGAACTCCCGACCTCAGGTGATCCGCCTGCCTCAGCCTCCCAAAGTGCTGGGATTACAGGCATGAGCCACTGCGCCCAGCCACATTTTTTAATAATTTATTTATTTTTGTTATGATTATTTTTTTAGACAGGGTCACTCTGTCCCCCAGGCTGGAGTGCAGTGGCATAAGCTTGGCTCACTGCACCCTCCACCTCCAGGCCAAGTGATCCTCCCACCTCAGCCTCCCAAGTAGCTGGGACTACAGGCATGCACCACCACACCCAGCCAAGTTGTTTTTTTTTTTTTTTTTTTTTTGTAGAGCTAGGGTCTCAGCATGTTGCCCAGGCTGGTCTTGAACTCCTGGGCTCAAGCAATCTGCCTGCCTCGGCCTCCCAAAGTGCTAGGATTACAGGCATGAGCCACCACGCCTGGCCAATAATTTTTTATTTTTCATTTTTGTGGGTATATAGGTTTATATATTTATGGGGTACATGAGATGTTTTGATACAGGCATGCAATGTGTTATATTCACATCAGGGTAAATGGGGGTATTCATCCCCTCAAGCATTTATCCTTTGTGTTGCAAACAATCCAATTATACCGTTTTAGTTGGTTTGGTTTGGTTTGGTTTTTTGAGACAGAGTTTTGCTCTGCAGGCTGGAGTGCAGTGGCATGATCTCGGCTCACTGCAACCTTCACCTCCCAGGTTCAAGCGATTATTCCACCTCAGCCTCCCAAGTAGCTGGGATTACAGGCGCAAGCCACCATGCCTGGCTAATTTTTGTATTTTTAGTAGAGATGGGGTTTCACCATGTTGGCCAGGCTGGTCTCAAACTCCTGACCTCAGGTGATCTGCCCAACTCAGCCTCCCAAAATGCTGGGATTACAGGTGTGAACCACCATGCCTGGCCTCTTTTAGCTGTTTTTAAATGTACAATTAAATTATTATTGACTATAGTCACCCTGTTGTGCTTTCAAACACAAGGCATTACTCATTCAAACTCTTTTTTGTACTCGTTAACCATGCTTATCTCCCCTTAATCCCCCCACTCCCCTTCCCAGCCTCTGGTAACCATCCTTCTACTCTCTATCTCTATGGGTTCAGTTGTTGATTTTTAAACCTCAAAATGTTTATGAGCTCAAAATTTTTTCTTTGTGGAAGAACCTATATTGGATATATACCATTGGGAGGCAATATACTGTTGTGTACTAGTTAAGAGCACATTCTTTGGAATCAGCTTGACTATATCCATATTCTGGCTATGCCACGTACTAGCTGTTGACCATGGGCAAGTTGCTTAACCTTTCTGTGCCTCAGATTCCACCTTTAAATTTATTTGTTTGTTTATTTGTTTATTTTTTGAGACAGAGTTTTGCTCTTGTTGCCCAGGCTGGAGTGCAATGGCATGATCTCAGCTCACCGCAACCTCCGCCTCCCAGGTTCAAGCGATTCTCCCGCCTCAGCCTCCCAAGTAGCTGGGATTACAGGCATGCGCCACCATGCCCTGCTAATTTTGTATTTTTACTAGAGATGTGGCTTCTCCATGTTGGTCAGGCTGGTCTCGAACTCCCAACCTCAGGTGATCCGCCCGCCTCAGCCTTCCAAAGTGCTGGATTACAGGCGTGAGCCACCACGCCTGGCCTTAAATTTTTTTAATTAATTATTTTTCATTCACAATAATTGTATATATTTATGGGCTACAATATGATGTTTTGGTCTATGTATACATTGCACAAAGGGTCAATCAAGTTAATTAACATATCCATCACCTCACCAACTAATCATTTTTTGTGGCAAGAATGTGAAAAATTTATTCTTTTAGCGATTTTGAAATATACATTTTTATTAACTGTGGTCACCATGCAGTGCAATAGCTGACTAAAACCTGTTCCTACAGTCTTACTGAGATTTTGCACCCTTTGATCAACATCTTCTCTTTTACCACCCCCTAGCCCTCTCTGTTTATATGAAACAGAGTCTGGGGGACAGAATGAGACCCTGTCTAAAAAAATAATCTTAATAAAAATAAGGCCAGGCGTGGTGGCTCATGCCTGTAATCCCAGCATTTTGGGAGGCTGAGCCGGGTGGATCACTTGAGGTCAGGAGCTCGAGACCAGCCTGGTCAACATGGTGAAACCCCGTCTCTACTAAAATACAAAAATTAGCCAGGCGTGGTGGTGGGCACCTGTAATCCCAGCTACTTGGGAGGCCGAGGGAGGAGAATCGCTTGAACCTGTAAGGAGGAGGTTGCAGTGAGCCAAGATCGCACCACTGCACTCCAGCCTGGGCAACAAGAGCAAAACTCTGTCTCAAAAAGAAATAAAATTAAAAATAAAAATAAGACCAGGTGCGGTGGCTCATGCCTGTAATCTCAGCAATCTGGGAGGCCAAGGTGGGTGGATCACTTGAGCTCAGAAGTTCGAGACCAGCCTGGCCAACATGGTGAAACCCCATCTCTACTAAAATACAAAATTTAGCCAGGTGTGGTGGCAGACGCCTGTAATCTCAGCTACTTGGGAGGCTGAGGCAGGAGAATCGCTTGAACCTGGGAGGCAAAGGTTACAGTGAGCCGAGATTGCACCACTGTACTCCAGCCTGGGTGACAGGGCGAGACTCCCTCTCAATAATAATAATAATAATAAAAATAAATAAATAATTAGGCTGGGTGTGGTGGCTCACGCTTGTAATCTCAGCACTTCTGGAGGCTGAGGCAGGTGGATGGATCACTTGATGTCAGGAGTTCGAGACCAGACCGGCCAACATAGTGAAACTCCATCTCTACTAAAAATACAAAAATTAGCTGGGCATGGTGGCAGGCGCCTGTAGTCCCAGCTACTCTACTTGGGAGGCTGAGGCAGGAGCATCACTTGAACCTGGGAGGCGGGGTTGCAGTGAGCCGAGATCACACCACTGCACTCCAGCCTGGGCAACACAGTGAGACTCCAGCTCAAAATAAATAAATAAATAATTAAAAGTCAGTGAAAAAGCTACTTCCCCCCTCCCCCAGTGACAGGGTCTTGCTCTGTTGCCCAGGCTGGGGTGCAGTGGCACAGTCACGGCTCACTGCAGCCTTGACCTCCTGCGTTGAAGCAATCCTACCACCTCAGCCTCCCGCATAGCTGGGACTACGGGTGCATTCCACTACCCCTGATAATTCTTGTATTTTTTGTACAGACAGGGTTCTGTCATATTGCCCAGGGTGGTCTCAAACTCCTGGGCTCAAGAGATCCTCTGACTTCAGCCTCCCAAAGTGCTGGCATTACAGGTATGAGCCACTATGGCTGGCCAAAATCAAATTCCACTTATAAGTGAGATCACACAGTGTTTTTCTTTTTGTGCCTGGCTGATTTCACGTAGCATAATATTCTCCATCCATGTTGTTATGAATGACAGAAGATCTTTCTTTTTAAAGGCTGTATAATATTCCTGTGTGTGTGTGTGCATGTGTTTATCCACTAATACACACTTAGGTTACTTCCTTATTTTGGCTATTGTGAATAATGCTGAAATGAACATGGGAGTGCAGATTATCTCTTCAACATTCCAATTTCAATTTCTTTGGATATATACCCAGATGTGGTATTGCTGGATTGTAAGTTAATTCTTTTTTGGTGTCGTGGTTTTTGGGTTTTGCTTGTTTATTTGTTTGCTTGTTGAGAAAAGGTCTCATTCTACTGCCCAGGCTGGAGTGCAGTGGCACGATCTTGGCTCACTGCAACCTCAACCTCCTGGGCTTAAGCCATCCTCTGATCTTGGCCTCCTAAAGTGCTGGGATTTCAGGTGTGAGCCACTGTGCTAGGCTCTAATTTAAAAACAAGGGAAAAATCAGCCAGTTGAAAAGTCGTTTTCAATAAGGGGGAAAAAAATCACCAAATTGATTAAATCACTTATTTTTTAAAGTTACTCACCATTTTAGAATATGAATGCCCAGATTCTGACCTTTAAAACCACCAATGAAGAAAATTCTGTGTGCTTGAAAAGAAATACTGAAGTTCTAATTAATGAAGATTCTTTCCAAGCTCCTTTTGTTAAATACTGTAGCATCATTTTATCTCTAACTTATCATGGATCTATTGGGCAATTACTGGGCCTATGTACAAAAATAAAATGCAAGGCTGGGTGCAGTGGCTCACGCTTGTAATCCTAGTTCTTTGGGAGGCTGAGGCCGGGGGATCTCTTGAGCCCAGGAGTTCGAGACCAGCCTGGGCAACATAGTGAAACCTTGTCTCTACGAAAAACAAAAATTTTAATTAACCAGGCATGATGGCAGGCACCTGTAGTCACAGCTACTCTGGTGGCTGAGGTGGGAAGATCGCTTAAGCCCAGCAGGTCAAGGCTGCAGTGAGCTGTGATTGTGCCACTGCACTTCAGCCGAGGTGACACAGAGAGACCCTGTCTCAATCAATCAATAAAATGCAAATATTTTAGGACCTGCAATTGTTTGCCAAAGTGGAATATCTTTCATTCACTACTCTAAAAACAATAATTCCCCGCCCCACTGACAAGTCTCTGGCCAAATGGAGTAGATGAATATTGTGAGGTGGCCAGCAAATTCCCAGAGAGATCTCTAGCAGACCGTGGGAAGACTGTTTGTGAGCCAAGACCCAAATTTTGAAAGATTTCTTTTGTCTTCCACAGTTTAGAGAGCTTGCCCTTGTTAAGTTATTCCCCCACCACATATGAACACACAGACACACACACACATATATACACACAAATATCCCTTAGGGAAGAAATGAGAATAATTATGGTCAAGACGAAACAAACATTTTAGGGAATACCCTGTATTTAATAAGTATTTACTAAGTATTTCCTGTGTACTTAATAATAATAATAAATAAGCATGGGGCTAGGCATGAATTGATAGTGAGGAGGAAAGTTCGGGAGAAGAGATGTTGTCAGCGACCTGGCTCTCAGCCCAGTTTTCCCACCACCAAATGGGAAGTCAAGGGAAAATCTGTAAGATTTCAATTCATCCAATATT
This sequence comes from Homo sapiens, assembly GCF_000001405.40. Classification (NCBI taxonomy): domain Eukaryota; kingdom Metazoa; phylum Chordata; class Mammalia; order Primates; family Hominidae; genus Homo; species Homo sapiens. The sequence goes on along the minus strand of NC_000001.11, from coordinate 44,994,094 downwards.
ATTCACTTAGCACGTCCCAGGTTCTATGCTAGGTCCTGGGGAGACAGGAACAAATAAGATATAGCACTTATCTTCAAAGGGCTCCTAGTGTGATAGAGAAGACATGGAAAAGAGGATGACAATCCTTTATGGTGAGTGCCATAATGTAAGTGCTAGAAGCAGTAAGAGCCAGGAGGAATCCATAAGGCAGCAGCTCTTCAAATGTGCTCCATGGGTTCCCGGGAATCCCTAAGACCCTTTCAGGGGATCTGTCAGGTCAGAACTATTTTCATAATAATATTAAAATATATTTACCTTTTTCATCATATTGATATTTGCATTGATGGTGCCAAAGCAATGGTGGGTAAAACTTCTGGTGCTTTATTAAGCATGAATCGAAGCATTGGCACCAAACTGTACAATAGTCATTTTATTTTTTAGTCCCATACACTTTTTAAAAAATTAGAATAAACATTAAGGCCAGGCGCAGTGGCTTACCCCTGTAATCCTAGCACTTTGGGAGGCTGAGGTAGGAGGATCCTTTGAGCCAAGGAGGCAGAGGTGCCAAGATCATGCCACTGCACTCCAGCCTGGTCAACAGAGCAAGACCCTGTCTTAAAGAAAAAAAAAAATTGGCCAGGCGCAGTGGCTCACGCCTGTAATCCCAGCACTATGGGAGGCAGAGACGAATGGATCACTTGAGGTCAGGAGTTTGACACCAGCCTGGCCAACGTGGTGAAGCCCCGTCTCCACTAAAAATACAAAAATTAGCCAGGTGGCGCACACCTGTAATCCCAGCTACTTGGGAGGCTGAGGCAGGAGGATTGCCTGAACCCGGGAGGTGGAGGGTGTAGTGAGCTGAGATCATGCCACTGTACTCCAGCCTGGGTGACAGAGTGAGACTCTATCTCAAAAACAAAAACAGGCCGGGCACAGTGGCTCACACCTGTAATCCTAGCATTTGGGAGGCTGAGGCGAGCGGATCACGAGGTCAGGAGATCAAGACCATCCTGGCTAACATGGTGAAACCCCATCTCTACTAAAAATACAAAAACAAAATTAGCCGGGTGTGGTGGTGGGCACCTGTAGTCCCAGCTACTTGGGAGGCTGAGGTGGGAGAATGGCGTGAACCTGGGAGGCAGAGCCTGCAGTGAGCCAAGATCGCGCCACTGCACTCCATCCAGCCTGGGCGACAGAGTGAGACTCCATCTCAAAAAAAAAAAAAAAAGAAAGAAAAAAAATTAAACAAAGTCAGTTACACTTAAGAAGGTCTTTGATTAAGCAGTAAACTATATTAATTTTATTAAACCTTGGCCTGAGTACATGTCTTTTTTTTTTTTTTTTTTTTTTTTGAGATGAAGTCTCATTCTGTTGCCCAAGCTGGAGTGCAGTGGCATGATCTTGGCTCACTGAAACCTCCACCTCCCAGGTTCAAGTGATTCTCCTGCCTCAGCCTCCCAAGTAGCTGGGAATACAGGCACACGCCACTGTGCCCGGCTAATTTTTGTATTTTTAGTAGAGACAGGGTTTCACTATGTTGGCCAGGCTGGTCTTGAACTCCTGACCTCGTGATCCACCTGCCTCGGCCTCCCAAAGTGCTGGGATTACAGGCGTGAGCTACTGTGCCCAGCCCATTTTTTTTTTTTTTGCTACCAAATATACTAGTTTACTGAGTATGTGTCTTTTTAATATTCTGTATGATGAGATGGGAAGTACACATTTAACCCTTCTGTGCATACAAAAGAAGTATGATGGTTGTCTCCAAGAGAAACAGTTTTGTGATAGTTTGAGCTGCGAGTTGAACTACTGCTTTTTCATGGAGCACTATATTGAATCGAAAGAACAACTGGAGGTGGCTGCACAGTCGTGGCGGAGGTGACCAAAGCCACATAATGTCCGTAGTTCATTCATCCACCCATGCCAAGTGGATCGTGGGGAAGGTGATTGGGACAAAAATGCAAAAGACTGCTAAAGTGAGAGTGACCAGGCTTGTTCTGGATCCCTATTTATTAAAGTATTACAATAAGCGGAAAACCTACTTTGCTCACGATGCCCTTCAGCAGTGCACAGTTGGTGATACTGTGCTTCTCAGAGCTTTACCTGTTCCGCGAACAAAGCATGTGAAACATGAACTGGCCGAGATTGTTTTCAAAGTTGGAAAAATCATAAATCCAGTGACAGGAAAGCCCTGTGCAGGAATTACCTACCTAGAGAGTCCATTGAGTTTGGAAACCACCCAGCTAAGCAAAAATCTGGAAGAACTCAATATCTCTTCAGCACAGTGGAGGAGGAGTGGAAGAAGGCACTAAAGGGAAAGATTGACATGTTTATGTTATGGAAAAAGAAATTTTTCTAAGTTGCATTGCAAACTGTGTCCAGTTTATCTGTGATGTTTATGAAATAGCTAAAAGCAAATGAAGGGCATATTATGGTTTTTCATTTAAAAAAAAAAAAGAACTGACCAACTATGCCTGCCGATGTATAAACAAAGTGAGCCAGTTACTTCAAGGGAAACCACTAATAGTATTTGCTGCCAATGAGCTTTGAAGAGAAAATTAAAATTTTGGGGGTTTTTTGTTTTTGTTTTTGTTTTTCTGAGACGGAGTCTCACTCTGTAGCCCAGGCTGGAGTGCAGTGGCGCCATCTCAGCTCACTGCAAGCTCTGCCTCCCGGGTTCACGCCATTCTCCTGCCTCAGCCTCCTGAGTAGCTGGGACTACAGGCACCTGCCACCATGCCGGGGTAATTTTTTTGTATTTTTAGTAGAGACAGGGTTTCACCGTGTTAGCCAGGATGGTCTCAATCTCCTGACCTCATGATCTGCCCACCTCGGCCTCCCAGAATGCTTGGATTACAGGCGTGAGCCACTGTGCCCGGCCAAAAATTAGAATTTTATAAAACTTGTATCTGTCATCATCAGCTTCCCAGCTTTCTAATATTTAAGAATTTTTCTGATGAAATTGTTAGTGATATTAACAAATGTGATTTTAAAATATTGTATAATGAGTCAATGTTAGGAAGATCTGCATAACTCTGTGAACGAATATTTTACATATTATTTGTATACCAAGTTGCAAGGTCATGCATGGGTAAAATGTCCATTCAAAGTGCAAGTACTGTAACAAGGTACAAAATGTTCATTGATATAATTTCCGATTCTACATTGCAACAAACCTTTAACAAACTACCACTTATTGAATTTTGGTATAGTGTCAAAGAATACCTATAATTATCTGAAAAGGCTATTAAAAGCTCTATCTCTTACCAACTATGTATCTATGTGAAGTCACATTTTTATGATATAATTAAACCAAAATAATATATTACAATAATGGAAAAATCAAGCTGTTTTCTATTAAGCCAGACCCTAAAGAGACTATTCAAAAAGGTGAAACAATGGCATTCATCTCACTAAACTTTTTGTTTTGAAAATGTAGTTGGCCAGGCACAATGGCTCATGCCTGTAATCCCAGCACTTTGGGAGGTCAAGGCGGGCGGATCACCTGAGGTCAGGAGTTTGAGACTAGCCTGACCAACATGGAGAAACCCCGTCTCTACTATAAATACAAAATCAGCTGGGTGTGGTGGCGCATGCCTGTAAATTCCAGCTACTTGGGAGGCTGAGGCAGGAGAATCGCTTGAACCCGGGAGGCAGAGGTTGCAGTGAGCTGAGATCGTGCCATTGCACTCCAGCCTGGGCAACAAGAGCAAAACTCCGTGTCAAAAAAATAATTTTTTTTCGATATGGTAAATATTGATAAATATAATCCATATAAACAAAAGCTTTCTGGGGTCCTCAGTAATTTTTAAGTATGAAGAGTCTAGAGATGAAAAAGTTTGAGAATTGTTGCCCTCAGGGAATAATTTAAAGTGAGTTTAAACTGAAGCAATCTCTCAACTACTTTCCACAATAGAAGAGAAAACCCTCTAGTTCGTTGAAAAACATTTGCTAGTTTAAACATAAGGATTTGAAATGGATGGCAGATATGGGGCTGACTGCTCTTCTTACTTATAATTAGTTCTTACCTCAAACCCATGCTGTAATTTCCAAGTCTTGGTTGAGGTAATACCAAAGAGAGAATATCTCTGTGTTTCTATAGAGGGGTAGTCAGACTTCAGGCCTCCTGTGGCCAGATCAGTCAGTTCATGGCAAGGCAAAGATAGGCTGGTTTTAGGATATGAGTCCCCCCCTTTTTTTTTCAGGGTCTAAGCAGACCTCCTTCTGGAAAAAATGACAAGTCCTAATCATTAACTGCTGTATCTGCAACACCAAGCATCTAAGACACTGCTTGGCACATATTAGGCACTCAAGATATTGTTGAAGCCAGTCCTCCATGGCACATACCTGTAGTCCTAGCTACTTGGGAAGCTGAGGCAAGACGATCGTTGAGCCCAGGAGTTTGAGTCCAGCCTGGGCAGCATAAGCTGACCTCATTTCTAAAAATAAATGAATAAATATTGTTGAATGAAGTCAAGCTCCTTTATTTTTATTACAGAAATCATGCTCTACCTTTTAACTGGCAGGAAGCTAAAGCAACTCAAGATTTAAGAGATGAATCAGGCTGGGCACGGTGGCTCACGGCTGTGTCCCAGCACTTTGGGAGGTCGAGGCGAACAGATCACGAGGTCAGGAGTTCAAGACCATCCTGGCCTATCTGATGAAACCCCTTGTCTACTAAAAATACAAAAATTAGCCAGGCGTGGTGGCGCATGCCTGTAGTCCCAGCTACTCGGGAGGCTGACGCAGGAATCACTTGAACCCAGGAGGCAGAGGTTGCAGTGAGCCAAGATTGTGCCACTGAACTCCAGCCTGGTGACAGAGTGAGACTGTCTCAAAAAAAAAAAAAAATTAATTAATCGAAAAAAAAGGAAGCTTTCAAAAGATTAGGAAATTGCAGGAATGCATGGGAAAAAGAGAATGGCCATTGGTCCTGTTATCTAGTGCAACTTGATAAACCACTCCAAACCGTAGAGCTTAGAACAACAATTATTTTATTATCTATTCGTCATTTTTTAATATTTATTTTATTTACTTAGAGATCCTGTCTCTTTGTTACCCAGGCTGAAGTGCAGTGATACCATATTGGCTCACTGCCACCTCTGCCTCTTGGGCTCCAGCGATCCTCCTGCCTCAGCCTTCCAAGTAGCTGGAACCCCACAGCGCGGCACCACACCTGACTAATTTTTGTATTTTTAGTAGAGAGGGTGTTTCACTACGTTGCCCAGGCTAGTCTCGAACTCCTGGGCCCAAGGGATCCATCCGCCTCACTTCCTAAACTTCTGGGATTACAAGCGTGAGCCACCGCACCTGGCCTATTATTGTTTTGTTAAAAGCAGGGTCTCGGCTTTGCAAATGCAGCCACCGACGCCAGGAGCTCTGTACGATCAGCCATGGTTAACCCCACCGTGTTCGACATCGCTGTCGACGGCAAGCCCTTGGGCCGCGTGTCCTTCGAGCCGTTTGCAGACAAGGTTCCAAAGGCAGCAGAAAACTTTCGTGCTCTGAGCAATGTAGAGAAAGGATTTGGTTATAAAGGTTCCTGCTTTCACAGAATTATTCCAGGGTTTATGTGTCAGGGTGGTGACTTCACATGCCATAATGGCACTGGTGGCAAGTACACCTGCGGGGAGAAATTTGATGACGAGAGCTTCGTCCTAAAGCATACACATCCTGGCATCTTGTCCATGGCAAATGCTGGACCCAACACAAATGGTTCCCAGTGTTTCATCTGCACTGCCAAGACTGAGTGGCTGGATGGCAATCCTGTGGTCTTTGGCAAGGTGAAAGAAGGCATGAATATTGTGGAGGCCATGGGGCACTTTGGGTCCGAGAATGGCAAGACCAGCAAGAAGATCACCATTGCTGACTGTGGACAACTCTAACAAGTTTGGCTTTTGTTTTATCTTAACCACCAGACCATTCCTTTTGTAGCTCAGAAGAGCACCCCTTCACCCCATTTGCTTGCAGTATTTTTTTTTTTTTTTTTTTTTGAGACGCTGTCTCACCCTGTCGCCCTCTCCCAGGCTGAAGTGCAGTGGCACGATCTCGGCTCACTGCAACCTCCACTTCCCGGGTTCAAGCAATTCTCTTTCCTCAGCCTCCCGAGTAGCTGGGACTACAGGCGCACGCCGCCATGCCTGGCTAATTTTTTCTTTCTTTCTTTCTTTCTTTTTTTTTTTTTTTTTGTATTTTAGTAGAGACGGGGTTTCACCATGTTGCCCAGGCTGATCTTGAACTCCTGAGCTCAGGCAATCTGCCTGCCTCGGCCTCCCAAAGTGCTAGGATTACAGACGTGAGCCACCACGCCCGGCCTGCTCGCAGTATCTTATCTTTGTGCTCTTGCTGCAGTTCCCTTTGGGTTCCATGTTTTCCTTGTTCCTTTCCATGCCTAACTGGATTGCTGAGTTAAGTTTATGATTATGAAATAAAAACTAAATTAAAAAAAAAAAACAGGGTCTCACTCTGTCGTCTAGGCAGGAGGAGTGCAGTGGCCCGATCATAGCTCACTGCAGCCTCGAACTCCTGGGCTCAAGCGATCCTCCCGTTTCAGCCTCCTGAGCAGCTGGGACTACAGGCACACACTACCATGCCCAGCTAATTTTTACTTTTGTAGAGACTGGAGGCTCTCTCGCACAGGCTGGTCTTGAACGCCCGGTTTCAAGCAATCCTCCCACCTCGGCTTCCCAAATTGCGGAGATTACAGGCATGAGCCACCATGCCCAGCCGCCCCCAGTTTTGATGGCTAAAGTTAACGTGAGTGGCCCTGTTACAAATAGGAAGTCCCGGGCCGGGCGCGGTGGCTCACGCCTGTAATCCCAGCACTTTGGGAGGCCGAGGCGGGCGGATCACGAGGTCAGGAGATCGAGACCATCCTGGCTAACACAGTGAAACCCCCGTCTCTACTAAAAATACAAAAAAATTAGCCGGGCATGGTGGCAGGCGCCTGTAGTCCCAGCTCCTCGGGAGGCTGAGGGAGGAAAATGGCGTGAACCCGGGAGGCCGAGCTTGCAGTGAGCCGAGATCGCGCCACTGCACTCCAGCCTGGGCGACGCAGAGCGAGACTCCGTCTCAAAAAAAACAAAAAACAAACAACAACAACAACAACAACAAAAACAAATAGGAAGTCCTGGCAACCCCTGCAGGGGCATTCGGTGATTTTTTTCACTAGCTAGCCAAAATTGCGGCTCCCAATGAGCTTTCTTTCACCGAATGTACTCGAAGCCAGGTCTTAGACTTACTCCCTGAGGAAAGAGGCTGAGTTGTTCCGTCTGGGTTCCCGGCACCCTGCACTGGGAGGAATACTCAAAAGGCGTTGGTAATGTGTTAATGGACAGAGGGACACACGTGTCGAATGCTCCTCGGTGGCCCCGCCCCCTCCGGCCCGCCTTCCCTCCTCTCCGCTGAGTGTGCTTCCCCTCCGTCATCCATCGCTCGGCGGTCTTCTCTTCTCCATGGGTCTGCTCTGCGCGTTCCATCGAGTTTCTCGGCCATCGCGCGCCTGCGCCATTGGGCTGTCAGTCAGAGGCGGCGTGGAGATCGCTGGGAGCGGTTGCGGCGTGCCGGGAGCTGAGTTATAGCTGTGACTTCTGCCCTGCCAGGCCGCACACAAGCTGGCTGACCCGGGTGAGCAGTGCGGTGGGGCCACTCATCTGAGGGAGGCGGGCATGTCGAACTGGGCCGAGGTGGACCCGAAGGGGTAGGAGAGGGTGCTGAGCCCCGAAGTTGTCAGCTCGACTCCCTGCTCGACCCGGTGTAGCTGTGTCCGAAGTAGAAGGGAGGTTGGGGATGAGAATCCGAGCCAACCACCTTATGCAACAGATGGAGGAACTAAGTTTCTAATCTCAGCTACTCGAGAGTCTGAGGCAGGAGAATCGTTTGAACCCAGGAGGTGGAGGTTGCAGTGAGCCTAATTCGCGCCACTGCACTCCAGCCTGGGCAACATAGTGAGACTCTCCGTTTCAAAAAAAAAAAAAAAAAGAAAAGAAAAGAAAGAAACGAAGTTTCGGGGAGGGTTCTGCTTAAAGTCACAGCGAGTGAGCGAGCACCAGACCGGTACCAGACGCCTTTAGCACTGTGCCTGCACTCTTTCAGCCTCAGCCCTTCATTCATTTGTTCAGCCTGCCTTTAGTTGTTTGGATGCAGGGCAGTGAAATATAGGGAGGAGCAGTGAGGTCTCTGCCTTCAGGCAGCACACGTGGAATGACAGACCAATTCTGATACAGTTTTCTTATCTATTTACAACTGGAAAAGGCATGAGTGCTATGATGCAGGCAAGTCTGAGATGCGGTGAACACCCTCTCCAAAGCTTGGGAGGCAGCGAGACTCGTTGCCATGATTCCCGTCAGCCATAGTCGTGGCAGTGACATGAGCATTTGACAGTCTGCCTGGTAGCATGATTAGTTATGTTCATGATTACTATTCATGCTTCCTAGGTTGCCTTTCTTCACCCAGGGCCTCCTTGAGAGCTGGAACCTCAGTTCCTAGTGACCTGGGTTCTAATGCCCTTATGCACATGTTTGAGTTTGACTCTTATACAGTTGTGAAGTTCACAGGTCCTCATTCCACTTTGATTTCTGGCATCTGACTGGGAATACAGTGATGATGCACACACAGTCCAAGAAAGTCACTCTTACACTCTTATGTAGACATTTAAGAGACATTAATGTTACACTTAAGTAGACATTTAAACACATACGTGCAATGAAACCCGTAAAGGCTAAGAGAATCTGCACATGGCAGAATGGAAGCACTTCGGGAAAAGGAGTCACTTCTGGAGGGGTGGGAACGGTTAGGAATGGCTTTGTAGGCAAGAGGATTCTTGAGCTGTCTTCAAAGTTTAATAGGTGATTACTAGACACAAGAGAAAGGCAGACTAGGAAGCAACAGTAGCAGTGCAGAGACCAGAATTATGAAGCAGCATGGCTCAATTAGTACGAAGGTTTTCCATAATCTAGTCTCTGTCTAGTAAAGCAAATACAAATATAGTGCTTCTCATAAGATGGACATTATTGGCCGGGCGCGGTGGCTCACGCCTGTAATCCCAGCACTTTGGGAGGCCGAGGCGGGTGGATCATGAGGTCAGGAGATCGAGACCATCCTGGCTAACAAGGTGAAACCCCGTCTCTACTAAAAATACAAAAAATTAGCCGGGCGCGGTGGCGGGTGCCTGTAGTCCCAGCTACTCGGGAGGCTGAGGCAGGAGAATGGCGTGAACCCGGGAAGCGGAGCTTGCAGTGAGCCGAGATTGCGCCACTGCAGTCCGCAGTCCGGCCTGGGCGACAGAGCGAGACTCCGTCTCAAAAAAAAAAAAAAAAAAAAGATGGACATTATTTTGTCTGCTTTACGTAGAATAACAAATTTAATCTTAACAACAACTCTGTGAAGTGAAACTATAATTATCCCCATCATAAAATGCAAAAATTGAGGCATAGAAAATTTACGTAGTTTGCCCTAGTTCACACAGCTAATAATAAATAGTAGAGCTAGAATTCAAACCTAGGCATTCTAGCTCTATGGTCTGTGAACCTAACCACCAGGCTTCCTTCTAGAAGCTGAGGACACTGAGAGTTTTAAATGTCAGGCCCCTGATCACACCTATGAGTGTCAGAATCATGACTCAAACTCATCTTTTGACTTTTTTTTTTTGGGACAGGGTCTCACTCTGTTGCCCAGGCTGGAGTGCAGTGGTGTGCAGCCTTAACCTCCCAGGCTCAGGTGATTCTCCCACCTCAGCCTCCCGAGTATCTGGGACTACAGGCATGCGCCACCATACCTGGCTAATTTTTTATAGAGATGGGGTCTCACCATGTTGCCCAGGCTGTTCTAGAATTCCTAGGCTCAAGTGATCCTCTCATCTTGGCCTCCCAAAGTGCTGGGAGCATGAGCCACTGTGCCTGGCGCTCTTTTGGCTCTTTTTTATTTTATTTTATTTTTTTTGAGACGGAGTCTCACTCTGTCGCCCAGGCTGAAGTGCGAGTGGTGTGCTCTCAGCTCACTGCAGCTGCTGCCTCCCGGGTTCCTGTGATTCTCCTGCCTCAGCCACCTGAGTAGCTGGGATTACGGGTGCCTGACACCATGCCTGGCTACTTTTAAAAATGTTTTTGGTAGAGGCCGGGCGCAGTGGCTCATGCCTGAAATCCCAGCACTTTAGGAGGCCAAGGCAGGTGGATCACCTAAGGTTAGGAGTTCAAGACCAGCCTGGCCAACATGGTGAAACCCTGTCTCTACTAAAAATCCAAAGAATTAGCCAAGTATGGTGGCGGATGCCTGTAATCCCAGCAACTTGGGAGGCTGAGGCAGGAGAATCGCTTGAACCTGGGAGGCAGAGGTTGCAGTGAGCCAAGATCATGCCATTGCACTCAACCTGGGGAACAAGAACTCTGTTTCAAAAAAAAAAATTTTTTTTTAGTAGAGACAGAGTTTCACCAAGTTGGCCAGGCTGCTCTTGAACTCCTGACCTCAGGTGATCCGCCCGCCTGGGCCTCCCAAAGTGCTGGGATTACAGGCGTGAGCCACCACGTCCAGCTCATCTTTTGACTCTTAAGGGTCCAGTGCTCTTTTCATAATAACATTTGATGTGGTGGATGTTATATAATACCAAAATGAAATTAAATTACACTTTGAGGCAATGCTTGCTAGAATCTACATGACCATATCTTTACATTGTGAATGTTATGCAGGAGCCTTCACTTTGTGCCTTGGGTATAGTAGGTGTTAAGTGCTGCACTTTAGATGTTGATGTGCTGGGCCCAGGAGTAATAATAATTATAGTAAAGTTGCAACATTATTTGGCAATTTGATGTTGAATAGATTGTTTCTTCTGAACGTTACATTTTAACACATTTGTTCTTAAAATTACATCATTGTAAGAGAAAGTACTTTCAGTTTAAATCAGTAAAGATCGGTCAGGTGCAGTGGCTCATGCCTCTAATCTCAGCACTTTGGGAGGCCCAGGCAGGAGGCCTGAGGCCAGGAGTTTGAGACCAGCCTGGGCAGCATAGTGAAACCCCATCTCTATAAAAAATTAATTAAAAGAATTAGCCAGGCGGCCAGGTGCAGTGGCTCATACCTGTAATCCCAGCACTTTGGGAGGCCAAGGTGGGCAGATCACCTGAGGTTGGGAGTTCGAGACCAGCCTGACCAATGTGGAGAAACCCTGTCTCTACTAAAAATACAAAATTAGCTGGGCAGCTGGGCGTGGTGGTGCATGCCTATAATCCCAGCTCTTTGGGAGGCTGAGGCAGGAGAATCACTTGAACCTGGGAGGCAGAGGTTGTGGTGAGCTGAGATCGTGCCACTGCACTTCAGCCTGGGCAACAAGAGAGAAACTCCGTCTCAAAAAAAAAAAAAAAGCCAGGCATGGTGGTACCCACCTGTAGTCCCAGCTGCTCCAGAGGTTGGGGCAGGAGGATTGCTTTAGTGCAGGAGGTTGAGGCTGCAGTGAGCCATGATCTTACCACTGCACTTCCAGACTGGGCAATGGAGCAAGACTCTGTCTCTAAATAAACAATAAATAAATAGGATGGGCACGTGGCTCACACCTGTAATCCCAGCACTTTGGGAGGCCGACTCCGGTGGATCACCTGAGGTCAGGAGTTTGGGACCAGCCTGGCCAACATGGTGAAACCCCATCTCTACTAAAAATACAAAATTAGCCAGGCATGGTGGCCCATGCCTGTGATCCCAGCTACTCGGGAGGCTGAGGCAGGAGAATCGCTTGAACTTGGGAGGTGGAGGTTGCAGTGAGCCGAGATCACGGCATTGCACTCCAGCCTGGCAACAAGAGTGAAATTCCATCTCCAAAAATAAATACATAAATAAAGATTTATGACCTTCTACTGTGCCTCTGTTCTGTGGTAGTTTCTGTAAAGAGATTCTTTTCAAAGTCAAATAGGTTTGTTTATTACCTTGAGTTTGAAAAAAGGAATTAACAGTTTGGTTTGTTTTTATAATTGTGTTCTGTAAATCTAGGTTCAGATACAAGCCTACGTTTGTGTTTATAGTGATATCTTTAAAAATTGGAGGAATAAGATGAGCCGATGGCTGAATTATTGGAGGAGTCTTAAGTCATTTCATACTTTTCAGAAGCCTAACATGCTTGTGTTTCTGCTGTTAATTCTAGTCAGGCATCTTTTAATATTTTCTTTTTTCTCTCTTTTTTTTTTTTTTTTTTTGAGACAGGATCTCACTCTGTCACACAGGTTGGAGTGCAGTGGTCCAATCTCAATCTCGGCTCACTGCAACACCTGCCTCCCAGGCTCAAATGATCCTCCCACTTCAGCTTCCCAAGTAGCTGGAACCATAGGCACAAGCCACCACCCCTGGCTAATTTTTTGTATTTTTGGTAGAGATGGGGTCTCGCCATGTTGCCCAGGCTGGTCTCGAACTCCTGAGCTCATGTGATCCACACACCTCAGCCTCCCAAAGTGCTGGGATTACAGATGTGAGCCACCTCACCCAGCCTAATATTTTCAAAGAATAAAAATTCACACATCAGAAGTCCACTTGGTAAACTCTTACTTCTTCAGAGTCAGCTCAAGCATCACTTTCTATAAAAACTTCTCTGTGTTTTCAATGAAAACTAGGTGTTCCTTTTATTGTATGCCCACTGTATCTTGGATATTTTTCTGCTGTGGCACTAATGACATATATTGTGATTTACTGAATTTGTCTTCTCCACTTAATTGTGAATAACTCAAGGGCAAAGCCCCTGCATTCCTATCCTCCCACTTTTACCAAGGATAGAACTGAGAATACATATTGGTAGACATAATGTTTATCTGCAGCTAAGCTTTTCTTACTGTGATTGCTAGAGTTAGGAATTATGCATTTGACATAGTGGGTATCAGTAACCTAAATAAAAATAGGCTAGTAGTATGTGTGCTTTGATTTTTGTTACATTGTTTTTTTTCTGTTAATTGTTTTTTCTGTACTTGCAGTTTGTAAAAATGGAATTTCAAGCAGTAGTGATGGCAGTAGGTGGAGGATCTCGGATGACAGACCTAACTTCCAGCATTCCCAAACCTCTGCTTCCAGTTGGGAACAAACCTTTAATTTGGTACCCATTGAACCTGCTTGAGCGTGTTGGATTTGAAGGTGAGCTATGACAAAGTGAGCTGTGAACTCATAAAACTTTTAGGAGATTTGATCCCCATGATTTGTCAGCGTTATGAGAATGAGAGAGGGTGACTAGAACTCGTTGGCTGAAGACTGCCTTCTTTAAGGAATGTAGGAGTACTCTATTGCTGTGTGAAAAAGGTTGAGAGGATAGCACTAAGTGTTGTTGTTATGGAGCTGATGTCCACAATGATCCAAGACGAACTCTGTAAAGATATCAGAAAGAGCAGATTGAGACTCTTAAATGCCTCATAGTCAGTACTTACTGAGAATCTATTATGTACCAGGTAATATTTATATTATCTGATATTCAATATATATATGTTTTAAATTTTGTTTTGATGTAAGTACCAGGTTATATATTAAACACGGAGGTACAGAATTGAAAAGACAGCTCAGGCCCTGACTTCCAGAACTTTAAAGTCTAGTGATCCTCTCTACTTTTTGCTTGGGTAGCTAGGTAGATAGTTATGCCATTAAGTAGGAAAAGGAATAGGAGACAAGGAACAGGTGTTTTTTTTTTGAGACAGAGTCTCACGCTGCCACCCAGGCTGGAGTGCAGTGGCACGATCTTGGCTCACTACAACCTCCGCCAGGGTTCAACCTCTCCCGGGTTCAAGTGATTCTCCTGCCTCAGCTTCCTGTGTAGCTGGGACTACAGGCATTTTCCACCATGCCCGGCTAAGTTTTTGTATTTTTAGTAGAGACAGGGTTTCACCATGTTAGCTAGAATGGTCTCGATCTCAGGACCTCGTGATCTGCCCACCTCGGCCTCCCAAAGTGCTGGGATTACAGGCATGAGCCACCGTGCCTGGCCAGGAAAAGGTTTTAATGAATTTTATTTTCATTAAAATAATGAGTTCAGCTTTGGTCACATTGAGTTTGAGGTGTCCTATATTTAGATGTAATAAATCAGGGTGCCAAAGCCTGAGGCCCAGTCTTGTGATCCAGTGTTCATTCCATTATTAGAGTTGCCTCCAATAGGAAGGGTGGTAGCTTAATAGCTCTCTCTTTGTATTGAATGAAGATTTAAAATGTTGGAGTCTCACCCTGTCGCCCAGGCTGGAGTACAGTGGTGTGATCTCAGCTCACTGCAACCTCCACCTCCCAGGTTTAAGCAATTCTCCTGCTTCAGTCTCCCGAGTACCTGGGACTACAGGCGTGTACCACCACTCCCGGCTAATTTTTTTGTATTTTTAATAGAGACAGGGTTTCGCCATGTTGTCCAGGCTGGTCTTGAACTTCTGACCTCAAGTGATCTGCCTGTCTCGGCCTTCCAAAGTGTTGGAATTACAGGTGTGAGCCACTACGCATGGCCCCCTTTGGTTTTTTTGTTTTTTAGAGACAGAGTCTTGCTCTGTCGTCCAAGGCTGGAGTACAGTGGCATGATTTCAGCTCATTGCAACCTCTGCCTCCTGGGATCAAACGATCCTCCCATCTTAGCCTCCTGAGTAGCTGCAACTACATGCATGCCACCACACCTGGATAATTTTTCTTTCCTCCTTTTTTTTTTTTTTTTTTTTTTGGCAGAGACAGGGTTTCGCCACGTTACCCAGGCTGGTCTTGAGTTCCTGGGCTGAAGTTATCTGCCTGCCTTGGCTTCCCAGAGTGTTTTTTATATTTCTTCCCATTTGTATTTTTGATTAATGTTCTTCTGAATTCTTCATATCAAGGAGAAGTGGCATATAATATATTAAAGTGTGGGCACCATTCATATAGACCTGAGGTTTTTTTTTGTTTGTTTGTTTGTTTTGAGACAGACTCACTCTGTTACCCAGGCTGGAGTGCAGTGGGGTGATCTTGGCCCACTGCAACCTCCACCTCCCAGACTCAAGCAATCCTCCCACCTAAACCTCTGGTTTTTTGGAGTTTTTTTATAGAGACAAGGTTTTGCCATGTTGCCCAGGCTGGTCTTGAACTCCAGGGCTCAAGTGATCCGCCTGCCTCGGCCTCCCAAAGTGCTGGGATTTACAGGCATGAGCCACTGCGCCCAGCCAGCATGTCTTTTAATCCAAGATTCCTCATTTGTAAGATGAGATTGTTCTAAGAATTAATTGGGGGGAGGCCAGATGCAGTGGTTCACGTCTGTAATCACAACACTTGGGGAGGCCAAGGCTGGCGGATCCTTTGAGCCCAGGAGTTGGAGACCAGCCTGGGCAACAGAGCGAAACCTCATCTCTACAGAAAATACAAAAATTAGCCAAGCATGGTGGCACATGCCTGTAGTCTCAGCTACTTGGGAGGCTGAGGTGGGAGGATTGCCTGATCTTGGGAGGTTGAGGCTGCTGTGAACTGCGACAGTGCCACTGCACTCCAGCCTGAGTGGCAGAGTGAGACCCTGTCTGTAAAAAAAAAAAAAAAAAAAAAAAAAAAAAAAAGAATTTATTGGGGGAATGCAGGTAAAATATATTGAAAAGGCACAATAATATTAGCAGTTGTTATTACACCTAGAAATAGACCAAATCTAATTGAAATAATGGAACCACTGTCTATATGAGTAAGTTTTTGTTTTTCTTTCTTTTTTTCTTTTGTCCTATAGAAGTCATTGTGGTTACAACCAGGGATGTTCAAAAGGCTCTATGTGCAGAATTCAAGATGAAAATGAAGCCAGATATTGTGTGTATTCCTGATGACGCTGACATGGGAACTGCAGATTCTTTGCGCTACATATATCCAAAACTTAAGGTGAAAAGCAATTTTTTGACTCTTCTTGTTTATTGAAGATAGATGATATCTTATGTTTTCCCAGTGCATTATAGTCTTTTTTTTGAGACAGAACCTCGCTCTGTCACCTAGGCCGGAGTGCAGTAGTGTGATCTCAATTCACTGCAACCTCCACCTCCCGGGTTCAAGCAATTCTCCTGCCTCAGCCTCCCAAGTAGCTGGGATTACAGGCATACGCCACCGTGCCTGGCTAATTTTGTATTTTTAGTATAGATGGGATGTTGGCCAGGCTAGACTCGAACTCCTGACCTCAGGTGATCCACCCTCCTCGGCCTTCCAAAGTGCTGGGATTACAGGCGTGAGCCATCACGCCTGGCCCCCAGTGCATTATAGTTTACAAAACTTTATTTCTGATATATTTTTACATCACATACTTTGTTACCCATGTACTCTTCAGTTGCTCTTTGATTTGGTTACTAGTAAAGATTTAGACATTAATTTGTCATAGTCACTGGTTTCCAATGTTTTTGAGTAATAGCACATTTTTATTAAAAAAGAAAAAAAAGACATACTCTAGGCCAGGCACAGTGGCTTATGCCTGTAATCCCTTTGGGAGGCCAAGGCAGGTGGATCACTTGAGGTCAGGAGTTTGAGACCAGCCTGGTCAACGTGGTAAGACCCTGTCTCTACTAAAAAGACAAAAATTAGCTGGGCATGGCGGTGCACATCTGTAATCCTAGCTACTGGGGAGGCTGAGGCAGGAGAATCGCTTGAACCCAGGAGGTGGAGGTTGCAGTGAGCCGAGATCATGCCACTGCACTCCAGCCTGGGCAACAGAGTGAGATCCCATCTCAAAAAAAAAAAAAAGATATACTCTAAATGTACTTCAAAAGATTCCATTCATATGAAGTTTGTGAACAAGCAATGTTAATGTATAAATCAGAGGAGCAGTTGACTCTGCAGGTGAGGATTGACTAGAAAGAAGTACAAAGGAACGTTCAAAAATTCATAGACCTCCCATGTAATATTTGAACTTTTAGTTAACCTTTGGTTAAGAAACTAAGGAGCACATAGATATGAGAACATAGTCTCCCCAATGGTTTGTGGCCCATGAGCTGAGAAAGATCCACTGTAGATTGTTCTAAAATTGTTTTTCTTTGGAAAAAATTCAATCGTTGTGATGTTGCCATATTACTTGAAATGGGAGACAAACTTTCTTCTGTTATTTCTGGTGATTAAACGGATGTGTTATTTTCAACCGACTTTTGTACTATAAAACAAAAAATTAATGCAAATATGTACATGGCTTTCCCACCCCTTTTATTGAGGAATAATTTATACACAGTAAAATGCACAGATACTAAATATACACCTAGATTACCATTATCCAAATCTAGAACAATTCCATCACCCCTGAAAGTTCCTTTGTGCTTCTTTCTAGTAAGTCTCTGATCTTCTGAGTCAACCACTCTTCTGTTTCTATCACTATGTATTAATTTTATTTGCTTATAAACTTCATATAAATGGAAACATACAATTTTGTTCTGGCTTCTTTTGTTCAACATATTTTTCAGATTCTTTCATGTTATTGAAAGTATAACTAATCTGTTCCTTTTCATGCTTAGTAGTATTCCATTGAATGAATATACTACTATTTATTTATCTATCCTCCTATTGACAGTTATTTGGGTTGTTTCTAATTTTTGGCTATCATGCATAAAGCTATTATGAGCATTGTTCTGCAGGTCTTTTTGTGAAAATATTCTATAGGCTGTAAGGTTTACTTTATTGGAAACTAGCAGTTTTCTAAAGTGATTGTACCATTTTATACTTTCATCAACAGTTTGTAAGAGTTGCGTTTGCTTCACGTCTTCATCAACACTTGGTGTTGTCAGTCTTTTTAATTTTAACCATTCTAGTAGGTATGTATGTAGTGGTATCTCATTGTGGTTTTAATTTACATTTCCCTGATGGTAATGATGCTGAACACCTTTTCATGTGTTTATTGGCCATTTATATATGTTCATGAAGTGTCTGTTCAAAGCATTTGTCTATTTTTTAATTGAGTTGTTTGCCTTTCCATTATTGATTATAGGAATTCTTAATATAGTCCAGATGCAAGTCGTTTGTGAGATATGTGTTGTGAATATTTTCCACCAGTCTGTGGCTTTTTATTTAATGGTGTCTCTTGAAGAAAAGTTTTTAATGATGATGAAATCCAAATTACTGATTTTTTCTTTTATGGTTATTGCTTTTTGTGTCCGGCCTAAGAAATCTCTGCCCATCTGACCTTTGTGTAGATGTTCTTCTATGGTTTTGTCTTTGTTTTGTATTCTTTTTGAGACAGAGTCTTGCTCTCTCACCCAGGCTGAGTGCAGTGGTGCAATCTCCACCTCCACTGCACCTCCTCACCGCACCACCTCACTGCAGCCTCCACCTCTCAGGTTCAACTGATTCTCGTGCCTCAGCCTCCTGAGTAGCTGGGATTACAGGTGTGTGCCACCACACCTGGCTAATTTTTGTAGTTTATAGAGACAGGGTTTCACCATGTTGGCCAGGCTGGTCTCGGGCTCCCAGGTTCAAGTGACCTACCCACCTTGGCCTCCCAAAGTGCTGGGATTACACACATGAGCGACCTCACCCAGCTCAGATTTGACATCTTAATATTGAATCTTTTGATCCTTGAACATCGTATATATAGTAATGTGCCACATAACGATTTTTGGTCAATGACTGGCCACATATGTGGTCCCATAAGATTGTAATACCATATTTTTACTGTACCTTTTCTATGTTTAGATATGTTTAAATACACAAATACTTACCATTGTGTTACAGTTACCTATGGTATATAATAACATACAGGTTTGTTACCTAGGAACAATAGGCTATACCATATAGCCTAGGTATGTAGTAGGCTATACTATCTAGGTTTGAGTAAGTACATTCTATGATGTTCGCACAACGAAATCACCTAACAATGCATTTCTCAGAACATACCGGATTTCTCAGAACATATCGCTGTCATTAAGTAACACATAATTGTGTATCTATTTATTTAAGTTTCGCTTAATTTCTCTCAACTGAGTTTTGTAATTTTCAGTGATGATTTTTTTTTTCTTGAGACAGCCTTGCTCTGTCGTCCAGGCTGGAGTGCAGTGGTGTGATCAAGGCTCACTGCAGCCTCAACCTCCTGGGCTCAAGTGATCTCCACATCAGCCTCTCAAGTAGATGGGACTACAGGCACATGCTACCATGCACAGCTAATTTTTTAGATTTTTATTTTAGTAGAGATGTCTCACTGTGTTGCTCAGGCTAGTTTCAAACTCCAGGGCTCAAGCTGTCCTCCCACTTCAGTCTCCTAAAGTGCTGGGATAACAGGCATGAGCCACCACACCCAGCCCAATGTAGAAATTTTGAACATGTCTTGATAAATTTATTCCTAGGTAAATATTTTTAATGATATTGTAACTGGTATTTTTTCTATTTTCAATTGTTTATTGCTTGTACATAGAAATACAATTGATTTTTGTATTTTGGCATTATGCGCTGTGACCTTTTAAATTATAGATTCGTTTAGGACCTTATCATCATATTGCCTGCAAATAAAAACAGTATTATATCTTCCTTCTTAATCTTTATTCTTTTTAAAAATTAAATTACATTAATTTTATTTTTTGAGACAGTCTCACTCTGTCACCCAGGCTAGTGTGCAGTTGTGTGGTCACAGCTCACTGTAGCCCCAAACTCCTGGGCTCAAGCAGTCCTCCCACCTCAGGCTCCCAAGTAACTAAGTAACTAGGACTACAGGCATGTGCCACCATGCCCGGCTAATTTCTTTTTTTTTCTTTTTTTTTTTTTTAGACCAGGGTCTTACTTTGTTGTCCAGGCTGGAGTGCAGTGGCTCGATCACGGCTCACTGTAACCTCGACCTCCCCAGGCTCAGGTGATCCTCCTACCTAAGCCTCCCAAGTAGCTGAGACTACAGGCATGCACCACCACACCTGGACTTTTTTTATATATAGAGAGAAAGGATCTCACTGTATTGCCCAGGCCTGGTCTGGAACTCCTGGACAGAAGTGATACCCCCAACCTTGCCCTCTCAAAATGCTGTGATTACAGGCATGAGCCACTATGCCCAGCTCTTTAAAAAAAAAAAAAATTGTCTCATTGCCCTGGCCAGGACCTCCAGTACAATGTATATAGGCATTTCCATTCACTTTTGGCCTTCCTTCTACTTTTCTGTATTTTCTCTCAAGTGGATTTTGGGTGCTTCTGATTAGAGTGGGGGCTTCCAATACAATAATGTGGGGTGTGTTGCTTTCTGGAGTACCGCTGATTATTTGTTTAGAGAATATTTGGGGAATTCCATTAGGGTAATGAGAAGAAAATTTGGGTCAAGTGTACAGTTCAGTGGTATTAAGCACATTTATAATGTTGTGCAACCATTACCACCCTCCATCTCTATAACCTTCATCTTGTGAAACTGAAACTCTATTACCATTAAATACTAACATCCCCCTCCTCCTAGCCCATGGCAGCTACCATTCTACTTCCTATTTCTATGATTTTGACTACCTCTAAGTACCTCATGTAAGTGGAATCATAGAGTATTTGTCTTTCTTTTTTTTTGAGACAGAGTCTCACTCTATCACCCTGGCTGGGGTGCAGTGGCATGATCTCAGCTCACTGCAGCCTCTACCTCCCAGGTTCAAGCATGTCTTGTGCCTCAGCCTCCTGAGTAGCTGGAACTACAGGTGCATGCCCTACCTACTACACCTGGCTAGTTTTTGTATTTTTAGTAGAAATGGGGTTTCGCCATGTTGGCCAGGCTAGTCTCGAACGTCTGGCCTCAAGTGATCTGCCCACCTTGGCCTCCAGTATTTATTTTTTGTGATTGGCTTACTTAGCATAACATCCTCAAGGTTCATCCATATTGTAGCATACTGCAGAATTTACTTCGTTTTTAAGGCTGAGGAATATTCTATTTTATGGATATGCCACATTTTGCTTAGCCATTCATCCATCCACGGACACTTGGGTTGCCTCCACATTTTAGCTATTGTGAATAATGCAGCTGTGAATATGGATGTACAAATATTTCTTTGAGACCCTCTTTCAGTTCTTTTGATTTATACTGAGAAATGTAGTTGCTGGATTATATGCTATTTCTGTGTTTAATTTTTTAATGAACTGCCATACTGTTTTCCACAGTGGCTATACCATTTTACATTGCCACCAACAGTGTACAAGGGCTCCAACCTCTTTCTCTCTTTCTTTTCTTGTTTTGTTTTTGAGACAGGATTTCGTTCTGACATCCAGGTTGGAGTGCCATGGCGCAATCATGGCTCACTGCAGCATTGACCTCCCAGGGTCAAGCGATGCTCCTATCTCAGCCTCCTGAGTAGCTGGAACCATGGGCATATGTTGCCACACCCAGCTAACTTTTTATTTTTTGTTGAGATGAGGGTGTTTCACTATATTGCCCCCAAAATACAAAAATTAGCCACGCATGGTGACACACACCTGTAGTCCCAGGTACTCAGGAGGCTGAGGTTGAGGACTGCTTGTGCTCGAGAGGTGAAGGTTGCAGTGAGCTGAGATCGTACCACTGCACTCTAGCCTGGGCAACAGAGGGAGATTCTGTCTCAAAAAAATATATAAATAAATTAAAATCAGTGTGTGTGTGTGTGTGTGTGTGTGTGTGTGTGTATTTATTTATTATTATTTTTTAAAACGGAGTTTTGCTCTTGTTGCCCAGGCTGGAGTGCAATGGCGTGATCTCGGCTCACCGCAACCTCTGCCTCCCAGGTTCAAGCGATTCTCCTGCCTCACCTTCCTGAGTAGCTGGGATTACAGGCATGCGCCACCACACCCAGCTAATTTTGTGTTTTTAGTAGAGACAGGGTTTCTCCATGTTGGTCAGGCTGGTCTCAAACTCCCGATCTCAGGTGATCCACCCACCTTGGCCTCCCAAAGTGCTGGGATTACAGGCATGAGCCACCGTGCCTGGATATATATATATATGTGTGTGTGTGTATATACATGTGTGTGTTTGTGTGTGTATATGTGTGTGTGTGTGTGTTTGTGTGTGTGTGTGTGTATTTTTTTTTAGAGACAGAGTCTCACTATGTTGCCCAGGCTGGTCTCGAACTCCTGGGCTCAAGTGATCCTCCACCTTGGCCTCCCAAAGTGCTGGGATTACAAGTATGAGCCACCATGCCTAGCCTATGGTTCCAGTTTCTCCACATCCTTCCCAGTATTTATTTTCTGCTTATTTTTGTTTGTTTGTTTTTTTGTTTTTGAGAAGGAGTCTTGCTCTGTTGCCCAGGCTGGAGTGCAATGGTGCAATCTCGGCTTACTGCAACCTTTCCTCCCAGGTTCAAGCGATTCTCCTGCCTCAGCCTCCTGAGTAGCTGGAATTACAGGTGCATACCACCACGGCCAGCTAATTTTTGTATTTTTAGTATAGAGACGGGGTTTCACCATGTTGGCCAGGTTGGTCTCAAACTCCTGACCTCGTGATCCACCCACCTCAGCCTCCCAATGTGCTGGGATTACAGGCATGAGCCACCTCACCCAGCCTATTTTTTTCTTAATAGTAGTCATCCCAATAAGCATGAGTTAGTATCTTACTGTAGTTTTGATTTGCAAAGAGCTTGGGATTTTTGGTGGTCTTCTCAGAGCTGTATTAGCTACCATCTAAAAGTTTAGAATGGATGTGTAAACTTTCTTTGCTCTATAATCTCTGAATTTTAGAAAAGTTATTTTTGGCCCAGTAAGCTAGAGATCTTGAAAGTCCCAGGCAAATAAGTTCCTCTAATACTTGGAGGCTTGAGAAGTAATAGTGGCAACTGTTAGGAGAGAAGGCATGAGAAGGAAAGTAAAGTAACCTCCAAAGGGGCATTTTACTCTCCAAGTTACTGCCTTTTTGTATGACTTTGATTTTTTTTTTTTTTTTTTCTGGAGACGGAGTCTCGCTCTGTAGCCCAGGCTGGAGTGCGGGCTCACTGCAAGCTCTGCCTCCTGGGTTCACGCCATTCTTCTGCCTCAGCCTCCCGAGTAGCTGGGACTACAGGTGCCTGCCACCAAGCCCGACTAATTTTTTTGTATTTTTAGTAGAGCCAGGGTTTCACCATGTTGGCCAGGATGGTCTCGATCTCCTACTTCGGGATCCGCCCGCCTCGGCCTCCCAAAGTGCTGGGATTATAGGCGTGAGCCACTGCGCCCGGCCATGACTTTGATCTTTTACTCCTTATTTTAGGGCTTCCCCTTGCACCTAAAATCAGAATCTTTACTAAGTCCTTCTGCAGTCTAATTTCTGTTCCTCCGTTACCCGTTCCCCCACATCATTTACACAGAATCTCTTACATATAATCCTACCTCTGAGCCATCTTCCAAGCTGTGACTTTGGCCAGCAAGTCTTTGCTATCTTTACTTGGTTTTTTCTTACTACAATAGCCCCTGAAATCCTGGCTTCATATCAGATTGCCTTCCAACCAGGAGTAGAAGGCAACAAGGCTAACTGTTGGAAGAACGTAAATAAATGCCCAAATAGCTGTTAGGAACTGAGCTAAGCCAAAATTCAGAATTAACTGATTAGAATTAACATAAACTTGTAGAAAGGGCAGTGGAAGTGCGTATAAACAGTTGAAGAAAGTGAGACAGCCTAAGAAGTAAGTTGTCAGTGTTTGCTAAGGGATGTCGGTTATCTCTCTAAAGGAGAAAGTTGCACTGAGCAGCTGTGCCATGCATGACACAGTGGCCCTTTAAGCCCATGTTTTTTCTTCCCGTGTGCCCACAAAAGAGCTCCTAAACATTAATAGGCTCTTTTGGTCTGTTTCCAATAAGATTTTAGGTAAGATAAGAACATTCCCTAAAAGTTTGAGGTTTATTGGCTTTTGGTTTTATCTTTACCCACTTCCTCCAGATTGAGTTTCCCAGCTATTATTGTGAGGTCTTCGTGTTTGACTTCTGTTCTCAGACAAAGGCCAGAGTAGTACATTCACTTTATTTGGCTTTTTTTTGTTAAAACAATTTTTAACTTATAATGTTTTTCCTTTACCTTATATTTGCTAAATGTATTGCAGTCCTACTTATATGTGGAAACCTCCATCACATGTGCTTATAGGATATTGAAGTTAGATACCATATTTGCTAAGTTATGTTTTTTCACTTAAAGGACACATATTTCATTTGGTTTTATACTTTCTGGCACCATTTTCTACTTCATTTTGCTTTATCTAACCCCACAATTTTACTGATTTACTGGTTCTCACTTTTTATTTCAGCTACCCAAACCTCTTTCCCTGACTTATCAAGAGAGATTATTGGTTCATTCATTCTCCCAGGCCCTGGGTGAGTGAGCTCCACTCTTACAACTGACGTTGATAACATGAATGCTCTTAGATTTCATATTTTCTCCATAATAATGTTTCATATTTGTTGATAAATCATTCATTCTTATCTATGTCTAAACTCATTCATTTAGTAAATATTCAGAGTCAACTAATAAGAATAATGATAATTGCCATTGTTAAACACAAGTTGTAGACCAGACATAGTTAATATTTTAACTTCTTATATGGAAATTTTAAAACTTGTACAAAAGTAATCAACATTGCCCATTTATCTGTCACCCAGCATCAACAGTTAACAACCTATAGCAAATCTTATTTTATCTATATTTTACCCAACTTGCTTTCTCCCATATTCTTTTGAAGCAAATCTTAGACATATAATTTTATCTGTAAATATTTTAGAATATATTATAAAAATAAGGGCACTTTTTAGAAATACCACTATCACTTCTAAAAAACAGTAAAAAACCAAATCAATAATAATTCTTTGGTATCATTAAGTATCTAATCAGTGTTTGAGTTTTCAGTTGCCTCATAAATATAATTTCAGCATGTTTTTTCAAATGTGTTTATTTAACTTAGGAAGTGAATAAGGATTACACATTACAATTGGTTGAAATGTCTTTTAAGTCTCTTGATATATAGGTTTTCCCTCCATTTCTTTTTTCCCCCTTGTAATTTAATTGTTGAAGAAACTAGGTTTTTGTTGATTTAATGAGTGTTTCTCTGTATGTATAGTCTGTAAATTAGTAGTTGAACTTGAGGCTTGATTAGGTTTAGGTTTGAATTTTTGGCAAGGCAGTGGTGTGTTCTTCCATCTGCAGGTACATGATTATCTGGTTGTCTTTCATTTTGTGATGTTAGCAGCCGTTGATGATCACTGCACACGAGTCCCCATTCCTTGTGTCTCCAGTCATTTGTCTGAAGCTTATTTCTAATAGATTCCTAAAGGAGGGCGCATATAATGTTCAACAAGTAATCTGCCACCGTTATGTTTCAAAGCCAATTTATTTGGATATAGAATCCGTGACTGACATGTTTTCCTTGAGTATATTAAATGTATCTTTTTTTTTTTTTTTGAGATGGAGTTTTGCTCTTGTCACCTAGGCTGGAGTGCATGGCGCAATCTCAACTCACTGCAACCTCCGCCTCCCAGGTTTAAGCAGTTCTCCTGCCTCAGCCTTCCAAGTAGCTGGGATTACAGGCACACGCCACCATGCCTGGCTAATTTTTGTATTTTTAGTAGAGACGGGGCTTCACCATGTTGGCCAGGCTGGTCTCGAACTCCTGACCTCATGATCCGCCCGCCTCGGCCTCCCAAAGTGCTGGGATTACAGGCGTGAGCCACTGCACCGGCCTAAATGTATTCTTTCATTATCTTTTGACATACAGCGTTGTTGTCAAAACAGTCCAGATAAAATCTGTTTTTCTTTCCCTTATGAGTGACTTGGTCCTTTTGTCTGGATTCCCAAAGGAGTTTTTATTTTTCTTTAATATCTTGTGGTTTTTCTATATAATGTATCTTATTGATTGTTCTGAATCATGTTTTTTAGATATGTAGTAAGTTCTTTTCATGTGAAGTTTCAGTCTTTTTTTTTTTTTTCCTTTTTTTAAGAGGCAGAGTCTCACTCTGTCGCCCAGGCTGGAGTGTTGCCGAACGTGACTCACTTCAGCCCTGACCTCCTGGGCTCAAGCCATCCTCCCATCATAGCCTTCTGAGTGACTGGGACTATAGGAACATGCCACCACACCCAGCTAATTTATTTTTCTTTTTTGCAGAGACAGGGTTTTGCCTTGTTACCTAGGCTGGTCTCACACTCCTGGACTCAAATGATCTGCCTGCCTCAGCTTCCCAAAGTAATGGGATTTACAGGCAAGAGTCACTGCACCAGGCCTTTTCTTTTATATTTTTATTTTTATTTTTATTTATTTATTTTCAAAATGGAGTCTCACTCTGTCGCCCAGGCTGGAGTGCAGTGGCACAATCTCGGCTCACTGCAACCTCCACCTCCCAGGTTCAAGCGATTCTCCTGTCTCAGCCCCCTGAGTAGCTGGGATTACAGGCATGTGCCACCCCGCCTGACTAATTTTTGTACTTTTAGTGGAGACAGGGTTTCACCCTGTTGGCCAGGCTGGTCTCGAACTCCTGACCTCTTGATTTGCTCGCCTCGGCCTCCCAAAGTGCTGGGATTACAGGCGTGACACCGTGCCTGGCCTTTTTTTTTTTTTTTTTTTTGAAGACAGCATCTCACTCTGTCGCCAGACGGGAGTGCAATGGCACAGTCTTGGCTCACTGCAACCTCTGCCTCCTGGGTTCAAGCGATTCTCCTGCCTCAGCCTCCCCAGTAGCTGGGACTACAGGCATGTGCCACCACACCCGGCTAATTTTTTATATTTTTAGTAGAGACAGGGTTTCACCGTGTTAGCCAGGATGGTCTCAAACTCCTGACCTCGTGATCCGCCTGCCTCGGCATCCCAAAGTGCTGGGATTACAGGCATGAGCCACCACGCCTGGCCTTTTTTTTTTTTGAGACAGAGTCTCGCTCTGTTGCCCACGCTGGAGTGCAGTGGTGGGATCTCGGCTTTTCGCAACCTCTGCCTCCCAGGTTCAAGTGATTCCTCTGCCTCAGCCCCTCAAGTAGCTGGGACTACAGGTGTGAGCCACCATGCCTGGCTAATTTTTGTATTTTTATTAGAGATGGGGTTTCACCATATTGGCCAGGCTGGTCTCGAACTCTTGACCTCAAGTGATCTGCCTGCCTCAGCCTCCCAAAGTGCTGGGATTACAAGCGTGAGCCACCACGCCCAGCCACATTTATCATTTTCTTACTTTAGCTTATTTTGAAATATGAGGCTATGGAAGGCCGGGCATGGTGTCTCACACCTGTAATCCCAGCACCTTGGGAGGCCGAGGCAGGCAGATCACGAGGTCAAGAGATCGAGACCATCCTGGCCAACATGGTGAAACCCCATCTCTACTAAAAATATAAAAATTAGCTGGCCATAGTGGCGTGTGCTCGTAGTCCCAGCTACTCGGGAGGCAGGAGAATTGCCTGAACCTGGGACACGGAGGTTGCGGTGAGCTGAGGTCGCGCCATTGCACTCCAGCCTGGCAACAGAGTGAGACTCCGTCTCAAAAAAACAGAAATATTAGTCTATGGATTTCATCTGTTTGTGGGCATGTCTTTCTTATATGTGCTTTCATTATAGGAATGTTATTTTAATCTTTATTATCTTTTTTGATAATAACTTTGTATAGGATTTGACTGTAATTGTTTTCTGTTTGTAATTTTTATCTGAAGTTGGTCTTTCTACATTTTCAGAAGAGAAGAGTGAGTCAGAATTGCTTTTTTAGCTTCACAGCTCTAGAGCCCCCTCTTTTAAGATCTTCCTCCACTGTTCCTTTATCGCCGTTTTATCTGTCTTTTCTGGTTCCTGTGCTCTTGGATTGTCTTTGTCCTGCTTAATTTGGATTCTACTCCTGGCAATTTCTATTTAGTGCCAGGCTTCTTCTTCTTCTTTTTTTTTTTTTTTTTTGAGACAGAGTCTCGCTCTGTCGCCCAGGCTGGAGTGCAGTGGCATAATCTCGGCTCACTGCAAGCTCCGCCCCCCAGGTTCACGCCATTCTCCTGTCTCAGCCTCCCAAGTAGCTGGGACTACAGGCACCCGCCACCACGCCTGGCCAATTTTTTGTATTTTTAGTAGAGACAGGGTTTCACCATGTTAGCCAGGATGGTCTCGATCTCTTGACCTTGTGATCCTCCTTCCTCAGCCTCCCGAAGTGCTGGGATTACAGGCCTGAGCCACTGCGCCCGGCCTTCATTTTTAAAGACAGTGTTGGTTTGTTAGTTTTGAGAGTTCATAGGGCTAAGACTGCTCTAGCCTTTTCATATCTTACTGTGAATAGATAAGGGGACTGAGTCTTCAGAGTTTAATGGAAGAGTTAGTGATTGAACCGGTTCTCTTCCTTCAGAGGCTATGCTTTTAACTACGCTTTACAGTCTAGGAGAGAAGTAAGAATATGGTATACACTTTTGGCCAGGCATGGTGGCTCACACCTGTAATCCCAGCACTTTGGGAGGCTGAGGCGGGTGTATCACTTGAGGTCAGGTGTTCCAGACCAGCCTGGCCAACATGGAGAAGCCTTGTCTCTACTAAAAATACAAAAATTAGCTGGGCATAGTAGTGTGCACCTGTAGTCCCAGCTACTCAGGAGGCCGAGGCACGAAGATCGCTTGAACCCGGGAGGCAGAGGTTGCAGTGAGCTGAGATCATGCCACTGCACTCCAGCCTGGGCCACAGAGTGAGACTCCGTCTCAAAAAAAAAAAAAAAAAAAAAAAGATGCATTTGTGCATCTCAGATACCCAGGCCTTTTTGACTATTGTATTGCCTCCAAAAGCATTAGTACTTTAGTACTAATTAGTACTTTTAGTACATTAGTAGTATTAGTTGCCTCCACTAAGCATTAGTAGTCTTTATAATCACTCTAACTCTAGACTTTTGGCTTTAGAACACGTTTAGTTCTAAACCTGTTCTAAAGATTCTACCAGGTTTACTTGGTCTGCTATTTTCAAAATTTCTTTTTTTGAGTGGTGTTCTTTTCTGTGGTGTTCAGATATGTAGAATTTTATATGTAGATTAGATAGTTGTATGTATGTATAGAACTCTTTTAAAGTGTACAATTCAGTGGTTCTTAATATGTATAAACTCTTAATTAGTTTTGTGTAAAACATACTTAGAAATGAGCAAATCTCCTAACAGGACTCATGTAGTATCCTTGTCTTGCAGGTGTGCAGCTATTGCTTGTTGATCTCTTTCTCTAAGTGGAGGGAATTCCAGGCTTATAGGAGAAATTTTTGTCCTATGTCTAGAGCCATGTGAACAAGAAGTGTTGTTAAGTAAAGGTGCGGTCTGTGAGCTGCACATAAAGCAAAGCTGGCTGACTCCTTGGATATGGATCCTGACCCATATTAGAGCTGTTGCTCTAACTATCTGGGGTAACCAGCCATTGGTGCTGTTTTTGTGTGCTTTAGAAACAGACTGCGATTATTCCTCGAGAACAAGTTAGTGAGGTATATTTTAGAGGCTTCAAGCAGACTAAATCCATAATAGAGTTCTGTAGCCTATGTTTAAAGTATTTGTTTTATATTGCCGGTCTCATTGCTTCTTTTAATTTAGAAATTCCAGAGTTGATAATTCTCTATTTAATCTAGACAGGAATCTTTGGCTTCAAGCAAGCCTCATTTACCCTGTGCCTCAGTTTCACAACCAAGAAAGTAGGGATAATAATACCAACACACTAGTCGTTAGAGGTATAGTTCCTTAAGTCCTTTGATGTAGAGAAAGGACTATTGTTATGTCTTATGAAACAGCTAACATGTTACAACAAAGAACAAACTATGCCAATGAAATCCCCATGCTGGAGACAGCTTATTAGAAAGACTGAGCATATGTACTATTTTCAGATGTTCAAAAAGCTAAATGCAAGTTATTTTCAGTTGAGTGTTTGATGTCTTTTATCAAATTACAAATCTCTGTCATTCTTTCCTGGAACCTTTCATTTTTCCCAGAGATTTTTATTTGTCAGATTTCTATCATCTTGAAAAGAGTAAATACAGTTGGTCAAGGGAAGATCTGAGAACTTGGTCCCAACTTGCTTAAAGACTTTATTAAGTGGCAACGTTCCTTAAGACTGCTTTGGTGGGCCATGGTTGCTTACGACAGCCTCAGTGTAATCCTGATGATGCCTTCCTGGAGTCTACTGGTGGCGTAGTGAAAAGCCCAACATTACTGGCAGAAACGAGTTGGATATAAAAATTTTGGAGTCTTTTTTTTTTTTTTTTGGCCAAGAAATCTCAATGGAGCTTTTCTTTTGATACTAACCTATTTTGATACTAACCTAGTATATGTATCTACAACATTGAAATGTTTTCACCTTACTTTTTCAGACTGTTACTTTTTGGAACTCTGATCTGTGGGATAGGACTTCTGTAGCCCTGTACTTAATTTGACAGCCAAAAAACTTGCAAGCCCTGTGTTTGAGTCTGATTCTTTTAAGTCATTTTCCTTCCTTAGGACCCTGTCAGGGGATGAAGGGCTATAGGGTAGAGGGAAAAGTTACTAGCTAGCAACTGTGATAACACAGACTGTCATCACAAACTTACTGCATCATTGGATAATAAGCAGCCTGCATGACTTTGATTTTTGGAAACTCTTAGTAGGGCCACTTATTCTACTCTGAATCATGAAGTAACATTACAGCCCGAGTAGTGGAAAGGTGCAGTACAATTTATGGGAAGTCAGTAAGCATTCTGTCACCATGACCAGAGAGTTCATTTGAAGTAGCCTGTAGCTACTTAGGCTCTTAACTTAGGCATCATCTGTGCCAACAAGACTTCCCTGGTTGGCCAGGCACAGTGGCTCATGCCTGTAATCCCAGCACTTTGGGAGGCTGAGGCGGGTGAATTGCTTGAGCCCAGGAGTTTGAGACTAGCCTGGACAACGTGGCAAAACCCTGTCTCTACAAAAAATGTAACAGTTAGCCAGGTGTGATGGCATGTGCCTGTAGTCCCAGCTACTCAAGAGGCTGAGGTGGGAGGATCACCTGAGCCTGGGAGACAGAGGTTGCAGTGAGCTGAGATCAGCCACTGCACTTCAGCCCGAGCAACAGAGTGAGACCCTGTCAAAAAAAAAAAAGATTTCCCCCCTGGTTTTCTGGGGTTTTTTTTTGTTTTGTTTTTTTTGTTTTTGTTTTTGTTTTTTGAGTCCAGATCTCACTCTTGCCCAGGCTGGAGTACAGTGGCATGATCTCAGCTCACTGCAACCTCAGCCTCCTGGGATCAGGTGATCCTCTCACCTCAGCCTCCCCAGTAACTGGGACTACAAGTGTGTACCACCATGCCCATCTAATTTTTTGAAGAGATGGGGTTTTGCCATGGTGCCCAGGCTCGAACTCCTGGGCTCAAGCAGTCTGCTCACCTCCCAAAATGTTGGGATTACAGGCATGAGCCACTGCACCCAGCTGTCTGGTCTTTTAAGACTGAATCCGGTGTCATTTTTCTGTATTTACACAGGGATTAGAAGACATCTGTCATATTGTTGCTATACTGTGAGGCAAGAACTATATCTGGGCCTGGCACAAAGAGTTTGTCCAATATTATTTGTTGAATGAATGAATGACAGCCGGAAGCAAGTTATTTGTAAACATTTAAAATAAGTTCCTTAAGTTCCTTACTCCCTTAATATAGACACACATGTTTAGGTCAGGTACAGTGGCTCACACCTGTAATCCCAGCACTTTGGGAGGCCAAGGCAGGAGGATCACTTGAGCCCAGGAGTTTGAGGCCAACCTGGGCAAGATGGTGAGACTCCCTCATCGCTACACAAATTTTTTTAGATTAGCCAGGTACAGTGGTGTGCACCAGTAGTCACAGCTACTTGGGAAGCTGAAGAGGGAGGATCCCCTGAGCCCAAGAATTTTAGGCAACAGTGCTGTGATCGCGCCACTGCTCCCCAACCTGGCCAATAAAGTGAGAAACTCATCTCTAAAAAATAAATAGATGCATGTTTATGTGAACCTAAGGATGAATTTCAGTGACTGTAGATTAGAAGAACTGATTATAGCATTGGCTGCTTGGTGTTCACTTTATTTGCATCTGTGAGTTTCCAACAAGCCCTAAGTTTACTGACATGGCTGGTCCTCTACCCCAAGAATGTTCTCCCAGAGGAAGGATGATGATGATGATGATGATGATGATGATGATGATGATGTTGATGATGATTGAGACGGAGTTTCGCTCTTGTCACCCAGGCTGGAGTGCAGTGGCGCAGTCTCAGCTCACTGCAACCTCTGCCTCCCAGGTTCAAGTGATTCTCCTGTCTCAGCCTCCTGAGTAGCTGCGATTATGGGTGCATGCCACTACACCCAGTTACTTTTTGTGTTTTTAGTAGAGACAAGATTTCATCATGTTGCCCAGGCTGGTCTTGAACTCCTGACCTCAAGTGATCCACCCGCCTTGGCCTCCCAAAGTGCTGGGATTACAGGTGTGAGCCACTGTGCCTGGCAGGATTATTTTATTTTTTGTGATAAGGTAGGGTGATGTGGTGAAAAGAACACAGGCTTTCATAAGAGAGGTAGACCTAGATAGATAATTCTTGTTCTGTCATTCACTAGCTATGTGACCTTGGAAGTTATGAGTCCCTTTCAAACTTGCATTTGATTCATCTATAAAATATTAATATTTTTAGCTTATTCAACAAATATGTGTTGAATACTTAGTATATATCCTATTCAGAGATGCTATAAATATAGTGGTAATCCAGATAAAAAAGATACCTGTCCTCTTAGATCTACTCTATAAGGAGAGAGAAATAAACAAGGCGATCTTCCCACTTCAGCTCCAAGTAGCTGGGAATACAGGCACACACCACCACACCTGCCTAATTTAAAAAATTATTTTTGTGGAGATGAGGTCTTGCTATGTTACCCAGGCTGGTCTCAAATTTCTGGGCTCAAGCAGTCCTCCTGCCTCTGCCTCCTAAAGTGCTAGGATTACAGGTGTGATGAGCCAATGCACCCGGCCCTGTTTTTCACTTGACAGTATATCCTGGAAATCACTCCATTTCAGTTAATGGAGACTTTTTTTTTTTTTTTTTTTTGAGACAGGGTCTCACTCTGTTGCCCAGGTTGGAGTGCAGTGGCATGATCATGGCTCACTGCAGCCTCGTCTTCCTGGGCTCAAGCCTGTAGCTGGGACTAGAGGTACTCACCACCACTCCCAGCTGATCTTTTTTTTATTTTTTGTAGAAAGGGGGTCTTGCTTTGTTGTCCAGGCTGCTCTTGAAGTCCTGGCCTCAAGCAATCCTCCTGCCTCAGCCTCCCAGACTGCTAGGATGACAAGTGTAAGAAACTGCTTGACCAGATTTTTTTTTTTTAACAGCTACATAGTACCTCATTGTACATATATTTTTAAAAATCTTTTAAATTATTTTAATACAGTCTCTTGAGATCAGTAACACATTGGTAAACTTTCTGCAGAAGTATATTCCTGAATAAGTAAACCAAAGGCAACAGTTGACAAAAAGGTAAGGAAAGAAGTAGCTTTATTTTAAAATACAGTCGTCCTTTGGTATCTTTGGGGTATTGGTTCCAGGAACCCTCACAGATACCAAAATCCTTGGATGCTCATGTTGCTTTTATAAAATGGCATGGTATTTGCATATAACCTACAAGTTCTCCCAAATACTTTAAATCACCTCTAAATTATTTATAATATCTACAGTGTAAATGCTATCCAAATAGTTGTTATCCAGTATTGGTTTTTTGTCTTTTTTTTTTGAGACGGGGTCTCGCTGTGTTGCCCAGGCTGGAGTGCAGTGGCGCGATCTCGGCTCACTGCAAGCTCCGCCCCCGGGTTCACGCCATTCTCCTGCCTCAGCCTCCGGAGTAGCTGGGACTACAGGCGCCCGCCACCTCGCCTGGCTAATTTTTTGTATCTTTAGTAGAGACGGGGTTTCACCGTGTTAGCCAGGATGGTCTCGATCTCCTGACCTCATGATCCGCCTGCCTCGGCCTCCCAAAGTGCTGGGATTACAGATGTGAGCCACCACGCCCGGCCCAGTATTGGTTTTTAAACAGTATTAGTTTTTAGTTTGTATTTTTTATTGTTATATTATTATTTTTATTTTTTCTCGAATATTTTTGATATATGGTTGGCTGAATCTGCAGATGCAGTACCTGCAGATACAGAGGGCCAACTGTAAATGTCAAAAAAGTCAACTTTAAAAAATAACTTTATCAATGTGAGTTATTTTTAAATACATATAGGGACTGAACATACATGCATCAAATTGTACTCTCATTCACTGACATAAGCACACCTCCAAACAAGTTAATATGAAGGTAAATACATAAATATATACAAATAAATACACATACCCAAATAACAAGCCACATATCACCCACCATTTTCCAATTTTCACATAAACATACTGGCAAATACAGCAAAATATCAGTGTAAATTAACACACTTACATATACAGATATGCATAAATACTAGAATTCAAAGTGACGTGTAGCATATAACACAGGTACTTAAGGCATAAACAACACAGCTCAGTCAGAAACAGCCCAGAGTTGAAACAAATACTATTGTGACCTTCTCACTAGGGATGAAGATTCAGCAGTTCACAATGAAATTGAGATTAATAAAATGCTCATGCTTTAATTAATAGGAACAGAGAAACCAGACTCTAAACCATTCCCCATTGCCAATGAGTTTGTTATGTTGATAATTTGATGACAACTTCAGAGACTTAAAAGCACAGGGAGGCTGGGGAGTCGTATCTAGATAAAAGATTTGCTAAATGAAATTACTGAAGGTGAACCTGGAAACATTCTGTAAAGTTAGCTAAATTATCTTTACGTTTTTTAGAAATAGGGTCTCACTCTGTTGCCCAGGCTGGAGTGCAGTGGCATGATCTTAGATCATTACAGTGTCATACTCCTGGGCTCAAGTGATCCTCCCAGCCTCAGTCTCCTAAGTAGCTGGGATCACAGGTGTGTGACACCATGCCTGGCTCAAATTCTTTTTACTTTGAAGGCCCTGCTAGAAATTGCTGCTGCTCTAATTCACCACTCAGAGAGGAGAGGCAAAACTAAATAAGCTGTTGCTGGTTTCAGGTGCTGTGGAAGAACCCACAAAAAAAAAGGTCTGAACTGAAAATCTCCATCTCCATCACCCTGATTTAAACAGGTGTACTATCCAAAGGAAACTTGGAGTTGTTATTCCTAATGGGAAGCCAAAAACACCAGACTGTGCAATCGTAGATGGTTCAAGGGTGCCTTCACGGTTAGCAATAGGGATGTTACGTAGCCTAAGGCTATCATAGAGGCCTTGGAGCTTTTGATGCTGAAGATGGCGTTCCATAAGTTTCTCAGATGTCACTGAACTTTTTCTTGTATTCTTCTAGCACTTTCTTCATGGAGGTGACTTCCCCTTTCATAGAGGTCAATTCTACATCCTCGCTTTGTATTTGCTGAGTATATATTTTCTCCGTCTGTTTCAGATGGCCCTCAGCCTTGATGAAATTGTGTTCTTGATAGAGATGTTCCTGATGTACCTGATATGTCCAGAAGCCCACTGCTCAGGAGCTAACGTCCAACACGATCTCTTGTCGCAGTCCTGCCAATACCATAGCTTTATATTTCTCTGATGGATTGAGTTCTGTGCGGACAATATCTAGCTTTCCAGAAAGGGTACTGTTTCAGGCAGCACAGATAGCTGGTGAGCGACTAAACTCACCACTGCCATGCTGATCACAGAATATGTGAGAGCAGGCAGTGACCCATGCATAGCCATAGAGTTTGATGCCACACTTTTGATAATTACAAAGTAGCATGTCTTCACACAAAGACATAATAGGATAGTGAGGTCTCCAGAAGCTAAAGACAGCCCATAAAAGAAAAACGCAGTAATCATCTACTGTATATCCAGGATTTACAGCACCAAAGAGGTCCAGACTGGAACAGTGAGACTCCGATCTGGTTTCGGTCTCTTAAAATTTTACTTCTCTGGCATCACATGAATCCAGCTTCTATCTAGAAATCAAGTTGAACCACAGGATCTATCAATTACCTAGGATCATCTGTGTAATGAAGAGAACTTAAGGCAGCGTATCTTGATCAAAATTCAAGTACCAGGCTTTAGGTCCCATCAGCCTTTAACCCTTTTTATTGAGAATGTCCAAATCCAAGCCCATTTGATTTTCAGGGGGTCTGTAGATAGGCCAGTTCTGGACTGGCACACAGGGTGCTGAAGACCCAGGCCTTCCCTTCTCAGTGGATTTCATCTTCAACCGGCCCACCAAAATGGAAAGGAAAAAAAGTCATTGTACATATTTTACTCAACCAACTCCTATGGTTGGGTTTTTAGGTAGCTTCCAATATTTTGCTGCAATGAATAACTTTGCAATTAGTAGTGGTATTGTTGCATGATAAATTCTTACAAGTGGGATTACTGGGTCAAAGGATAAAACTGCATGTGTAGCTTTGTTAAAAATGACCAAATTTCCATCCAAAAGTGTTGTACTAGTTAGCATTCCTAGCAACAATATATGACAGTGTTTATTTCCACATGGACTCACCAGTCTAATTGGTGAGAAATGGTAGCTCAGAGTCATTTGAATTTTAATTTGCATTTTTCTTTTTTTTTTGGAGACGGAGTCTTGCTCTGTCATCCAGGCTGGAATGCAATGGCGCAATCTCAGCTCACTGCAGCCTTCACCTCTCAGGTTCAAGTGATTATCCTGCCTCAGCCTCCAAAGTAGCTGGGATTACAGGCACATGCCACCACGCCCAGCTGATTTTTGTATTTTTAGTAGAGACCAGGTTTTGTCATGTTGGCCAGGCTGGTCTCGAACTCCTGAGCTCAAGTGATCTGCCTGCCTCTGCCTCCTAAAGTACTGGGATCACAGGTGTGAGCTGCATTTTTCTTATTATGAGTGAAGTTAAATATCTTTTTATATGTTTAAGGACCATTTAAAAATTGAATACATTATGATCTTTCTTTGTAAATTGTTCATGTACTTTATTTTTTCTCAATTTTAAAAGTACCTTCAGTTTTTGTTGTTTTCCTTCTTGAATTTTAGAAGTTCTGTAACTGTAGCAGTTTGATGTCTTTTGACTTTGTGGTGTTTGGGGGCATAGAAAACTTTTAGGTCTTGCCCTGTCGCCTAGGCTAGAGTGCCATGGCACGATCTCGCCTTACTGCAGCCTCCATCCCCTGAGCTCAGGTGATCTTCCTACCTCAGCCTCCTGAGTAGCTGGAAATACAGGCACACGTCACCATACCCGGCTAATTTTTTTTCTTTTTTGTGGAGACAGGGTCTGGATGTTGCCTAGGCTAGCTAGTCTCGAACTCATGAGTTCAAGTAATCCTCCCACCTTGGTCTCTCAAAATGCTGGGATTACAGGCATGAGCCACCACTCCCAGCCTTGTTTTTATATTTATGTAGTCAAATTTAACAATCTTTAATTCATCTGGATTTTGAATAACAATTAGAAAGTTTCTTCCCACATTTAGGTTATAGAGAAACCTACTTTTGTTTCCTTCTAGTACTTGTATAGTTTCACTTTTTTACATTTAGGTCTCTGATCCATTTGATGTTTGTCTTGTGTACGGTATGAACAGTGAATCTAATTTTATCCTTTTTCCAAATGCTTATTCAGTTTCCCATCACCATTTATTAAAATATTCATTTTGCCCTTGTTATTTAAGTTTCACGATTATCATATACTAAATTCCCAAGCTGAGTCAATTTATATACACACATATATACATATATGTATATATAGCCATAAGATCTTATTGATCATATTTTTAAATTTTCTATATCCATTTTTATTTTTTATCTGCTTCATCTATCTTTTACTAATAGTAGTGTGTTAAAGCTCCTTATTATTAGTGGTTTCTATTGATTTTTTTTTATACTTTAAGTTGCAGATTTGTTACATATGAATACATGTGCCATGGTGGTTTGCTGCACCCATCAGCCCACATCTACATTAGGTATTTCTCCTAATGCTATCCCTCTCCTAGTCCCCCCACCCCCCGACAGGCCCTGGTGTGTGATGTTCCTCTCCCTATGTCCACGTGTTCTCATTGTTCAACTCCCACTTATGAGTGAGAACATGCAGTGTTTGGTTTTCTGTTCCTGTGTTAGTTTGCTAAGAATGATGGTTTCCAGCTTCATCCATGTCTCTGCAAAGGACATGAACTCATCCTTTTTTATGGCTGCATAGTATTCCATGGTGTATAAGTGCCACATTTTCTTTATCTAGCCTATCATCAATGGGTATTTGGGTTGGTTCCAAGTCTTAGCTATTGTGAACAGTGCCGCAGTAAACATACGTGTGCATGTGTCTTTATAGTAGAATGATTTATAATCCTTTGGGTATATACCCAGTAATGGGATTGCTGGGTCAAATGGTATATTTCTGGTTCTAGATCCTTGAGGAATCACCACACTGTCTTCCACAATGGTTGAACTATTTTACACTACCACCAACAGTGTAAAAGCATTCCTGTTTCTCCACATCCTCTCCAGCATCTGGTTGTTTCCTGACTTTTTAATGATCGCCATTCTAACTGAAATTAGATGGTATCTCATTGTGGTTTTGATTGGGATTTTTCTAATGACCAGTGATGATGAGCTTTTTTTCATATGTTTCTTGGCCACATAAATGTCTTCTTTTGAGAAGTGTCTGTTCATATCGTTTGCCCACTTTTTGATGGGGTTTTTTTTTCTTATAAATTTGTTTAAGTTCCTTGTAGATTCTGGATATTAGCCTTTTTGTCAGATGGATAGATTGCAAAATTTTCTCCCATTCTGTAGGTTGCTTGTTCACTCTGATGATAGTTTCTTTTGCTATGCAGAAGCTCTTTAGTTTAATTAGATTCCATTTGTCAATTTTGGCTTTTGTTGCCATTGCTTTTGGTGTTTTAGTCGTGGAGTCTTTGCCCATGCCTATCTCCTGAATGGTATTGCCTAGGTTTTCTTCTAGGGTTTTTATGGTTTTGGGTCTTACGTTTAAGTCTTTAATCCATCTCGATTTAATTTTTGTATAAGGTATAAGAAAGGGGTCCAGTTTCAGCTTTCTACATATGGCTAGCCAGTCTTCCCAACACCATTTATTAAATAGGGAATCCTTTCCTCATTTCTTGTTTTTGTCAGGTTTGTCAAAGATCATATGGTTGTAGATGTGCGGCGTTATTTCTGAGGCCTCTGTTCCACTGGTCTATATATCTGTTTTGGTACCAGTACCATGCCGTTTTGGTTACTGTAGCCTTGTAGTATAGTTTGAAGTCAGGTAGCATGATGCCTCCAGCCACCACAATCAAGTCGGCTTCATCCCTGGGATGCAAGACTGGCTGAACGTATGCAAATCAATAAACATAATCTGTCACATAAACAGAAACAATGACAAAAACCACATGATTTCTTAACAGATGCAGAAAAAGCCTTCAATAAAATTCAACACCCCTTCATGCTAAAAAACTCTCAGTAAACTAGGTATTGATGGAACGTATCTCATAATAAGAGCTATTTATGACAAACCCACAGCCAATATCATACTGAATGGGCAAAAGCTGGAAGCATTCCCTTTGAAAACCAGCACAAGACAAGGATACCCTCTCTCACCACTCCTATTCAACATAGTATTGGAAGTTCTGGTCAGGGCAATCAGGCAAGAGAAAGAAATAAAGGTATTCAAATAGGAAGAGAGGAAGTCAAATTGTCTCTATTTGCAGATGACATGGGTGTGTATTTAGAAAACCCCATCGTCCCAGCCCAAAATCTCCTTAAGCTGATAAGCAACTTCAGCAAAGTCTCAGGATACAAAATCAATGTGCAAAAATCACAAGCATTCCTATACACCAATAATAAACAGCCAAATCATGAGTTAACGCCCATTCACAATTGCTAAAAAGGGAATAAAATACCTAGGAATCCAACTCACAAGGGATGTGAAGGACCTCTTCAAGGAGAACTACAAACTACTGCTGAAGGAAATAAGAGCGGACACAAACAAATGGAAAAACATTCCATGCTCATGGATAGGAAGAATCAATATTGTGAAAATGCCCATACTGCCCAAAGTAATTTATAGATTCAAATCAAGCTACCATTAACTTTCTTCACAAAATTAGGAAAAACTACTTTAAATTTCATATGGAACCAAAAAGAGCCCATATAGCCAAGACAATTCTATTGATTTCGTAATTCATCTCCTGATGTTTTTGCTTTATATGAGTTGTTTTGTCTTTTTTGCTGCATAGATATGAAGAACTATTGTATTTTCACTTTTAATTTTGGCTTCTAGCATTATAAAATAACCTTTGTTTTATTTAATGATTTTGGCGTAATTCTACTTTGTCTGATAGCAGGATCACTTTCTTATTGTTTCCATTTGCCTGGTATATCTTTGCTTTTTAAAAATTTTTTAGCGTTTCTAAATCTCTGATTTAGGTCTGTCTCTTGCATACAGCATAGAATTAGATTTTACTTTCAAGCAAATTGAAAACCTTTTGCTTTCAATGAGTGAATTATGCTCATTTCCATTTATTGATGTGACTGACATGCCTGTTGTAAATGCTGTTGTTATTTTAATAATTTATTTTTGAGACAGAATGTCACTCCAGTGCCCAAGCTGAAGTGCAGTGATGTGATCATGGCTCACTGTAGCCTCGACCTCCTGGGCTCAAGCAGTCTTCCCACCTCAGCCTCCTTGGTAGCTGGGACTACAGGCACACACCACCACACCTGGCTAAATTTTTGTATTTTTTGTAGAGATGGCTAAGTCTTTGTGTTTTTTTCGCCATGTTGCCCAGGCTGATCTCGAACTCCTGGGCTCAAGTGATATGCACACCTTAGCTTCCCAAAGTGCTGGGATTACAGGCGTGAGCCACTGCACCCGGCAAGAACTGATATTAATAAAGAGAATTGGCAAGTTAGGTTCAGTGATGACTTAAACCCTTGCTGGAGTGGTAGGGACAAAAGCCTGATTAGAGAGAATGGGAGAGGAATGAGAAAATGAAGACAGTGAGACAGCTAACTTTTTTTGAGAAATTATGATATGAAGGAAGAAGAAAAACAGGGCAGAAATTGGACCAGAAATTGGACCAGAGTGAGGCTGGTTCTTTTTTTTTTCTTTTTTTTCAATGAAAAATTTCATACCTATAAAAGAATGTGATATAAATAAGTGCTTCCTTGCCCAGCTTATAAAAATAAATTGTGTGTTTTCTGGTTTTTTTTTTTTTTTTACACTTATGGAGGCAAGTTGGGTTTTTTTTAAGGTAGGTATTTTTGTATGTTCTATACTGACGGGAGTGATCCCAAAGAGGAGAGGAATAAATTGATGATAGAGAAAATAAAGCATTCAATTATTCGATTCAACAACTATATTTTTGCTACCTACAAGGAACTAATCACTGTATGATGTATGCTTAGGATGAACAGTGAGTAAAACAAAGTTCCTGCCCTTGTGGCATTTTTAGAGTAGATGAGAGGGACTGTGATCTGGTGCACGAGTGGATGGGTTTCCCTTAAATTGGAGAAAGGACGGCCAGGCGTGGTGGCTCATGCCTGTAATCCCAGCACTTTGGGAGGCCGAGGCGGGCGGATCACGAGGTAAGGAGATCGAGACCATCCTGGCTAACACAGTGAAACCCCGTCTCTACTAAAAATACAAAAAATTAGCCGGGCGTGGTGGCGGGCGCCTGTAGTCCCAGCTACTCGGGAGGCTGAGGCAGGAGAATGGCGTGAACCCGGGAGGCGGAGCTTGCAGTGAGCCGACATCACGCCACTGCACTCTAGCCTGGGTGACAGTGAGGCTCTGTCTCAAAAAAAAAAAAAAAATTGGAGAAAAGACATTTAATTTATTGTACAGGCAGAATGTATAATATGTAATGCATATAGATTAATTAATTTTGTGTCAGAAAGATGTTTGCTGCTTCTAATTGCTTGTATTTTCTTATTGAAATAAGATGTAAAGCCACCAGTTAAGAGTCAGTAGGGCCAGGCTCAGTGGCTTACGCTGGTAATCCCAGCACTTTGGGAGGCCGAGGCAGGTGGATCACCTGAGATCAGGAGTTCAAGACCAGCCTGGCCAAAATGGCGAAACCCCATCTCTACTAAAAATGCAAAAATTAGGGCCGGGCGCGGTGGCTCACGCCTGTAATCCCAGCACTTTGGGAGGCCGAGGCGGGCGGATCACGAGGTCAGGAGATCGAGACCATCCTGGCTAAAACGGTGAAACCCCGTCTCTACTAAAAATACAAAAAAATTAGCCGGGCGTAGTGGCGGGCGCCTGTAGTCCCAGCTACTTGGGAGGCTGAGGCAGGAGAATGGCGTGAACCCAGGAGGCGGAGCTTGCAGTGAGCCGAGTTCCCGCCACTGCACTCCAGCCTGGGCAACAGAGCGAGACTCCGTCTCAAAAAAAAAAAAAAAAAAAAAAAAAATTAGCCAGGCATGGTGGTGCGCCCCTGTAATCCCAGCTACTCGGGAGGCTGAGGTGGGAGAATTGCTTGAACCTGTGAAGCGGAGGCTGCAGTGAGCTGAGATTGAGCCACTGCACTCCAGCCTGGGTGACAGAGCGAGACCCCGTCTCAAAAAAAAAAAAAAGAGGAAGGGAGAAGCTGCTGAAGTTTTAAGGAAGGATGAGAATATATGAAATTATCTCTGAGAATGTAAAAGTTAATTGGCTAGGAAATGTATTGCTGGACAGTGTGAAGGATCCCCTTGAGATTTGGGTTATCAGTTTAAAAGGAGACTAGCCAATGCTGTTACCAGTTTTCTATCCATGTTTAGCTTCTTGGGTTCATATGCAAAGTAGGCAGAGAGTTAGGATATAACTAGCATCTTTACCTGGTGAGTACAAGGGATGAGAGTAGTAAGGAAGACAGTGATGTATATTAAGGAGTATTTATAGTGATGGACCACATAAGCTGTGTAAACGAGACCACCAAAGGAATTAGGGTGCTATAAATCAGTGTAACAAATGGATTGAGGATCCTGTTAGAATCAGAATTGCTGGAGCCAGAGTAAAAAGTCAGTGAGTTGGAAAAATAGAAGGTGGTGATCAGACAATAGGATGTAAGCTTTTTGAGGTCAGGGATTTTTGTTTGTTTGTTCATTGCTGTATCTCTATAATGCCTGGCCATATTCAGGGTTCAATATATGTGTGTCACATGAATTAATATGATATTTTAAAGTGAGATTTTGGAGTTGGTGCAATTTTTGGTAATGCCAAGGAGTAGAGTATAACAAAGTGGTTGAGTGACTAAGGCGAGAAGGAGAAAAAAAATAATTGAACGTGATGAGGTCATGGAGTCTCAGCCATAAGGATGTTAAAGTCACTGAAGTAATTTTTTTAAAAAACAGAGATAAGAAAATAGTCCTAATGTCTTTTTTAAAAAACTCATACTGGTCAGGTGCAGTGGCTTACGCCTGTAATCCCAACACTTCGGGAGGCCAAGGTGGGTGGATCACTTGAGGCTAGGAGTTTGAAACCAGCCTGGCCAACATGGCATAATCCTGTCTCTACTGAAAATACAAAAATCAGCCAGGTGTGGTGACACATGCCTGTAATCCTAGCTACTCTGGAAGCTGAGGCACAAGAATCGCTTGAACCCCAGAGGTGGAGGTTGCAGTGAGCCAAGATCGCACCATTGCACTCCAGTCTGGGCGATAGAGCAAGACTCTTGTCTCAAAAAATAAATAAATAAATAA
Organism: Homo sapiens; assembly: GCF_000001405.40. Lineage (NCBI taxonomy): Eukaryota > Metazoa > Chordata > Mammalia > Primates > Hominidae > Homo > Homo sapiens. The sequence continues at coordinate 44,950,684 of NC_000001.11, read as the reverse complement.
ACACCTTATACTTATTGAAGTTATATGTATATATCATTTAAATAATTCAATATCATTTAATAAATTAATAATTTAATAATTTAAATAATTCAATAGTTCAAGCTTTGTTCCTAAAAATATTAGTCCCCTGACCACCCCCACCCCATATCCCTAACCCGAAAGGTTCTCTTCTTTTAGCTACTTTGTTTTTTATCTGTATGTCTCTAAATAACATGCTAAAATTGTTACTTCTTGAATTTTCTGTTTTGTTTGTTTGTTTTTTAGAAACACGATCTCACTCTGTCACGGGTGCTGGAGTGCAATGGCACAATCATAGCTTACTGCAGCCTGAAACCTGGGCTCAAATGATCCTCCTGCCTCAACCTCTCAAGTAGCTGGGACTACAGGCATGCACCACCATGCCTGGCTAATTTTTAAAATTTTTTGTAGAGATAAGGTCTCGCTATGTTGCCCAGGCTGGTTTCAAACTCCTGGCCTCAAACAGTTCTCCCACCTTGGCCTCCCAAAATGCTGGGGTTACAGGCATGAGCCATTGTGCTCAGCCAACCCTAAGTTTTAAAAAGATTTATTAGTTGTATTTTTTCTCATTGTTATGAACTTCCCTTTAGAGTGAAAGTTTGATTTGGGAGAACAAAAAAAATCTCTTGTTTTTTTCTATTCCAAGTCAGTGCATTTAGAGATGAAAATTAAATTGCATATATCTAAATCCTAGAAGAGACGTGACAGGCATTTTTATAGGGAACTCATTTGAACATAATTAAAAATTAATATAGGTGCTTCTTTCCTAGCTTCACACAGTAAGGAAGAATATAATTCCTCTATTTGTTCTTAATCTGAAGAGGAAAATTTCCTTGGAGGACGTGAATGAATTATGAATATTAGAACCATAAATGTTGAGCCTTCATTTTAAGTTGTAAATCTAGCAAGCATATCATCATTCTTCAGCCGTGCCCTCCAGGACAGCTGCTTTTGACTTCTTTCCTTTCAGACATCTCTGCCTTTTGCTTCTTTGGTAGTAGCAGGTTCATTTCCTACCTTCTTGCATTAGGGAACTGCAAAGTTGTCTCTGTGGCCCCTGTCCTAACTCTGAACAGTCAGTCTCTACAAAGGGAGCATTCACCTCTGTCAGAATGTATACTGTTTCTAAACATTTAAAATCAGATGTTTTAATATTTGAGTCAAATTAAACAAAGAGAAGGAGATAACAGGAAAAGTACTAACATTTACTCATGCGTGTTTGCCAGCACTAGGTTGAACTCTGAATATACAAAGATAAAAGGGCTCCTTATGGAGCTCAAAGTCTAGATGGAAAAAATATATATGTAATCCAATTAGTGATTTAAGGTCTGTAATGGATCAGAAAATGCATCATCTCTAGGGGAGATAATATATCGGCTCTGCCCTTTCTAGTAACTGTGACAAGACCTGAATTTTGATGGATAAATATATAATAGAGTAGGAAGACAGACTAGGGTATACATTCTTGGCAGTCGACTCTATCAAATTAACACTGGCGGCCAGGTGCAGTGGCTCATGCCTGTAATCCCAGCACCTGAGGAAGCCAAGGCAGGAGGATCACTTGAGGTCAGGAGTTTGAGAACTAGCCTGGCCAACATGGCGAAACACTGTCTGTACTAAAAATGTAAAAATTAGCTGGGCATGGTGGCATGTACCTGTAATCCCAGCTACTTGGGAGGCTGAGGCACAAGAATTGCTTGAACCTCGGGGGGCGGAGGTTGCAGTGAGCCGTGATCGTGCCATTTTACTCCAGCCTGGGCAATAGCCTGGGCAATAGAGCGAGACTCTTTCTCAAAAAAAAAGAAAAGAAAAGAAAAGAAAAAGTTAACATTGGCTATGTGGAGGGGAGTTGGGGGAGAGAAGACTGAATTAGGTAGGTGGAGTCATATTTTGAAGACCCTTAAAATCATGCTAAGGAATTCCAACTTAATCTTGTTGAGCAGCAATCTCCAAAATAGGCTGTACTCAAAGCCAGGTGGTGTACAGAATTAAGTACCAGAGGAAAATGTTAGAATTTCTTGTTTTTAAATGTTTTATTTATTCCTTTTTAAATGTCTATCTTTATATATATTATATAAAGAGCATATCATATTATAGTGATCTATATATTTTTTTAAAAATTTTAAGGTAAGTGGCAATAAGTTCAACTTTTTTGATGTTTGGAAAACACTGTTTTAGGGTGTCTTTGAGCAGGGAAAAGACATATGCAGTAGAAATTAGAGTATGGATTAGAATAAGGGAAAACTGGAGCAAGAGAGACACCAGCCAAGAGACTGGAAGAAGATTTTGAGACCTGAACTAAGGCAGTGCAATAGGGGAAGAGTAGGGGACAGGGCAGGAGAGGAAGGACTTCCATCCTGGACTATGGGCGGATTTCTGGCATCAGATTCTGGATGGTAGCAACAGCATGATTAAACTAAGGAATATAGTAAGGATATTTAGCTGTGAGCCCAAGGATTATCACATTTCTTACTTACTGACTGAGTTGGTCATTTCCCTTCCTAGAGCTACTGCCCCAACCTCAGTGAAAACAATGTGGCAGTTGGCCCTTGGCCTTGCACTTTGAGGACTATAGACTGGAATCTTTTCCAAGCATTTTAAACCAAAACTGAGGTCTCCATTGCAGTTAGCCTTTGGTGTTTATTCAAGCACACAAACTATGCCAGGTGCAGTGGCTCATGCATGTAATCCCAGCATTTTGGGAGGCTGAGGCAGGAGGATTGCTTGAGTCCAGGAGTTTGAGACCAGCCTGGGCAATATAGGGAGACCCCTTGTCTAAAAAAAAAGAAAAGAAAAGAAAAAGCACACAAACTACTCTTGGGGATTTGACTGGGATTGGACCACATAGGAAAATGTAAAATGTGACCTTCATAGTCACACCAAGTAGCTGAATTCATGAGTTCCATATGGGCAGGGGTGGCATGCAGGCTGGTGATTTGGATCATAGCCATTATTTGTGGAAGCACTGGGTGAGTAGAGAAGCATGGTAGTTACCTTGCCCTGACAGTTTTTTTCCAAGGGAGTAAATGTGTTTTTCTTTCTCCTTGTCATAAGAAATCGGTTGCCAGATTGTGTTATTTATAACAATCTGTCATGGAACAGCTGCCAGGAAAAGAAAAGAGGCTATTCCCAGTAGCTCTCCTCACCTCCCGCCCCACCACTACAGCCACACACACACACATCCGGTTTTCTGATTTAACCTTTTTTCCCCTCTAATTTTACTCAGTGGTTTTGGCTTGATCGAAAATGTTCTTGTAATGAGAGATTTCTGGGCTTTGCCATGGCTTGGTAATTGGGTTTTCTGAGCTTAATTTGTTTACTTTAGTCAAGACTAACTGGCAGCAGTTTGGATTTTGAATTCCTGGGTGTTTTGGACACTTTAAACACTAAAGTGCTGCCTTCCCTTGAAACCTTGCATGTTTCTATATTGTCAAGAGTGCACACATCTGCTTTCCTTCTGAGTTGTGCTTTCTGCCCTTGACATTGCCCTGGCTTCTCTAGAGGAGCAGGCTTGGGATGAGGCATACCAATGACTGTTGGAATAGTGAGTAGGGAGATCTTTGGAGAGGCCAGTTGGTCTCTGCAGAAGAGGCATACTGTTGGCATTAGAAAAGAAGTGGGTCCATGAAACAAAGGCAGCTGAGTGTTGGCATGTTCAGGGAACTTTAAAATTAACTGCATTTCTGACACACAGTTGCTTCACAGTCCAAACAGTCCATGTTTATTCATGGCTTGTGGTCACACATGATCAAAAATACTTCTCTGGGTCTTATCAGTTTTTCTACTTTCTCTCTCTGGGCTCCAGTTACTAGAAAGCCATTTGCATTCCTAGAATGGGCTTTACATTTTAGAATAAAAATAAAAACAATGATCATTTCTTTCTGTTACAGCGTTTATAAAATCAGGCCAGGCTCAGTGGCTTATGCCTGTAATTCCAGCACTTTGGGAGGCTGAGACAGGAAGATCACTTGAGCCTAAGAGTTTGAGACCAGCCCTGGCAACATAGTGAGATCCCGTCTCTACAAAAAAAAAAAAAAAAGAAGAAGAAGAAGAAATTAAAATTAGTGGACATAGTGGCATGTGGTGCCTGTAGTCCCAGCTACTTAGGAAGCCGAGGTGGTAGGATGCTTGAGTCCAAGAATTTGAGGTTACAGTGAGCTATGATCACACCTCTGCACTCCAGCCTGGGCAACAGACTGAGACCCTGTCTCAAAAAAAAAAAGGTATTATGAAGGTATAAGTGTGATTTAGCTTTCCTTTCTTTCTTCTTCTGAGATTTCCAGCTTTGGAAATTGATCAGACAACAAACACTTTCCTTTGGAAGTGATGGAGTTGCACAGAGGATGAGATGTGTTTGGTCTCAGTGACTCTTACATGGTGCATTCTCTGGGAACAGAGGCAGGAGAGGGGCTGATGGAACAGCACCTCCGTCTGTATGCTAGGCCCTGTTCTTTCAGACCCACGCCTTTCTTTTCACACTAAGAACAGATGGCAACCAGACATTGAGTGGAGGGGTCTGTTCCTTGTGATCCTTGGGGATTTTGCATTCAGTTTAGCAAAAAGTCATCAAAACGCAAAGAGAGAAATGAGCCTACAGCCTGTTCACAATTATGCAGGACTTGTTTGGCATTCACTGTACTGACAGATTTAAACACTTTTGCAGATATCGAATGATAACAGCATTTATTTGCCAAGACAACATTGTTACCACTTCTGAGGCATCTGCATTGGAGTCATTTTCTTGATTTTGGAGTATACTTAATAGTTCAATTTATTGTAGATCAGTAAACTTGCAAAAAAACAGCCATCTTATTAGAGAAACTTAGAAAAATAGAAAGGGGATTTTTTTCCTCAGCAAATTGTCATTTTCATTCTGATGAAATGGGGCAACTTCTGTACTGTTGTAATGACAACTCTGTGAATGTCTTTAGTAATGATTTGTCTCCTTGTCTTTCTAAGCATTGTTCTAAGTAGGATTCTGCAGGCTGTTTCTTTAGTTTGTATGTATGTGGTCTGATTTGTTCACGTTTGCTGCTTCCTGCATGGTGAGTTGCAGGTGTAGGGTTTTTTTTTTTCCTAAAGAGATGTTTATGGGAACTTTTTTTTTTTTTTTGAGACGGAGTCTTGCGCTGTTACCCAGGCTGGAGTGCAGTGGCGCGATCTCGGCTCACGGCAAGCTCCGCCCCCTGGGTTCATGCCATTCTCCTGCCTCAGCCTCCCGAGTAGCTGGGACTACAGGCGCCTGCCACCACGCCCTGCTGATTTTTTGTACTTTTAGTAGAGACGAGGTTTCACCATGGTAGCCAGGATGGTCTCGATCTCCTGACGTTGTGATCCACCCGCCTCGGCCTCCCAAAGTGCTGGGATTACAGGTGTGAGCCACCGCGCCCAGTGGGAACTTTTTTTTTTTTTAGTCTCAGAGTTAAAATCTAAAAAGAATTTAGAGAGCCTTAAGCAGAAGAGTAGGAAACAATCCGAATTTGAGCTTAACTTTAAAAGGCCTTCAAAAGAAATTGTTCAGGCTATAAATAACAAGTTACATGTGGAAAAAGAAATGGTGATTCTGTTGCAGATTCTATATTCAGAATAAGAAATTTCAGGCAGTAACATAAGGCATTCTGATGGTTGAGTCTCACTTTCTGAGCAAACAAGACTCTTTGATTTGGTAGACTATGAGTTGAAATCATCCATTTTCCCACCCAAACCAGGAATCATGATTTTAAATTAAAATATTAGGAAAGTTTGGAGTACTTACAAAAAAAAAAATACATGTAGACTCACTTCATTCTTGAACCCAAAATAATTTGGTCCAATGTTTTCCAGACTATTTATTTATTTGAGACAAGGCCTCACTCTGTCACCCAGGCTGGAATCCAGTGGAGTAATTGTAGCTCACTAGAGTCTTGAACTCCTCTGAGGTTTAAGCAATCCTCTTGCCTCAGCCTCCCAAGTAGCTGGGACTATAAGTGCATGCCACCACACCTGGCTAACTTTTAAAAAATTTTATTTGCTAATTTAAAAAATGTTTTATGTATTTTTAGAGATGGGGTCTTACTGTGTTGTTCAGGCTGGCCTCAAACTCCTGGCCTCAAGTGATGCTCCTGCCTCAGCCTCCAGAGTAGCTTGGCTTACAGGTGCAAGACACTGTGCCAGGCCTTTTTTTTTTTTTTTTGAGACAGCATCTTGCACTGTCACCCAGGCAGAAGTGCAGTGATGTGATCATAGCTCACTCTAACCTTGAACTCCTGGGCTCATGCAGTCCTCCTGCCTTGGCATCCCAAAGCACTGGGATTACAGGTGTGAGCCACTCTGCCCAGCCTAGACTTTTTTAAAGTAGCATAATTGGTTTTCCAAGACAAAGCTTATCCAGAAGCCTGGAAAATAAAATTAATAAAAGAGGAGCTGCCTTGGTTGATTCACGAAGGGCAAATCAGAACCTGCCTTTCCCTGAGGCACCTCTGGGATTACAGGCATGTGCTACTGTGCCTGGCCCTAAACTATGTTTCTTTTTTTTCTTTCTTTGGAGATAGAGTCTTGCTCTGTCACCCAAGCTGGAGTGCAGTGGTGCTATCTCGGCCCACTGCAATTTCCACCTCCTGGGTTCAAGCAATTCTCCTGCCTCAGCCTCCCGAGTAGCTGGGACTATAGGCATGTGCCACCATGCCCGGCTAATTTTTGTATTTTAGTAGAGATAGGGTTTCACTGTGTTGCTCAGGCTGGTCTCAAACTCCTGAACTCAGGCACTCCGCCCACCTTGGCGTCCCAAAATGCTGGGATACAGGCATGAGCCACTGCGCCCAGCCTAAACTATATTTCTTTAACACTATTCAGTAATACAGATTCTTTAGTTATACAAATAGCCATTACTAATTGTTAAATCTTAGTTACATAACTACTATAAATCTGTTTCTTCGTTGGTAAAGTGCTAATAATAACAGCTCTGGGCTAGGCGCGGTGGCTCACGCCTGTACTCCTAGCACTTTGGGAGGCCAAAGTGGGCAAATTGCTTGAGTCCAGGAGTTCGAGTCCAGCCTGGGAAACATAGGAAGACCCTGTCTCTACTAAAAATAAAAATAAAAATTAGCCAGGTGTGGTGGGGCACGCCTGTAGTCCCAGCTACTAGGGAGGCTGAGGTGGGAGGATCACTTGAGCCCAGGAAGTCGAGGCTGCAGTAAGCCATGATCATGCCACTGCACTCCAGCCTGGGTAACAGAACAAGACCCTGTCTCAAAAAAACAAAAATTTAGATATAGATATAGATATAGATATAGATATAGATATAGATATAGATATAGATAGTTCTTCCTGCATATGGTTGTTGTGAAGATTGAAATATGTTTTTGGCCAGGCGTGGTGGCTCACACCTGTAATCTCAGCACTTTGGGAGGCTGAGACAGGATTGTTTGAGCCCACCAGTTCAAGACCAACCTGGACTACATAGTGAGAAACATAGTGAGACCCTGTCTCTATTTTTTTTTTAATTTAAAAATAAAATTAAAATAAAAAATAAGGCCGGGCGTGGTGGCTCACACCTGTAATCCCAGCACTTTGGGAGGCCAAGGCAGGTGGATCACGAGGTCAGGAAATCAAGACCATCCTGGCTAACACGGTGAAACACCGTCTCTACTAAAAACACAAAAAAAATTAGCCGGGCGTGGTGGCGGGCGCCTGTAGTCCCAGCTACTCAGGAGGCTGAGGCAGGAGAATGGCATGAACCCGGGAGGCGGAGCTTGCCGTGAGCCGAGATCTTGCCAGTGCACTCCAGCTTGGGCAACAGAGGGAGACTCTGTCTCAAAAAATAAATAAATAAAATAAAATAAAATAAAATAAATAATGTTTGCAAAGTGTTATCACAATTCCTGGCCAATAGTAAGCATTCAGTAAACATTAGTTATCATTGTTAGTTTTTATTATAATTAATCTGAGATATTAGAATTATAATCAGGCATGGTAGCTCATGCCTATAATCCCAACACTTTGGGAGGCCGAGGTGAGTGGATCATTTGAACCCAGGAGTTTGAGACTAGCCTAGGCAACATAGGGAGACACCATCTCTACAAAAAATGTAAAAATTAGCCAAGTGTGGTGGTACATACCTGTAGTCCCAGCTACTTGGGAGGCTGAGGCAGGAGGATGACTTGAGCCTGGCAGGTCGAGGCTGCAGTGAGCTGTGACCGCACCGCTGCATTCCAGTCTAGGTGACAGAGTAAGACCCTGTCTGGAAAAAAAAAAAAAAAAAAAAAAAAAAATATATATATATATATATATATATATATATATATATATATAAAATCAGAAAGCCCACCAATAAGAGAAAACCTTTTCTTCGTTGATTTATTCATTCATTTGTTAAACAATTATTAAATACCAACTGTGTGTCAGACACTGGTAACAGGCCTTATTTTTCTCAGCTATAAAAATAGAGGCCAGTAATATTAATAATAACAATGCCTTTCTGTCATTCTTATGCTATTTTTATAAGATTGAATGGGTGCCTTGTACATACCTGAGGTTACATTGTAATTATTTACTATAGAATGTTAAGTTCCTAAGAATGAAGCATTGTATTCTGTTCATCCTGTTATTTCCTAGTACTGTAGTAAAGTGATTGTTCTTTGCCATATTAAGTCATCAAACTATGTGAAAATGCTCTTTTAAACTATAAAGAGATGTATAAATATAAGATCATATATTCCATAGTCATAGAAATAGACAATGTGGTGGTTTTCAGACTGTTTCTTAGAACCTAGGGTTCCAGAGATGTCTCAGGGACTGCCCACACAGTTCCTGAGGTACACAAGGGAGAGGTAGAGTTTCCAGACCCTATACCAGCACAATTCAATGAGAACAACCCCATTTATTTTACTTGTTTGGCTATGAAAAATGCTTGAAGAGTATTGTCTGATTTGTGTGGTTTTAAGCCATCCTAATTTTGTCTTGTGATGATTTGTGTAATCCATTGTCCTTTATGATATTGACTTTTCCCATCTCCATTTAACAGACAGATGTGCTGGTGCTGAGCTGTGATCTGATAACAGACGTTGCCTTACATGAGGTTGTGGACCTGTTTAGAGCTTATGATGCATCACTTGCTATGTTGATGAGAAAAGGCCAAGATAGCATAGAACCTGTTCCCGGTCAAAAGGGGAAAAAAAAAGCAGGTAAGGAAGATTGGAGTTTGTTTTGTTTGTTGAGTTTTCGTAATTATTATTCTCACTCATGCTTTCCCTGAAAAAACATTTATTAAGAATCTACTATACATCACAGATTCTGTGCTAGGAGTTGATGACATAAAGTCAAATAAGACACAGTCCCTGAATGGAAAATGCTTAGAACTATTGATTAGATTCTTTAATGTCCTTTTGTATGCAGAGAGGAACATTCAGAACTATTTGCATTGTATTTAAGGCTCAAATAATTGAATACGTATATCTAAGAAACAAACAAACAAAAATCCAATTTAAAATTAACTTTTAAAAATAGGCCAGGTGCGGTGGCTCACACCTGTGATCCCAGCACTTTGGGAGACCGAGGCAGGGGGATCACAAGGTCAGGAGTTTGAGACCAGCCTGGCCAACATGGTGAAACCCCATCTCTACTAAAAATACAAAAATTAGCTGGGCGTGGTGGCGTGTGCCTGTAATCCCAGCTACTCAGGAGGCTGAGGGAGGAGAATTGCTTGAACCCAGGAAGGGGAGGTTGCAGTGAGCCGAGATCACGCCACTGCACTCCAGCCTAGGCAACAGAGCAAGACTCCATCTCGGTGGGGGGAGAAAAGGAATTAAAGTTACTATCACAAATTTAGTATGGCTGGTTCTTTCAATGCTTCAGTCACCCTAAATGACCAATAAATGTGATAGTTGTTTCTTTTTCTTTTTCTTTTTCTTTCTTTTTTTTGAGATGGAGACTCGCTCTGTTGCCAGGCTGGAGTGCAGTGGCACCATCTCGGTTCACTCCAATCTCCACCTCCCGGGTTCAAGCACTTCACCTGCCTCAGCCTCCCGAGTAGCTGGGACTACATGCACATGCCACCACACCCAGCTAATTTTTGTATTTTTAGTAGAGACGGGGTTTCACCATGTTGGCCAGGATGGTCTCTTACTTATCTCTTGACCCCGTGATCCACCTGCCTCTGTCTCCCAAAGTGCTAGGATTACAGGCATGAGCCACTGTGCCCAGCTGATAGTTGTTAATCATGCTTATCTTCCTAGGATTATAACATACTTATTTTGATTGTAACATACTTATTTTGATACTTATTTTCCTAGGATTCTAGTAGTCCTTTTATGGGTTTAAATTTTCCTGAATGATGTGTTTTTTTCCTTGAAGTTTTCCTCTGGAATGATGTATTCTTTAGGTTTTGCTTTGCCAGCATTATGTAACCCACTATTTTGTCATTATTATATGTTGGCATATTTTGTTACAATTATTAGACTATGTATAGCTTATTAATTTCTTACTATTATTAATAGAGCCACTGAGAGCCTTCATACTTAGGATTTGAATAATCTAGTTAATATTTTAGGACGTTTGGTTAAATTATAATTTTCCAGTATAACATTGAAACTTGTTTCTAGTTGCTTTTTGTGTTCAGATGATCACTGGTGCAGATTAATTGTTGGATACTTTTTCTACATTATTGTTATGTGATGATACTCATGCTGATCAGTCTTTTTGTTCTTCATATAGTTTCTGCTTTTGCAAGGTCTGGTTTACTTACAATTCCCTGTATTCATTCTTTTCTGCCTACACAGATAGAAATAAATATATAACCAGATTTTATAAACAGATATATGTTTCATAATTAATTTTTTTGTTTCCTTTGTACTCTATTTATAAAAATCAATTAAAAAATCAACTTATTCTTCTTGTCATTAGAACTTTTCTTTAAATTTTCTCCCTTTTCATAGGCATTGATAAAACTTTTTAATACACTTTATATATAGTTTTTATGTCTTAAGTATCATTATAAATGCACAGATTTTCACAATTCCTTTTCTTTTATTGTAAATTTAACAATTTATAATTGTATAAATTTATGGGATACAAAGCGATGTTATAATTTATGTATACAATGTGGAATAATTAAATTAAACAGGTTAACATATCCATCCCTCAAATACTTAACATTTTTCATGGTGAGAACATTTGAAATTTACTCTCTTAGCAATTTTGAAATGTACAATACTCTTGTTAACTATATTTACAACATAATTCTATTTTAAATTAACTGTAACTATTAGCTACCTACCATCCATTTTTAAATGTTTTCATGCTTAAATTGTCAGTTTGGCCAATGGAAGTCCTTTAAGCTGGATCCTTTATCCTCTGAAAAAGTATGATGTATACTGGTAACTTTCTATAGCTGGAGTGTGAATATAGGAGGCAGAGAAGCAGATAGGACTGGAGAAGAGCCAGATATCAGACGAAAGAGTTTGAATTCTTGCCCAAAACAGTGAGGAAGTTGTTGAAGTAAACAAGATAGTGTCATAATTAGATTAGATTAATGTTTTAAGAAGATTTTTCTTTCCTTTTGTTTCTTTTTTTTTTTTTTTTTTTTTTTTTGAGACAGGGTCTTACTCTGTTGCCGAGGCTAGAGTGCAGTGGCTCAATCTTGGCTCGCTGCAAACCTCTGCTTCCTGGGCTCAAGCAATCCTCCCACCTCAGCCTCCCGAGTAACTGGGACTATAGGCACTCGCCACCATGCCTGGCTAACTTTTTGTATTTTTTGTAGGCACAGGGTTTCACAATGTTGCCCAGGCTGGCCTCGAACTCTTGAGCTCAAAAGCAATCTCCCTGCCTCAGTCTCCCAAAGTGCTGGGATTAGAGGCATGAGTCACCACACTTGGCCTCTTTCTTTCTTTCTTTTTAAAAAGATACTGGGGGGCACCATGGCTCAGGACCGTAATCCTAGCACTTTGGGAAGCTGAGGCAAACAGATGGCTTGAGCCCAGGAGTTTGAGACCAGTCTGGGTAACATGGTGAAACCCCATCTCTACAAACAATTTTTTAAAAATTAGCTGGGCATGGTGGCTTGTGAGCCTCTAGTCCCAGCTACCTGGGAGGCTGAGGTGAGAGGATCACTTGAGCCCGGGATGTCGAGGCTACAGTGAACCATGATCATGCCACTGCACTCCAGAGTCTCACTCTGTCCCAAAAAAAAACAGAGAGAGAGAGAGAGAGAGAGAAATTAGGTCTCATTATGTTGCCCAGGCTGGTCTCAAACTCTTGACCTCAAGCAATTCTCCCACCTCAGCCTGCCAAGTAGCTGGTATTACAGGTACCAGCCATCACTCCTGTCAAGTTTTCATTCTTAATATGAAATTTTAAACTTCTCAATACCTATATTTTGTTACATTTGAAGGCTAAGATTCACCTAAATAATTGAGTTTTAAATTCCTCCCATAGAATGCTATGCATTTCCATCATAAGCATTTTTTAAAGAATCGTAAGTTTTTCAGATTATATATTTGGCATGCCTCTTGGCTGCTGTTGTGTGCCAGAACAGCCTGCAGTCCACTGTTTCCCAGATATTGTTTAATAGTCTAGATCTTCTAGACCCAACTTCCTCAAATGGCGTTCTTACTGACTTATAGGGGAATGGCTAATCTCTGGATGTTTCTGGAGCCACCTTTCTTCCCCTTGCACTTTCTTCTCAGAAAATTTATAGGAGATACTGATACTAAGAGGGCAGGATCAAATTCATGTTTAGACTTTTTGGAGTATTTCATTCCTGCTGCAGGTCTTTTTTTTTTTTTTTTTTTTTTTTTTTTTTTTTTTTTTGAGACGGAGTCTCGCTCTGTCGCCCAGGCTGGAGTGCAGTGGCGCGATCTCGGCTCACTGCAAGCTCCGCCTCCCGGGTTCACGGCATTCTCCTGCCTCAGCCTCCCGCGTAGCTGGGACCACAGGCGCCCGCCACCACGCCCGGCTAATTTTTTGTGTTTTTTAGTAGAGACGGGGTTTCACTGTGTTAGCCAGGATGGTCTCGATCTCCTGACCTCGTGATCCGCCCGCCTCGGCCTCCCAAAGTGCTGGGATTACAGGCGTGAGCCACCGCGCCCGGTCTGCTGCAGGTCTTTACACAGCTTCCTTGCCTGAAATGCTCTCTAGTCCCTTTCTCCTCCGAACACATATATTCCAAATCCAGCTTAGCCTTCAAGTTATTTCTGAGAAAGACCTATCCTGACCTTTTAATATAAACTATATCCTTTTGTTTGCCTACATATAGCAGCCTGCTCTCTTATTTACTCTTTCCCCTACTGGACTATAAGCTCCATAAGGGAAGGGATCATATCTGTTTTGTTTATTTTATTCCCAGCACCTGGCCCAGTTATGTCCCATGGTGAACAATCAATAAATATTATTGAATGGCCTGCTTATAAAGGCAGCTCTTCTTGCCCCCCACCCCAGGTAAGTGAAGATAGACCTGAGCACTAGCAGTTTAAAATCCTAAAGATGTTAGTCTGAGCTATAGTTGGATTCATAAGTAGGTATTACAAGAGCGCGTGAGCTTGTAATGCTTTTAGCAATATGGATCTAGCAGACTGATACTGACTACATTGTCTATTAATTTTATGTTTAGAAATGGTTTCAAGATTTTTAAAAAAATACCCAGCACTGCACCATGATTGTTAAGAGCACAAGGTCTATAGAGTTCAGACTGGGTTTCAGTGCTCAAAAGCTGTGGGATTTTGGGCAAATTACCTTGATCTTCATGAATTTCATTTTCTTCTGTTGTAAAGTGAGCCTGAATCCTTTCAGGATTTTTGTGAGAATTAAATGACATGTTTATAAGGCATGTGGCCCATTCGTTACCTGAAAGATAGTAGATGCTTAATAATTTGTAATTACTATTGTAATTTGGTACTGAAACTTAACAAATCTCATTTAATAACTTTGTAAACATTCTATATCACATATTTATTTCATGTAAAATGGCAGTACTTTAAAAAACCACAGAATATCAGAGTGTTTTTGTTTGCATTTTTACCATAATAGCTTGTAAGTTTGAAGGGAAACTCATAGTGACAAATGTCTAGACAAGCCTCTCTGGAAGGCTCACATGTAACTTTTTTTGAGACAGAGTCTCATTCTGTCACCCAGGCTGGAGTGCAATGGCGCGATCTTGGCTCACTGCAACCTCTGCCTCTCGGGTTCAAGCAATTCTCCTGCCTCAGCCTCCTGAGTAGGTGGGTTTACAGGCGTCCACCACCACGCTCAGCTAATTTTTTTTTTTTTTTTGTATTTTTAGTAGAGATGGGGTTTCACCATGTTGGCCAGACTGGTTTTGAACTCCTGACCTCAAGTGATCCACCCGCCTTGGCCTCCCAAAGTGCTAGGATTACAGCCATGAGCTACTGCGCCCAGCCCACATGTAACTTTTCTAGTGATTCAAACAGCCCTGCTTTCTAGCATTTTCTAGAATGTACCAACTTTTGAAAAAAAAATTTTTTTCTCAGGAAAGAAATGGACAACTTAGAAGTGTAAGCAAGACCCAGAAACCCAGCTAAGGCTGTGCGGGGAAATGGGGTTCTAAACTCTGAGAAACCTCATTTCTTTTTTTTCATCAGTAGATACCATTATTATTCAGCCATTGTCTCGCCATTGCTTGATACTACTTACTGAGTGAAAGGGTGAAGAGATCAGCTTACCACAGTTACTGAGTATGTATTATGCCAACTCCTGAACTAGGCACCAAGGCTATAGAAACAGAAAAAAAAAAAAACCAAAATGCCACAATATCCCTACCCTCAAGGAGACACAAAAAAGTGTTCATTGTACTCTCCCCAGTCATAGGGCATTTTAAGAAACTTGGAGTCTGATGGGGAAAATTAGACTAGGTATTGTGTTTTTAAAAGAATTTACAGGCTGGGTGCAGTGGCTCACGCCTATAATCCCAGCAGTTTGGGAGGCCAAGGTGGGAGGATCATTTGAGGTCAGCAGTTTGAGACCAGCCTGACCAACATGGTGAAACCCTCTCTCTCTAAAAATACAAAAAAATTAGCTGGGTGTGGTGGCACATGCCTGTAGTCCCAGCTACTCGGGAGGCTGAGGCAGGAGAATTGCTTGAACCCGGGAGGCAGAGGTTGCAGTGAGCCAAGATCACGCCACTGTATTCCACCCTGGGCAACAGAGCAAGACTCCATCTCCAAAATAAAAAAAGAATTTATAAAAGCCTCTCATTTGTAATTGTTTACATTCACAAACATCAAACAGTAAAGACGACACATAGAGAATTTCAGTGACACCGTATATGCATATATATCTTAAACTTGCAATAATATGTAAAAATAATTTGTTTTCCATCCCTTGTTAGAAACTTTCCTTTTCTCAATTTCAGTGAGAAGATAATATATTTATATTGCTTTATTGCAGATAATATGTTTATTAGGGGGCTTTTTTTCCTGTACATTCCTCTATGTAATTGTTTAATACTATCATGATTTAATGACACAAATCATTGACTATTGTCTCTATAGTCCCACTGTATCTCTTGGAATACTTGAAATAGAAAATGTTCTAGGAAACTTTATTTAACCAATCCAATTCACTGTAGTATTTCCCAAACTCCTTAGTTCTCAGAGTTATATGGCCTTGGCCCAGACTAGAATCAGTACATGTTAATGTACTTCAGAACCATGAGTGAAAACTCTTACTTGGCTGTCACCTCTTAATCGGCTTAGCTCCCTCTGCACTAACAGATGTTGGCAGGCAGTTCTGAGCCTGTACAGTATTTCTTTTGCTACAGCTTTCTTTACTTCTCTTGAAGCTGTACTACCAAAAAAAAACCTGTTTGGGCTTCTGTGTTAACTATTTTCTCCTCTCAGTCTTCCAAATCCCACCCCATTTTAAAAAATAAAGTGGGCCAGGCGTGTGGCACACACCTATAATCCCAGCACTTTGGGAGGCTGAGGTGGGTGGATCACCTGAGGTCAGGAATTCAAGACCAGTCTGGCCAACATGGTGAAACCCTGTCTCTACTAAAAATACAAAAATTAGCTGGGCGTGGTGGTGGGTGCCTGTAATCCCAGCTACTTGGGAGGCTAAGGCAGGAGAATTGCTTGAACCTGGGAGGTGGAGGTTGTAGTGAGCTGGGATCACCACTGCACTCCAGCCTGGGCAACAAGAACAAAATTCCTTCTCAAAAAATAAAAATAAAATAAAAAATAATAAAAAATTAAAAAAATTTAAAAAACAAAATAAAAATAAAGTGACTTGAAATTCCTACATACTCAAAATTGAATTTTGTTTTGTTTTGTTTTGTTTTTTGAGACAGAGTCTCACTCTGTCACCCAGGCTAGATCGCAGTGGCACAATCTTGGCTCACTGCAACCTCTGCCCTCCGAGTTCAAGTGATTCTCCTGCCTCAGCCTCCCGAGTAGCTGGGATTACAGGCGCCTGCCACTGCACCTAGCTAATTTTTTGTATTTTTTAGTAAAGACGAGGTTTTACCATCTTGGCCAGGCTGGTCTTGAACTCCTTACCTCGTGATCCACCTGCCTCAGCCTCCCAAAGTGCCGGGATTACAGGTGTGAGCCACTGTGCCCAGCCTGTTTCACTCTTGTTGCCCAGGTTGGAGTGCAATGGCACGATCTTGGCTCACCGCAACCTCCACCTCCTGGATTCAAGTGATTCTCTTGCCTCAGCCTCCCTAGTAGCTGGGATTACAGGCATGTGCCACCATGCCTGGCTAATTTTGTATTTTTAGTAGAGACGGGGTTTCTCCATTTTGGTCAGGCTGGTCTCAAACTCCCAACCTCAGGTGATCTTCCCGCCTCGGCCTCCCAAAGTGCTGGGATTACAGGTGTGAGCCACTGTGCCCAGCCATAATTTTCTTATTTACCAAGTGTTTGTCTTGTTTTTTATGGCCTAATAGCATTTTGACCTAATAGCATTTATGGCCTAATAGCATTTTGTGGACAGTTGCTCGAGATAACATCAGTGGTAAGTGGTAAGAGCCAGAACTCAAACCCATGCCTTCTGATTCCATAACCTGTGCTATTTCTTTTTTGAATTTAGTTTTTATCTTTATCAAAGTTTTATATGCCCAAAATTTAAAGAGTATCTAATTATCTAAGATATATTATAATAAATAGCAGCCCCTCACCCTATCTATCCTCACCCCACTTAGAGATGCCACTTTCAACATTTTCAGCTAATTTTTTGGCATTTAACTCCATATCTCCAAATAACGTGCTTTTATTTTCTGTGTCTTAATTTTTTTAGCTTTAAGAATTATCTGTTCACTTCTTACTATAGAATGTAAAGATTTGGTTCTATTTTACCACATGCTCTGCCCCCACTACATGTATGCAACCTTGTATTTGGCCCAATTTCCTAATATAGTTATTCATATTGTATTATTAATTAACTGAATATTTTATGTTTATATTATCATGACTGTATAAATAGTATTCACAGTTGAGCCTTGTAGTATATGATTACTTTTCTCTTTCCTCCTTTTGTTTTCCTAAAGATTGTCTTGTTTTTTCATTTGCTTGTTTTTTATGTATTTGTCACTAATTCAACCCAAGCTCCAATTGTGTGAATTTCCTCTCCTTACATTGCAACACACTAGATGTCCTCTCAATTTCAAATTCTTCAAGGTACCTCTCCTAAAGCTTTTCTAACCTGAGTTAGTTGCCCTGCTGTAGAGCTGTCATTTTAGGTTCACCCTTCACTGTCATATCTTGAACCTCACGTTTTCTTCTTTCTTACTTTATACCCACATTTTCTGTAGGACACATCCTCTGGAAGCCTCCTGAGGTACAGATTGTGAGAAGTAAATTTTTGAGCTTTTGTATCCCTGAAAGTGTCTTTATTCTGCCCACATATTTGTTTCATATTTTGGCTGGATATAAACTTCTCTTGGAAATCATATCCCCTCAAAATTTTGAAGGTTTTTTGTTTTGTTTTGTTTTGTTTTGTTTTACTGTCTTCTAGCTTTTCTTTTAAGAAGTCCAACATCATTCTGATTCTTGATTCTTTGCATGAAACACTTTTTTCCTCTTTTTCTTGGGATGGGAGGGGGAGCTTATAGGATCTTTTTGTTTCCGAAGTTCTTCAAGTGAGAACACTTAAAATCTACTCTCTTAGGAATTTTCAAGAATACAATACATTGTTACTAACTAGTCACCAGGTTGTATTAGGTCTCTTTATGAGCTTATTCCTCCTAAGTGAAATTTTGTATTCTTTGACAAAGGTCTCACAATAGTTTTTTGTTTGTTTGTTTGTTTGTTTATCACATGGTATTCCTAAGCAGACTTCCATGCAAGTACTAACTAGGCCTGACCCTGCATAGATCAGATGAGATCAGATGCCTTCAGGGTGATATGGCTGTAGACTTCCCACCCCCACCCAGTAGTCTAAGTTTCTGGTTTCTTTTTCTTGTCTTACTGTGCTGGCCAGGACCTCCAATAAAATTATGTGTACAAATGATGCTAGTTGGCACCCTTTTCTCATTCCTGATTTTAAAAGGAATATTTTCAACATCTCTCCAGTTAAAATGATGTTTATTACTATAGGGGTGTGTGTGTGTGTGTGTGTGTGTTCGTTTTGAGACAGTCTCTCTCTGTTGTCCAGGCTAGAAGGCAGTGGCACAATCTTGGCTCACTGCAACCTCCGCCTCCTGGGTTCAAGCAATTCTCCTGCTTCAACCTCCCAAGTAGCTGGGATTACCAGCATGTGCCACCATGCCCAGCTAATATTTGTGTTTTGGTATGAGGTTTTGCCATGTTAGCAGAGATGATCTTGAACTCCTAGCCTCAAATGATCCACCTGCCTTGGCCTCCCAAAGTGCTGGGATTATAGGCGTGAGCCACCATGCCCAGCGTACTATACATTTTTATAGGTACTTGTTATCAGATTGAGAAAGTTCCTTTCTAGTTCTGGTTTATTGGGAGCTTCTTGGCCTAAGGATATAAATTTTATCAGATGCTTTTTCTGCATCTATCAAGTGGTATATGATTTTTCTCTGATGATGTGATGATGATACCTGGGATAAACCCAACTCGGTCATGGCTTATTATCCTTTTACATGTTGTGTTAGTTTTTACTACATAACAAATGTTCGTAAACTCTAGTGGCTTAAAACAACAAACATTTACTTGCTTATGAGTCTGTAGGTTGGCAGTTTGGCCTAAGTGTAGCCAAGATGGCTCATCTCTGTTCAAGTGATATCAGCTAGTGTTTTAACAATTAATTACTTATAAAAGTTGCCACACATTTAACAGTTTAAAACAACACTGTGGGCCAAGAATCCAGGCATGACTTAGCTGGTCCACCAGTCTTTCAGAAGGCTGCAGTCAAGATGTCAGCTAGGGCTGGAGTCTCATCTGAAGGCTCAACTGGGAAGGGATTTGGTTCCAAGCTTACTTGGTTATTGGGAGAATTTCATTTCCCTAGGACTGTTGGACTGAACCTCAGTTTCCACCATGCTGTTGGCCAGAAGCTACCCTCCTTTCTTTATCACTTGGGCCTTTCCAACTTGGAAACTTACTTCATCAAAGCCAGCAAGGGAGAAACTCTTCTAGAAAGACAGAAGTCACAATCTTATGTAACCTAATTATAGAAGTAACATTTTATTACCTTTGCCACGTTCTGTTGGTTAGAAGCAAGTCACTAGGCCAGCCCACATTCAAGAAGGGATATACAAGAATGTGAATACCAGGAGGCAACTATCATTCTTATCTTAGTCTCCTGTAACTGGGCTCATTAATATGTATAGAGCCTTGGTTGGGCACAGTGGCTCACACCTGTAATCCCAGCACTTTGGGAGGTGGGTGGATCACCTGAGGTCAGGAGTTCGAGACCAGCCTGGCCAACATGGCAAAACCCCGTCTCTACTAAAAATACAAAAATTAGCTGGACATGGTAGCACATGCCTGTGGTCCCAGCTACTTGGGAGGTTGAGGCAGGAGAATTGCTTGAACCCGAGAGGCGGAGGTTGCAGTGAGCCAAGGTTGCACCACTGCACTCCAGCCTGGGCGACAGAGCAAGACTGCACCTCCAAAAAAAAGAAAAAAAATATATAGGGAGAGCCTCAGCCTTGACAGCTGGATTTTTCTTTTCATCTAGTCTCTTACCATCCAGGGGGTTAGCCCAGGCTTGTTTACAAGGTAGCAGCAGCAGGTTCTAAGCATGACAGCAGAGGCTACAAAGTCTCTTGAAGTCTAAACTCAAAACACACACTGTCACTTCAGCTGCTGCGCTCTGTTAGTTCAAAGCTAGTTATGGAGCAAGCCCAGATATAAAGGATAGGGAACTAACCTTACCTTTGGATAGGAGGAGCTCCAACAAGTTTGTGACCCTTTTTAATCTACTCGACATACTATTTTGACTTGCTAATGAGTAAATTTGCCTGTTCCTTTCTCATAATATCCTTGCCTGGTTTTGGCATCAGGATCATGCTGGCCTTATAAAATGAGTTGGAATTCCTAACTCTAGACATAGCACCTACCATAGGGTAGGTGTACAAAGATATTTATTGGTAGAATGAATGAATCAATGAATGAATGGATAAGCAAAATGCCTGTAGATGAGACAGAAGAATCAGTCAGAAAAGTAAAAATCAACTAGGGAAAAAAACGTGAATACTTGAATATGACGGACTTTTTTTTTAATAGAAGTTCAGTTTTGTCTGCTTTCTTAAGTTTGTGTAGCCTTTCTTCTTAGGAAGACATTCTACAATTACCTGCTCTGCTCCCAAAGTGAAATTCCTATTTTGCTAAAGCAGAACAGAAAGAAACCTTTCCAAGTTTCTATAATTTGTATCACATTCTGAAGTCCCAGTTACTGTAATAGCTGCAAAGAAGCAATACAAGGTGGAGGGTCTGAGAGGGAGAGAAAAATGACTAAAGTGCAACATAGCTGAAAAATTGGCTGGCTGGAAATTATTGCTCCCAGGACATCAGTGATTCAAGGTTTCTGTGAGCCTTAGGACTTGAGTAGGGGAAGCATTCCAAATTATATCCAAAAATAACATCTCCGTGTTTCTTTTGTTAAATGGCTGGCTCATAATGAGACCCTTACAGACTTTGTTACATTCTCAAGTTTCCATGTAATGTATAAGTTGATATATGTCTAAGCTGCTATGTGGCATTTGAAATTCTCTGCAAAATTTAGCTTCAGATTGGCAGCATTTGCTCTTCCTTTTTTGGATTTCATTTGGTTATTGAACTAAAAAACCCCAACATATAATTTTTTATAATTGTTTTTCCTCATTTATATTAAAACACTGCATATAAGATGACCAGAGACCATCTGATTGGTGATCTTGAATACTTTCAAGTACCTGAGCTAAACGTATTGTACAATTGAATCATATATTTGGTTATAGGTATACAGGCAGCTTTAGCCAACAGCGAAACATATTCTGTTATTTAGCAGCCATTGTCTGTCAGTAGGAAGCAAATTCATCTTTACAGATCTCATTTTTCCTAGAGCTAAACTTTCTGTTTCTCCTATGTAAAGAGGTATTGAGGCATTGCTTTATGTGGTTGTTGTGAGGATTAAATTAGAGGGTGTATTTTGTTTAATTTTTAAACTTAACATTTTATTTAATGTTTTAGTTAATAACACTATTATAAATTCTTTACAAATATTAATTCACTTATTCTGCATAATAAACCTGTGAGACAAACACTATTATTATCCCCATTTTATAGATGAAACTGAGGAAGAGAGGTTAAGTAACTTGCTCTAACATAAACTGGTAATTGGCTGAGCTGGGATTCATACCTAGGCAGTCTGGCTCCAGAAGTTCTGTTCTTAATCATTCTGCTATTTTGTCACTATGAGAAAATGTTTCTGTAAGCTATAGATACTGTACAGATGTTAGTAGCACATATTATTAAGTATGTAACACTGTACTAGATGTTATGGGAGATAGAAAAGAATCAGAAGCCTGCCTTTGAAAAGTTTATAATCTAGTCGGGGAAGAGAAGTATGACATAGAAAATAGCAATAATATAGCAGCCTGTAAGATCACTGTCTACCAAGACCTCTTCACACATAATAAAATATAGACTATACATAGCATAGAATCTACTGCCTGTAGTTAATGTTGGTTGAATGTGGATGACTTTAAATAATATTATTCCCATTTTCACAGTAAGAAGACCTAGGTTATTATTTGCAGAGAGAAAATTCTTTAAAAAAAAAAAAAACGAAGCGCCCTAAATAAATAAAGTAACTTTACTTAATTAATTAATTTATTTATTGAGATGGAGTCTCACTCTGTCGCCCAGGCTGGAGTGCAGTGGTGTGATCTCAGCTCACTGCAGCCTCTGCCTCCCAGGTACAAGTGATTCTCCTGCCTCAGCCTCCCAAGTACCTGGGATTACAGGCGCCTGCCACCACACTCGGCAGCTGATTTTTTTATTTTTAGTAGAGACGAGTTTCACCATGTTGGCCAGGCTGGTCTGGAACTCCTGACCTCAGGTGATCCACCTGCCTTGGCCTCCCAAAGTGCTGGGATTACAGGTGTGAGCCACCATGCCCGGCCTATTTATTTCTGAGAGAAGGTCTTGGTCTGTCACCCGAGCTGGAGTGCAGTACAGCAGTCATGGCTCACTGCAGCCTTAGCCTCCCAGGCTAAAGGGATCCCCCTGCCTCAGCTTCCTCACTATAGGTGCATGCCACCATGCCCAGCTAATTTTTTTATTATTTGTAGAGATGAGGTCTTGCAGTGTTGCCCAGGCTGATCTTGAATTCCTGGGCTCAAGTGATGCTTCTGCCTCAGCCTCCCAAAGTGCTGGAATTACAGGCAGGAACCACTGCCCAGCCACTCTCTCTTTCTTTGTAATATATATTCAATATATATAATGCATACATAATATAATATATATGATTATTATTTTCTGAGCTATCTGAGAATAAGTTGCAGATATGATTTTCCTTTGCCTTTAAATACGTCAATAAGTATTTCCTCCCTCTCCTCCAAAAATGATAGTCTCTCAAAACAGGAAATTACATTGGTACCATACTTTAACATACAGACCTTGTTTAAACGTCACCAATTAATAATATCCTTTAGAGCAGTACAAAACAAATTTGATCACCTATGTTTTAAACACCATGGCATGTGCTATAGGACACTCATTGGTATAGTTTGGATGTTCCCCCAAATCTCTTGTTGAAATGTAATCCCCAGTGTTGGAGGTAGGGCCTGGTGGGAGGTGTTTGGGTCATGGGTGCGGATCCCTCATGGCTTGGTGCTGTTCTTGTGATAGTGAGTGAGTTCTCATTTAAAGGTGTATGGCATCTCTCCCCCAGCTCTCTCTTATTCCCTCTCTTGCCATGTGACCAGCCTGCTCTCGCTTTACCTTCTGCCATGAGTAAAAAGTTCCCTGAGGCTTCCCCAGAAACCTCCTGTATGCTTCCTGTATACCCTGCAGAACCATGAGACAATTATAAATTATAAATCTTTCTTTGTAAATTACCTAGTTGCAGATTCTTTATAGTAACGCAAAATGGCCTAACGCACTTATTATAGCTCCTCTCTCATCTCAATCCTGTTTTTTTTTTTTGAGATGGAATCTCACTCTGTCACCCAAGCTGGAGTGCACTACAGTGGCACGATCTCAGCTCACTGCAACCTCCACCTCCCGGGTTCAAGT
The DNA here is from genome assembly GCF_000001405.40 of Homo sapiens. Taxonomy (NCBI): domain Eukaryota; kingdom Metazoa; phylum Chordata; class Mammalia; order Primates; family Hominidae; genus Homo; species Homo sapiens. Next base: position 44,927,048 of record NC_000001.11, on the reverse strand, counting down.
AATTCTCCTGCCTCAGCCTCCCAAGCAGCTGGGACTACAGGGCGTAACACCACACTCGGCTAATTTTTGTATTTTTAGTAGAGACAGTCTTTCGCCATGTTGGCCAGGCTGGTCTCAAAGTCCTGACCCCAGGTGATCCACCCACCTTGGCCTCCCAAAGTCTTGGGATTACAGGCGTGAGCCACTGCACCCACCCTTCAATCCTGTGTTGTTTCCAAGAGCACTGAGCAGATACTGTGTTCCCTGGTGTATTCATACAGGCAGGGCAAATGGCTTTATTTGATTTTTTTTTTCTTTTGTATGATTCAGTGGAGCAGCGTGACTTCATTGGAGTGGACAGCACAGGAAAGAGGCTGCTCTTCATGGCTAATGAAGCAGACTTGGATGAAGAGCTGGTCATTAAGGGATCCATCCTACAGAAGTAAGCCCTAGGGTTTTTTCTTCTGGCAATTCTCCTTGTCTTAAAACAAAATAAAACCACCCAGTGGATGGGAAAGAGGGAATGAAAACTAGACTATACTGTGTGAAATTGACAAAAGTATGTGAATATTTTTCCCATGAGACAGGATGAAGGCTTTTCTTCACTGCATAAGCCTGTTTCCCTGTCTTTTCTTGCCAAGGTAGAGCCAAATCCTGCAAAAGAGTAAAGCAAAGCAGCTGTGAGGAGAACAGGACTGTCTTTCTGACAGTGTTATAAATCCCCTTTAAAAAAAAAAGTGGTAAAAAAAACACATGACATAAAATGTACCATTGTAACCTTTGTTTTTTTGTTTTGTTTTGGTTTGGTTTGGTTTGGCTTTGGTTTTTGTTTTAAGTTTTTTGAGACTGAGTCTCACTCTGTCACCCAGGCTGGAGTACAGTGGTGCAATCTTGGCTCACTGCGACCTCTGCCTCCTGGGTTCAAGTGATTCTCCTGCCTCAGCCTCCTGAGTAGCTGGGATTACAGGTATGCGCCACCACGCCCAGCTAATTTTTGTATTTTTAGTAGAGACGGAGTTTCACCATGTTGGCCAGGCTGGTCTCTAGCTCCTGACCTCAAGTGATCCGCCCACCTCGGCCCCCCAAAGTGCTAGGATTACAGGCGTGAGCCACCGTGCGGCCCATTCTAAGTGGCCTTTTTTTTTGGAGAGGGAGTCTTGCTCTGTTGCCCAGGCTGGAATGCAATGGTGCAATCTTGGCTCACTGTAACCTCCGCCTCCCAGGTTCAAGCGATTCTCCTGCCTCAGCCTCCCAAGCAGCTGGGACTACAGGCATGTGCCACCACACCCAGCTAATTTTTGTATTTTTAGTAGATACGGGGTTTCACCATATTGGCTGGGCTGGTATTGAACTCCTGACCCGTAGTCCACCCGCCTCAGCCCCCAAAGTGCTGGGGATTACAGGAGTGAGCCACCGTGCCCAGCCCTAAGTGGCCATTTTTAAGTGAACAGTTGAGTAGTGTTAAATGTGTTCACATTGTGGTGAAACAGATCTCGAGAACTTTCATCTTGCAAATCTGAAATTCTATACCTATCAAACAACAGCTCCCCTCCCCATTTTTTTCTCCCCGCAAGGCCTTGCTACCCACGATTCTACTTTAAATATCTAAGTGAAATCATACAATATTGGTCTTTTTGTGACTGGCTAATTTTACTTAGCATAATGTCCTCAAGGTTTGTCCATGCCGTAGCATATAACGGATTTCGTTTTTTTTAAGGCTGAATAATACTCCGTTGTATGTATGTAGCCACATTTTGTCATCCATTTATCTTCTGACAGACATTTGAGTTGCTGCCACCTCTTGGCTATTGTGAATAGTGCTGCAGTGAACGTGGGTGTACAGACATCTCTTCAAGACCTTGCTTTCAGTTCTTTTGGATATATATTTAGAAGTGGGATTACTGGATCATATGGTAGAGAACTATGATGTTTAATTTTTTGAGGAAACTACATACTGTTTCCATGGCATTTTCACTATTTTACAATCCCACCAACAGTGCATAAGAGCCCCAGTTTCTCCACACCAGTACTTACATGGTAGCTGGTCTCAGATACAGAAGGAAAAGAGAATTCATTTATGTTATATCAAAACAAATAAAACATCTGGGCAGAGCCATGACTCAAGCATGAGTAAGCTCAAAAGAATCAGAATGTCAGCTGTACAAATATACTACAGAAAACAAAATGAAAGCAAGAAAAATGTCCCGTAAAAGACAAAGAAGCTATCCTGAAAAGAATATAACTCAAGAAACAGAAGAAATTTTCTTAAAACTATGCAACTGTATAACCATAAAACTACTTATTACAACATGAATTTAATAAATAAAAGTTCAGTAATGAGATGATAAAAAAGAGGATATTATAGAACCAAAAAAAAGAGGATTGGCCAGGCATGGTGGCTCACGCCTGTAATTCCAGCACTTTGGGAGGCAGAGGCAGGTGGATCACAAGGTCGGGAGATCGAGACTATCCTGGCTAACACAGTGAAACCCCGTCTCTACTAAAAATACAAAAATTAGCCAGGCGTGGTGGCATGTGCCTGTAGTCCCAGCTACTTGGGAGGCTGAGGCAGGAGAATTGCTTGAACCCAAGAGTCAGGGGTTGCAGTGAGCCTAGATTGCGCTGGGCGACAGAGTGAGACTCGGTCTCAAAAAACAAACAAAAACAAACAAACAAAAAAAGGATTAAATTATTACAGAGTTAATAAATTTTAAAATAGCTAAAGAATGGCATAGACACCACTGAAAATCAAATTATTGACAAAGAGGAATGGTCTGAGATATCAGTGATCTAGGTAAAAAAGAAAATCGTTTAAGAAATTAGAATCTCTGGCTGGGCGCGGTGGCTCACGCCTGTAATCCCAGCACTTTGGGAGGCCTAGGCGGGGGGATCACGAGGTCAGGAGATCAAGACCATCTTGGCTAACACGGTGAAACCCTGTCTCTACTAAAAATACAAAAAATTAGCTGGGTGTGGTGGCAGGCACCTGTAGTCCCAGCTACTCGGGAGGCTGAGGCAGGAGAATGGCATGAACCTGGGAGGCAGAGCTTGCAGTGAGCCGAGATTGCACCGCTGTACTCCAGCCTGGGTGACACAGCGAGACTCTGTCTCAAAAAAAAAAAAAAAAAAGGAAAGAAATTAGAATCTCTGAGGTTGGAGGATTGCTTGAGCCTAGGAGGTTGAGGCTGCAGTGAGCCATGATTGTACTACTGCACTCCAGGCTGGGTGACAGAGTGAGACCCTGTCTCAAAAAAATGAAAGAAAGAAAGAGAGAAAGAGAAGGAGGGAGGGAGGAAGGAAGGGAGGAAAAGAAAGAAATTAGAATCTCATAGAAATGAAATACAAAGATGATTAAATGTAATTAATGAATTAATGCCTCTGAATTAGAACATGGATTTCTAGAAAGAAAGAAATGGAGAGAAGAAAACATCAGTGAAATAATTTTTAAAATTTTCTGAGGATAAAAGGAACTGGGTTTCTAGACTGAAAGGAAACTGAGTTCCCAGTAAAATGGAGAAAAGAAACATACCAAGGTTATCATTGTGAAATTTTATAACTGCTAACAAAGAGATCTTACAAGCTCCCGGAGAGGAGAGAGGATATCATATACAAAGGAATTAAAATAGCTTTGAACTTCCTAACAGCAATACTGGCAACTATAAACAATGACTTTAACATTCTTATTTCTATCTAATCAAACTATCAATCAAATATGAGAGTAGAATGAGAACTTTTTAGACATTTGTTTTCCATGCATCTATTTTGAGAAAGCTTACTAGACAAGGATGCCCACTTTCACTGCTGTTACCCAGCATAGTACTGGAAGTCCTAGCTAGAGCAGTCAAACAAGAGAAGGAAATAAAGGGCATCTAAATTGGAAAGGAAGAAGTCAAATTATCTGTGTTTGCAGATGAAATAATCTTGTATTTGGAAAAAACTAAAGACTCCATGAAAAACTATTAGAACTGATAAATATAGTAAAGTTCCAGGATACAAAGTCAATATATGAAAATCAGTAGTATTTCTATATGCTAACAGCAAAGGATCTGAAAAAGAATTAGCCAGGCATGGTGGTATGTGCCTGTAGTCCCAGCTACTTGGGAGGCTAACGCATGAGAAGTGCTTGAAGCTGGGAGGCAGAGGTTACAGCGAGCCGAGATGGTGCCGCTGCACTCCAGCCTGGGCAACAGAGCAAGACTCAGTCTCAAAAAAAAAAAAAAAAAAAAAAAAAAATCTGAAAAAGAAATCAAGAAAGTAATTCTATTACAATAGCTACAAATAAAATAAATTACCTGGGGATTAACTTAACCAAAGAAGCAAAAGGTCTCTACAATGAAAATTATAAAATATTGATGCAAGAATTTGAAGAGGACACAAAAAATGGAAAGATATTCCATGTTCATGGATTGAAAAAATCAGTATTGTTACAATATCCATACTCCTCAAAGCAATCTGCAGATTTTTTTTTTTTTTTTTTTGTCTTGAGACAGAGTCTCGCTCTATATCCCAGGCTAGAGTGCAGTGGTGTGATCTCAGCTCACTGCAACCTCCACCTCCCGGGCTCAAATGATTCTCCTGCCTCAGCCGCCCAAGTAGCTGGGATTACAGGCGCCCACCACCATGCCCAGCTAATTTTTGTATTTTTAGTGGAGATGGGGTTTCACCATGTTGCCCAGGCTGGTCTTGAACTCCTGACCTCAGGTGACCCTCCCGCCTCGGCCTCCCAAAGTGCTGAGATTACAGGCGTGAGCCACCATGCCTGGCTGCAATCTATAGATTTTATGCAATCCCTATCAAAATACCAATGACATTCTTCACAGAAATAGAAAAAACAATCCTAAAGTTTATATGGAATTGGCTGGGCATGGTGGCTCACGCCTGTAATTCCAGCACTTTGGGAGGCCAAGGCGGGTGAATCATTTGAGATCAGGAGTTAGAGACCAGAGACCAGCCTGGCCAGTGTGGTGAAACCCCATCTCTACTAAAAATACAAAAATTAGCTGAGCGTGGTTGTGGGCGCCTGTGATCCCAGCTACTTGGGAGGCTGAGGCAGGAGTATCACATGAGATGGAGGTTGCAGTGAGCTGAGATTGCGCCATTGCACTCCAGCCTGGGTGACAGAGCAAGACTCCATCTCAAAAAAAAATAAATAAAATAAAATAAAATAAAAAAATATATATATATGGAATTACAGAAGACCCAGAATAGCCAAAGTTATCCTAAGCAAAAAGAACAAAGCTACAGGAATCATATTACCTGACTTCAAATTATACTACAGAGCTTTGGTAACCAAAACAGCATGGTACTGACATAAAAACAGACACATAGGTCAGTGGAACAGAATAGAGAACCAGAGATAAATCCATACACCTTCAGTGAACTCATTTTTGACAAAGGTGCCAAGAATATACGTTGGGGAAAGGACAATCTCTTCAATAAATGGTGCTAGGAAAACTGGATATCCATATGCAAAAGAATGAAACTAGACCCCTGTCTCTTGCCATATACAAAAATCAAATAAAAATGGTTAAAGACCTAAATCTAAGACCTCAAACTATGAAGCTACTACAAGAAACCATTGAGGAAAGTCTCCAGGACATTGGTCTGAGCAAAGATGTCTTGAGTAATACCCCACAAGCACAGGCAACCAAAGCAAAATGGACAAATGGGATCATATCAAGTTAAAAAGCTTTTGCACAGCAAAGGAAACAATCAATAAAGTAAAGAGACAACCCACAGAATGAGAGAAAATATTTGCAAACTACCCATCTGACAAGGGATTAATAACCAGAATATAGAAGGAGCTCAAACAACTCTATAGGAGAAAACCTAATCTGACTTTTAAATAGGCAAAAGATTTGAATAGACATTTCTCAAAAGAAGTCATACAAATAAATGCCAAGCAGATATATGAAAAGGTGTTCAACATCACTGATCATCAGAGAATGCAAATAAAAACAATGAGATGTCATCTCACCTTAGGTAAAATGCCTTTTATCCAAAAGTGAGGTAGTAGCAAATGCTGGCAAGGTTGTAGAGAAAGGGGAACTCTCATATACTGTTTATGGGAATATAAATTAGTACAGCCACTATGGAGAACAGTTTGGAGGTTCCTCAAAAAAGTAAAAAATAGAGCTACCATACAATCCAGCAATCCCACTCCTAGGTATATACCCACAAGAAAGGAAATCAGTATATTGAAGAGATATTTGCGTTCCTATGTTTATTGCAGCACTGTTCACAATAGCCAAGGTTTGGAAGCAACCTAAGCGTCCATCAACAGATGAATGGATAAAGAAAATGTGGTACATATACACAATTAAGTACTATTCAGACATAAAAAAGAATGAGATCCTGTCATTTACTACAACATGGATGGAACTGGAGGTCATTATGTTAAGTGAAATAAGCCAGGCTCAGAAAGACAAACTGCATGTTTTCACTTACTTGTTTGTGTGAGCTAAAAATCAATGGAACTCATGGAAGTAGAGAGTAGAAGGATGATTACCAGAGGCTGGAAAGGGTAGAGAGTGTGGGGGTGGTGGGAGTGGGGAATGGTTAATGGGTACAAAAAATTAGTTAGAAAGAATGAATAAAACCTAATATTTGCTAGCACAACAGGGTGACTATAATAAAAAATAATTTAATTGTACATTTTAAAATAACTAAGAGAGTATAATTGGATTGTTTGTCACACAAAAGATAAATGCTTGAGGTAATGGATACCCCCATTTACCCTGATGTGATTATTACGTATTGCATGCCTGTGTCAAAATATCTCATGTAACCCATCAGTGTATGTACCTAGCATGTACTCACAAAAATTAAAAATTAAATTAAAAAAGGAAAGCTGCTAGAGTTTATATAGCACCAAAACCTTAGCATAAACTAAGAAAGAGGAAGACACAGGATATAAGAAAAAGGGCACTGATGCTTGAACCTGGGAGGCAGAGGTTGCAGTGAGCCTAGATCGCATCATTGCACTCCAGCCTGAACGACAGAGGGAGACTCTGCTCGAAAAAAAAAAAAAAGAAAGAAAAAGGACATTCAGGCCGGGTGCAGTGGTTCATGCCTATAATCCCAGCACTTTGGGAGGCCGAGGTGGGCGGATCACGAGGTCAGGAGATCAAGACCATCCTGGCCAACATGGAGAAACTCCATATCTACTAAAAAAAAAAAAAAAAAAGTAGCCAGGCATGTTGTCGCATGCGTGTAATCCCAGCTACTTGGGAGGCTGAGGCAGGAGAATCGCTTGAACCCGGGAGGTGGAGATTGCGGTGAGCCGAGATTGCACCACTGCACTGCAGCCTGGTGACAGAGTGAGCCTCCGTCTCAAAAAAAAAAAAAAAAAAAAGGACATTCAATTAAGATGAAATGAATCCCCAGTATGATGATGAAGGGAGATTCCAGGCTAACACATGTACACCCAGTATAAATGGCAACCAGACCACACTGGAATAGGTCAGAAAACTTGGGAATGATTTCTTCAAGATGATCATATTTCTTCTGATGAAAATGACACAACATGTGATGTGTTTCAACATTTTGAGACGATTTGGAGCACTTAAGTAGTTAGTTTGGAGTTGAACTATTGGTAAGCACCTAGAAAACTAAGAAATAAGACAATTATTCACACCAAGGCAAACCACAAAAATGTGCAGGTGAAAAAATTCTTAGTGACTGTGTGGTTCAGCTGTAACTAATTTTTTTTTTTTTTTTTGAGAGGGAGTCTCAGTCTGTTGCCCAGGCTGGAGTGCAGTGCCGTGATCTCAGCTCACTGCAACCTCCACCTCCTGGGTTCAAGTGATTCTCCTGCCTCAGCCTCCCGAGTAGTTGGGATTACAGGCGTGTGCCACCACGCCCAGCTAATTTTTTTGTATTTTTAATAGAGATGGAGTTTCACCATGTTGGCCAGGCTGGTTTCGAACTCCTGACCTCAAGTGATCCACCCACCTCAGCCTCCCAAAGTGCTAGGATTACAGGCATTAGCCACTGAGCCCGGCCTGTAACTAATATTTAAATATGCATACTAATGCAGTCACTGATACAGTCTAACCCAAATTATGATTTAATTACTTTGGAATGATGAGATGAGGTTAGTATGTTGGAAGCATGAGGGAATAAAAGAGTGAAATCGTCCTTTTCTATAGTAAATAGCTAATACGTAGAGCTGAAGTCATAATAACTTAAGCATTGATTATTGAGCTGACCAAAATAATATAACAATTATTGGGAAGGTAAAACGCATAAGGAAGTATGGGTGTATATGATGGGAGCAGGGTTGATGATGAAAATAAGTTAAATCCTGTTTTCCACAATGGAAAATCAGATTATTCCTGAAATGGAAAACCTGAAAAATACCAATATAAGAATGCTATTGGTTAGGTGCAGTGGCTTACGCCTGTAATCCCAGCACTTTGGGAGGCAGAGGCAGGTGGATCACCTGAGGCCAGGAGTTTGAAACCAGCCTGGCTAACTTGGTGAAACCCTGTTTCTACTAAAAATACAAAAAATTAGCCGGGTGTGGTGGTGTGCACTGGTAATCCCAGCTACCCAGGAGGCTGAGGCAGGAGAATTGCTTGAACCTGGGAGGCGGAGGTTACAGTAAGCCAAGCTGGCGCCATTGCACTCCAGCTTGTGCAACAAGAGTGAAACTCCGTCTTAAAAAAAAAAAAGCTACTATGCTATTGCTGGGCACAGAGGCTCACTCCTATAATCCCAGCACTTTGGGAGGCCAAGACGGCCAGGTCACTTGAGGTCAGAAGTTTGAGACCAGACTGGTCAACATGGTGAAATCCTCTCTACTAAAATTAGAAAAATTATTTGAGCGTGGTGGTGGATGCATGTAATCCCAGCTACTCGGGAGGCTGAGGCAGGAGAATCGCTTGAACTTGGGAGGCAGAGATTACAGTGGAGCCAAGATTGTGCCACTGCACTGCATTCCAGCCTGGGGGACAGAGCGAGACTCCATCTCAAAAAAAAAAAAAAAAAAAAAAAGGCTGGGCACAGTGGCTCATGCCTGTAATCCCAGCACTTTGGGAGGCCGAGGCGGGTGGATCATGAGGTCAGGAGATTGAGACCATCCTGGCTAACACGGTGAAACCCCGTCTCTACTAAAAATACAAAAAATTAGCCGGGCGTGGTGGCAGGCGCCTGTAGTCCCAGCTACTCAGGATGCTGAGGCAGGAGAATGGTGTGAACCCGGGAGGCGGAGCTTGCAGTGAGCCGAGATCGCACCACTGAACTCCAGCCTGGGCAACAGAGGAAGACTCCGTCTCAAAAAAAAAAAAAAAAAAAAAAAAAAAAAAAAAAAAGAGTGTTATTGGTGGCAAAATAAATACTAAGTGGATCTGCTAAAAGAGTTACAAATGGGCATATCTGGGGAACAGAAAATGGGCAGGAAAGGGAATAGATGATTCAGTTTTTTTCATTAAAAGCCTTGAGAAACTACTTGCCTCTTTATATGCATATATAACTTCAATTTTAATTTTTTAAAATAAGAGCAAGATATATAATACATTAAAATTTCTGAATCAAGTAAAATCTGAAGATTTTTTTTTCTTTTTTTTTTTTTTGAGATGGAGTTTTTGCTGTTGTTGCCTAGGCTTGAGTATAATGGCGTGATCTCGGCTCACCGCAACCTCTGCCTCCCGGGTTCAAGATATTCTCCTGCCTCAGCCACCAGAGTAGCTGGGATTATAGGCATGAGCCACTATGCCTGGCTGATTTTGTATTTTTAGTAGAGACGGGGTTTCACCATGTTGGTCAGGCTGGTCTCAAACTCCTGACCTCAGGTGATTGGCCCGCCTTAGCCTCACAAAGTGCTGGGATTACAGGTGTGAGCCACCGCACCTGGCACATCTGCAGATTTTAAGAGTATAGTGTGTTCTAAGATAATTTGGCCAGATTTATCCTAATGTACTTATGAAGCTTCAGGGATAAAGAGAGAATTCAAGTATCCAGAGGCAAAAAGCAAATCATTTACATGGAAGAAAAAAATTAGGCTTACCTCTGAGTTATTCCCAACATTTAATACAAGAGGAACAATGTCCCGTCCACAGACTTTTCAGGGAAAGCAAGTGGAACTCGAGAATATTATAAACTGAGTATGCAGATTGATAGATAACCAGAAAAAAAAGAATATTATAAACAATGAAGATTTTATTCAAATATAAAAGCAGTAGGCATTCTCAGGCATGAAAAGACTTATGACATATGAGCCCTGAGCCCTTCCTTTTCTTTTTTCTTTTTTTTTTTTTGCGACAGAATCTTGCTCTGTCTCAAGGCTGGAGTACAGTGGCTCACTGCAGCCTCTGCCTCCTGGGCTCAATCAATCCTCCTACCTCAGCCTCCTGAGTAGCTACCACTATGGGTGTGCACCACCACATTTGGCTAATTTTTGTTTGTTTTTTGTTGCGAGGAAGTCTCATTATATTGCCCAGGCTGGTCTCAAACCCCTGGGCTCAAGTGATCCTCCCACCTTGGCCTCCCAAAGTGCTGGGATTACAGGAGTGAGCCACCATGCCAGGCCTGAGCCCTTCTTGAAAATAAAACTTCAACCAGCCTGTAATCCTAGCACTTTGGGAGGCCAAGGTGGGAGGATCACTTGAGCCCTGGAGTTTGAGATCAGCCTGGGCAATATGGTGAGATCTTGTCTCTATAAAAATAAAAATAAAAAAAAATAACCAAGCATGGTGGTGTATCCCTGTAGTCCCAGCTACTCCGGAGGCCAAGGTAGGAGAATTGTGTGAGCCCAGGAGGCAGAGGCTGCAGAGAGCCAAGATGATGCCACTGCACTCTAGCCTGGACAACAGAGAGAGACCCTGTCTCAAAATTAAAATAAAATAAAATGCCAAGAATTGAGTCAAAATAAAGAATATGGTAATAGAGAAACCATGTTCATTAACATTTAGCCCATTTATATGTAGAACTGACACACAACAACTATAGGAATTATGGTTGCAGAATGTAATTTAAATATCTTGAACCTGGACAACATAAAAATATAACTGCCAAAAATCAAGAGATAAAAGTGTGGGAAGAAAAAACATTGCTAGATATTAATAACATCATCTTTCATAGTAGGAAGTTAGAAAACATTAACAGACCTAAAAAAACCATAATAATTTCAACCTCTTAATATTTTGTTCTTAAAATCTGTTTTTAGGCACAAGATCTTCTAAGAAATAGTATCTTTAATGGTGAAGATATATTAAGTTTACTATTTCCTTCATTTTTACTTTTTCTTTTTTCTTTTGTTAAATACCAGTAAAATTGAATAGTCATTTTTATATTAAAAATAAAATTTTTAAAATAGCATTTTGTTTTTTATAACAGTACATCTATTTGTATATGTACATAAAGAAATGTCTATAATGATTGTTATTCCTGGGTAATAAGAATTAAAGCCAGGCACAGTGGCTCACTCCTGTAATCCCAGCACTTTGGGAGACCTAGGCTGGAGAATCACTTTAGCCCAGGATTTCAAGAGCAGCCTGGGCAACATAGCAGGACCTCATCTCTATAAATATTTTTTTTTAATTCGCTGGGCATGGCAGCACATGTCTTTAATCCCAGCTGCTTAGGTGGCTGAGACAGGAGGATTGCTTGAGCCTGGGAGGCCAAGGCTGCAGTGAACTTTCATCATTCTTGAGAGGAATTACCGGGGAGTTCGAGGCTGCAGTGCGTTGTGATCATGCCATTGCATTCCAGCCTAGATGACAGAACGAGACCCTATCTCAAAAAATAATAATAATAATTTTTTTTTTTTGAGACAGGGTCTCACTCTGTCACCCAGACTGGAGTGCAGCGGCACAATCTCTGCTTGCTGCAATCTCCGCCTCCCAGGCTCAAGCAATTCTCCTGCCTCAGCCTCCCAAGTAGGTGGGATTACAGGCATGTGCCACTACCACTCAGCTAATTTTTGTATTTTAAGTAGAGACAGGGTTTCACCATGTTGGCCAGGCTGGTCTTGAACTGCTGACCTCAAATGATCTACCTGCCTCGGCCTCCCAAAGTGCTGGGATTACAGGTGTGAGCCACCACGCCTGACCAAAAAATAAAATAAAATTTAAAATAATGGGCGGGGCATGGTGGCTCACACCTGTAATCCCAGCACTTTGGGAGGCCGAAGTGGGCGGATCACAAGGTCAGGAGTTCGAGACCATCCTGGCTAACACGGTTGAAACCGCATCTCTACTAAAAATACAAAAAATTAGCTGGGCGTGGTGGCGGGAACTTGTAGTCCCAGCCACTTGGGAGGCTGAGGCAGGAGAATGTCGTGAAACAGGGTGGCGGAGCTAGCAGTGAGCCAAGACCGTGCTACTGCACTCCGGCCTGGGTGACAGAGCGAGACTCCGTCTCAAAAAAGGAAGGAAGGGAGGGAGGGAAGAAAGGAAGGAAGGAAGGAAGGAGAATTTTTTAAACTCTTAGTAATTCTCTAAAATCCTTGAATTCTGTAAAATAAGTACATCTTTTTTCATAAAATAAATGTGATGTTTCTTTTTTAAAAACAACATTTATGCTGAGATAGTAACAATTCTGGAATGTGGAAGTATTGATGATTATTATTTTTTTCTTTGTACTTTTCTGTATTTTAAAAAATTTTCTGGCTGGGCACAGTGGCTCACGCCTATAATCCCAACACTTTGAGAGGCCGAGGTGGACGGATCACCTGAGGTAAGGAATTTGAGACCAGCCTGGCTAACACAGTGAAACCCATTTCTACTAAAAATACAAAAAATTACCCAGGCATGGTGGCGCACACCTGTAATCCCAGCTACTTGGGAGGCTGAGGCAGGAGAATCACTTGAACCTGGGAGGCGGAGGTTGCAGTGAGCCAAGATCACGCCATTGCATTCCAGCTTGGGCAACAAGAGTGGAACTCTGCCTCAAAAAAAAAAAAAAAAATTCCCAATTTAAAAAGTTTTAAAAGCAAGTAAGGCTGGGTGCGGTGGCTCACACCACTAATGTCCACTTTGAGAGACCAAGGCAAGAGAATAACTTGAGGCCAGGAGTTTGAGACCAGCCTGGGCAACATCCTGAGACTACATCTCTACAAAAAGTTTTTGAAAAAATTACCTGGGCATGTTGACGCGTGCCTGTAGTCCCAGCTACTTGGGAGGCTGAGGCTGCAGAATCACTTGAACCCGGGAGGCGGAGGTTGCAGTGAGCCGAGATTGTGCCATTGCACTCCAGCTTGGACAACAAGAGTGAAACTCCATCTAAAAAAAAAAAAATTCCCAATTTAAAAAGTTTTAAAAGCAAGTAAGGCTGGGTGCGGTGGCTCACACCTCTAATGTCCACTTTGGGAGACAGAGGCAAGAGGATCACTTGAGGCCAGGAGTTTGAGACCAGCCTGGGCAACATCCTGTGACCCCCATCTCAGTTTTTGAAGAAATACCTGGGCATGGTGACGCGTGCCTGTAGTCCCAGCTACTTGGGAGGCGGAGACGGGAAGATCCCTTGCACTCAGGAGTTTGAGGCTACAGTGAACTTTTTTCATGCCACTGAACTCTAGCCTGGGTGACAGAGTGAGACCCTATCTGTACAAGATTTTTTTTTTTTTTCCATTAAAACAGGCAACAGGGCCATCTAACTGGCAGGCTGTAGTTTGCTGACCCCACTCGGATTCTTTTTTTTCTCCATAAAGAATATCTGTGACAGAGCCTTGTGAGCACAGCTTGTTTCTTACAGTGGTCAGGATATAGCTGACTAGCTCTGGAATTCTGCGAAGAAAGAAGTAAGGGTTTTGTTTTGGATTTTTTTTTCCTAAATCCATTTATCAAAATAAAAACGTAGGAAGCAGAGGGAGTTTTTTTGTATTTCAGAAAAGCTCGCCACAAGATGCAATTAAACAATATCTCTTAATGTATTAAAAAATATGATCTTATTTGTAGCTATTAGGTTGGTGCAAAAGTAGTTGCGGTTTTTGCCTTTTTTTTTTTTTTTTTTTTTTTTTAACAAAAACCGCAATTGCTTTTGCACCAATGTAATATTTCTAGAATTACGAACTGCCACAGCTGGAAGGTCATTTAGTTAGTCTAGTCTTCTATATTTCAGGCAATGATTCTGAAAGCAAGGAAGAAGGGGTTTTGTTCAATGTATCTAGTTAGGGACAGAACTAGTCCTTATTCATGAGGACATTCTACTTTCAGGAACACATCCTTCAAATCTGGTCAAACCACTGTTTTGGTATTTAAGGCAGAAGACTTTTTCCTTGAGGCAGGGGACTTTATCTCAAATAGCTCATCAGCCTTGGTGGAAGATTCAATTATGCATGGAAAAGGTTAACAAACAATAGCAAGGGATATCAGATACTGAACAGTTATGTCCAACAGACAGTGTTCTAAGAATTCAAAGGAGGTATCTAATCCTAGGCGCTGAGGTGGTCAGGGAAACAGAATAGAATAATTCAGACTTGAAGGATTGATTTGGTCCGGATATGGAAAGGGACATGGGAAGCCAGCTGAATCCTATATGCCGAGAATGCCACGAGCAAAGGTGGGGAAGGACAGTTTGACCTGAATGGAAGGTTCATGTTGGGAAACTTGAGGAGATAAGGCTGAGATGTTAAGTTGGTCTAAAAATAGAGAGCCTTGAATACCAGGGAATTATTAAAAACTTTTGAGGAAGGAAATGATTATTCAAATATAGGATTCTGAAAAAAAATAATCTGACAGAAGTATGTAGGATAGATTTAAGGTATATAAGACTTGAAAAGTATCACAGTGTTGGATTGCTAAATTCAAGACTCTCAAGGAATTCTGTCCTTTGGAATACAGAAAGGAAAACTAATTGTGATTAGCAATTATTATGTGAAATGAGGGTCCTGACTCACATGCATCCATCAAGCACTGATGTTTATGCTTTGTTCTGTATTAGAGATAGCAGCCCTAGACATTAAGTTCTTAAAAGCACTATTCACAATAGCAAAGACTTGGAACCAACCCAAATGTCCAACAATGATAGACTGGATTAAGAAAATGTGGCACATATACACCATGGAATACTATGCAGCCATAAAAAATGATGAGTTCATGTCCTTTGTAGGGACATGGATGAAATTGGAAATCATCATTCTCAGTAAACTATCGCAAGAACAAAAAACCAAACACCGCATGTTCTCACTCATAGGTGGGAATTGAACAATGAGAACACATGGACACAGGAAGGGGAACATCACACTCTGGGGACTGTTGTGGGTTGGGGGAGGGGGGAGGGATAGCATTGGGAGATATACCTAATGCTAGATGACGAGTTAGTGGGTGCAGCGCACCAGCATGGCACATGTATACATATGTAACTAACCTGCACATTGTGCACATGTACCCTAAAACTTAAAGTATAATAAAAAAACAAAACAAAACAAAACAAACAAACAAAAAAGCAAGACTCATACGTTTCTCTGGTTACAACTAAAGGGTGGGTGGAGGTTGTTTTCTGTTTTCTTTTTAACCTCTGTGGGAACTAGTTTATGGCTCCATACAATGGAGTGTTAGTAACTGCCTTAATTGTAATTACATTTGACAATGAGAGCAAGGCTTGGGCATGATGGGAGCAAAGAAGATGGACCTAGTCAGAGGTGAGGTGATAATGAAGAGCAGGTGGATGTGTCTTTTTCCTTCATAGATGTCAAGCTCAGGGCCTTGACTAAGCACTGGGGTCATTGAGAGCAGATCTTCTATCAGTTTCCTAAGACTAGGCTGCATTTTTAGTTGTTGGCAGATTTTTTTCCTTGTTCTTCTGATTTATAATCCACACCCCAGTGATTCAGGATCTTTGGTGTGTAGTTATAAAAGGGTTGCAGGCTGGATAAATATGCATAAAAATATTCTCTCATTCCTATGACCCTCTGGGGTGTTGTGCTCCTCCTGCCTCAAGTGAGATGCTGGTTAAAAGCTAATTAGATTCAGATTTTCAAGCACTTTCTGATTATGAGAATACAGTACTTCCTTCTGTTTTTATCTTTTTTAAAACGCTGAATTTCCAAAGATGGAGGTTAGCTCCTAGTGAGCAAACACCAGTTATCTTGGATACGGCCTTCATGTATATAGGAAAATCAGAAACTTCTTGTAAAGTTTTTTTAACTTTTGTAAATTGGGTTCAGTCTATACTGCTCAGGAGATGGGTGCGCCAAAATCTCAGATTACCACTGAAGAACTTACTCATGTAACCAAATACCACCTGTTCCCCCAAAACCTATGGAAAAAAAATTTAAAAAAGAAAGAGAGAGAGAAAAGGACAATGACAGAATGTACATCCCATCAGTTTTCTCTTTCTGAGAGAGAGGCTGGGTGTGGTGGCTCACACCTGTAATCCCAGCACTTTAGGAGGCTGAGGTGGAAGGATTGCTTGAGCCCAGAAGTTTCAGACCAGCCTGGGCAACATAGCAAGACCCATTTCTCTCTTTTAAAAAAAAAAAAAAAAAAAAAAAAAAGCATTACTTGGGGGGGTGGGGAGGGATAAAATGTTTGCTTGATTTCAAAGACACCTGTTAGAATATGGTCAGGTGCAGAGGCAGCCTCCCCAGCAAGCTAGTCATCAGTCAGTACTAGTAACTTTACCTCAAAGGGCCCAGATTCTTATGACCTTGTTGGATTTAAACAAAGCACAACACCTTTCCTACATGTCTGATTGTTGCATTTCTGACTTGGAGAGGCATTACATGTAGTAGGAAAGAATGTTCTGGTAGAAGGAGCTTGTTACTGAAAATTCAGGTTCAGAGAATTTGCAGTCTAGTCTGGAGACAAACCAGCTGTGTGACCTTGAGCAAATAACTTTATTTTTCTAAGCCTCAGTTTCCCCCAGCTGAAATTGGCTTAGTTGGTCTTTAAAGAAACCCCCCTCCAGCTCTAAAATTCCTGCTTTATTTCTGACAGACATATGTTTTTAATAGTTCATAAGTAAAAGATATTTGTGCCAAATATTTAATAAGAAAATCATGTAGCTTTTCCCCAATGTTACATTGTTTTCTTTTGAATAGTTGTCAAGCTTTTTTACTGGAAGAGTAATGAAAATATTAAAACAAGCTCCTAAAGGATATCTTTAAAATGGAATAAAATGTTCACAAGGTCATCTTGGAAGGTTTAGACATCTATATCTGGGGAGTCAAGGACTTCAGTCAAGACCTCAAAGATCATGGCCAGATCTGTATTTCTGGGACTACAGATGATGAGAAATGGTTTAAACCCTTGATTATTTTCCCAATGGTGTGGGAGTCTTGAAATACTATTTATGTAAGTTAGTACCTCTGCTGCTCCTAACCAGCCCTAATTCCCAAAATACCTCTCTTAATTTGCAGTTTGGGATGGGGGCAGGTACAGAAGGGAAGAAGGGCTTGTGGAAGTTAGGATCACAAACCTTTCCCAAGGTATCTTGTCCAGTGTATTCTTACTCTTTTGTACTTTTAATTTACTTCTATAAAATGATATGGCTGTAAGATAACCCATGTCAATATCTTTAAGTCTTTGCTTTGGAGCTGGCCATATAGACTTCAGAGAAAAATCTTCCAATCTCCTGCCTGGGTGGGTAAAAGCTGTGCTGCCAATTCCTGATCATTTCAGGGCTCCTGAGATACAAATCAAGCTGCTTCTTAGCTTTCCTTATAGATGGTTTAGGATTCACCTTTCTTGGATATGCTA
Organism: Homo sapiens; assembly: GCF_000001405.40. Classification (NCBI taxonomy): domain Eukaryota; kingdom Metazoa; phylum Chordata; class Mammalia; order Primates; family Hominidae; genus Homo; species Homo sapiens. The sequence continues at coordinate 44,909,427 of NC_000001.11, read as the reverse complement.
AATCTGTTACCACCACCATCCTTTTGTTTTCCAGCTTCCAAAATTTTGTTGTCATCTCTTCTTGTGGTCTTTGTCCTTGTGGGTTTATGTCTTTAAAAAAAAAAAAAATCTGTACTGACACTTCAGTGAGTTTTCAGAAAGAGGATGGGTTAACGCTTATGTTTAATCTGCCATCTTTACCCAGAATCCTGTTTCCTTATTTCAGCCTCAAATCTTTCTAGTCCCTTACTACCACCACTCCTACCCTCTCTTTTTTCTCTCCCTCTCTCTCTCTTTTCCCCCCTCATTTCCTTCTTCATCCAATCTAGGTCCTGTGCCTTCAGGCATTTCTCTCCAAGTCCAAAGTCTTTAGGAGAAATATTATGCACGGATATAAATTGGCAGCACTATAAATTCATGGCTCCTATCTTAGCTGAACCCTCAGAACCACTCTTCATTCTTCCATTTGTCCTGGGCCAGCTTTCCACTCCTCTCAGAAGCTGTTCTCTACCATCACCATTCTCCTGTCAAAACATGGGCCTGCTGATTTCCCCAGCTACCCCATCCATGACTTTGCCTTTATTCAGACCCACCTTCGATTCCTTTCCTCCAGCATTAGAAGAAGTTTGGGGCCAGTCCCTTCATTTATGCCTTTTACCCCCTTTCTTCTGCCACTCCTGGAACCTTTTCTCCATTAGTTTTTTCAACATTCTCCAGAATTTTCAACTTTGCTTTCCACTATCTCTTTATCCCAAATCTATAAATACATTGCTTGTAGAATAAAGCACACATTCCTAAAGCCCTCAGTTATCTAATCATGCTTACCCCTCCAGCCTTATATCTCATCTTTCTCTAACACAACCCCATTCTCAACATTCTATCAGTAGCTATGAAAAATTGCTTATAGTTCTGTTAACTTCTGCATTCCTTGTAATGTCTTTGTCCTTTTACTTTTCACCGTTCCTGGTAATCCTTCAGCCAAAGTTACTCTTCTCTCCCTGGCTAAGAACTTATTTTTCTTTCAAGACTCAGCTCAAATATCATTTTTCTGTGAAGATTTTTCTAATCTTTCCTGTCATAGGCAGAACCGTGCTTCTTCCTTTGTGCTCCCCTATATACTGAAGAAAGTTCTGTGGTAACATTTATAACCCTGTATTGCTCTGGACTATAAGTTACATAAGGATAGTGGTTGTATTTTGTCTTTGTAGGCCTAAGGTCTAATACATGGCCTGACATAGTAGGATCCCAGTAAATTTGTTGGAAGAGGACATTAATGGAGCCAGAGTGTCACCTTGTGTTTGAATGTGCTTTGGCAACAGAGTCTTTATAGGCAGAGCTGAGACTTCTTAATCTTGTGAATTGGAGAAAGGGCTGGAACAGCATTATTTGCACCACATTCTTCAGATCAAAGCAGTCATAAGCCCAGCCCAGAGTCATGAGATGCAAAATAGACTCTACCTCATGATGGGAGGAGCTGCAAAGTTACTTTACAAAAGGATATGAGTACAGAGAGGGGAATAATTGTGGCCATCTTTTTTTTTTTTTTTTTTTTTTTTTTGAGATGGAGTTTCGCTCTTGTTGCCCAGACTGGAGTGCAATGGCGTGATCTCGGCTCACTGCAACCTCCACCTCCTGGGTTCAAGCGATTCTCCTGCCTTAGCCACCGAGTAGCTGGCATGCACCACCATGCCCGGCTAATTTTGTATTTTTAATAGAGACAGGGTTTCTCCATGTTGGTCAGGCTGGTCTTGAACTCCTGACCTCAGGTGATCCCCCCACCTCAGCCTCCCAAAGTGCTGGGATTACAGGCATGAGCCACCGTGCCCGGCTGTGACCATTTTTAAAACAATCTACTGTAGTCCCAACTACCAAAGCATTTTTTGTTTGTTTTTGAGAAGGAGTTTTGCTCTGTCGCCAGGCTGGAGTGCAATGGCACGATCTTGGCTCACTGCCACCTCTGACTTCCTGGTTCAAGCAATTCTCCTGCCTCAGCTTCCCAAGTAGCTGGGATTACAGGCACGCCCCACCACGCCCAGCTAATTTTTGTATTTTTAGTAGAAATGAGGTTTCACCATGTTGGCCAGGATGGTCTCCATCCCCTGACCTCGTGATCCACCCACCTCGGCCACCCAAAGTGCTGGGAGTACAGGCATGAGCCACCGCGCCCAGCCACTACCAAAGCATTTTAAGCAGGGAATGACACAATCAAATTTGCCTTCGAAAGATAACTCTGGATACAATATGGAGAAAGGATTGGAGTTGGGTAAGAGAGGATGCAGAGAGACCAAGTAAGGGAAGGTATTGTAGTAATCCAGGTAAGAAGTAATGGTAATTTGAACTAGGGTATTGACAGTGGAGTTGGAGAAAAGTAGATAAGTTAGAGAAGGATTTAGCAGGTAAAATCTGAGGACTTGGTGTTTGAACCTTGGGGTTGAGAAGTGTAGTGGTGTCAAAAAAGACTCACATTTCAGGTTTGAGCAGCAGGATAATAATCAGATAGGAAGCACTGGGTTTGTGGCAGGGAGATCCGAAGTTCATTTGGGGATCCAGGTAAACAGGAGTAAGTCATATATAGACTCGGTGTTCAGAGGATAGGACTATGCTTCAGATATAAATTTGTAAGCATTAATATATAGATGTCAACTTAGTGTCTTGTACATACCTGGTACTTAGGAGAAAGTTATTTGCCCAGCTGTTGAACCTCAAGGGTGGGGAATGTCTGAGCTAGGTTGTTTCATAATATCTTTTATCCCGGGCACGGTGGCTCATGCCTGTAATCCCAGCACTTTGGGAGGCCGAGGTGGGCGGATCACCTGAGGTCAGGAGTTCAAGACCAGCCTGACCAACATAATGAAACCCTGTCTCTACTAAATACAAAAAATGAGCCGGGTATGGTGGCGCATGCCTGTAATCCCAGCTACTCGGGAGGCTGAGGCAGGAGAATCGCTTGAACCTGAGAGGCGGAGGTTGCAGTGAGTCGAGATCGTGCCACTGCACTCCAGCCTGGGCAACAAGAGTGAAACTCTGTCTAATTTAGTATAACTCTAGCCATGCAGAAGCTGAAACAAAGCTTTGAGGCATGAACTCCTGAGTGATCCTTCACTGAACCTTTGCCGTGACCATCTCCTACACAACCAGCTTGGAACCAGGCCTGAAGACAGTAGGAATATTGCTTGTGTACTTGGGATAATTCTGGTCAAGGCTGTCACAAGGCCAGCCTAGATTCATGAGACGAGAAAATAGACTCTACCTCATGATGGGCATGACCTGCTGAAATGTCATATTAGCTAGACCAGTGAGACTAGAGTGGAGTGCAAATTAATGTGTCAGTTTTCCCCACCCAGAGTTGTATGGGCCAGACAGCTTAGAAGGATAGCTTGAAAGATGTAACACTCTTGGGCTTATCTTTGAGTAGAAGCTTCTTGTCAGTGGTGCTGTGCAGAATGCTTTCTTGAGCACCTCTTGGGGAGTGAGATGCTTCTAGATCTCAGCAGGTTCTGGCACGCTGAGTTGAGATGGGTGAGGGTGAACAGCAGTGTGATTCTGCCTAGGAAGGCTTTGCTAATTCCTGTGTTACTTATTAGACATGTGGCTCTCATTAGTCTGTGTGATGGTTAGTTTTATGTATCAATTTTGCTAGTCTGTAGTACCTATTTATTCCATCAAACACTAATCTAGGTGTTGTTATGAAGGTATTTTTGTATGTAATTAATATCAACAATCCATTGATTTTAAGTAAGAGAGATTATCTTGGCTAATCTGGGTGGGCCTCATCCAATTAGTTGATAGGCCTTTAAATCTAATCAGATCAGAGAACCAATTCCAAATAACACAGAACAAGTTCAGCAAACCCATCTTTAAGATTTTTTTTTTTCCAGGACCACTTCTAGTAGCAATTTTTATATCAGAGAAACAGAAATGCTGTGAGTCATAGAGAATAAAGGATTTATTACACAATTACGGAAGCTCGTAGAGTAGTGTATGTATGCTGTTGTTTCTGTGTCTAGTGTTGAGCCTGAAATCACTATCAGTCAGCCAGACCATCAGTCAGAAAGGAAAGCTGGATCTGGACAAGAACAAGAACAAACCCACAAGGTCACCTAAAAACTGGACCTGGAGCAGAACTTGGAACTCTTAAGAATCCTTCCACTGTTGGCAGTCTCTGCTGCTTTGAGTCCAGGGTTTTCACCTCAACACAACTGCTTTTTTTGGAGAGGGCCTGAGCACCTCAGGGCTATGGTGTCATAGCCTACCCTGCTGAACAGGCAGACCTCTAGTTTGATAACTCCATATGCACTCCTAACAATCGAGAATCTGTTATTCCTACCACTTACAGTGTGACCAAGATCAGGCATTGGGATGGTATGGTTAGTGCCTTCCTATGTAGCAAATACCAGATAGCCACACCACAGGTGCTTGCCCCAGCACCTCTTGTTAAAATTATAGGTAGCTAGTAAGTAGTAGCCATAGGTCATTCCCTTTTCCCTAGTTCTGAGAAAACTTGATTATTTCAAGCATATCTTGGTCTCTAGTTTCTTCTAAATTGCAGTGATTAGGGAGTAGTGAATTAGCTCTGATTCTTTTAGCGGGAGAGAAGATGCTTCTTTGTTGGAATATGTTTAAGATTGCCAAATCTGGCTGGACATGGTGGCTCATGCCTGTAATCCCAGCACTTTGGGAGGCCGAGGTGGGCAGATCACGAGGTCAGGAGATCGAGACCATCCTGGCTAACACGGTGAAACCCCATCTCTACTAAAAATACAAAAAATTAGCCGGGCACGGTGGCAGGCACCTGTAGTTCCAGCTACTCAGGAGGCTGAGGCAGGAGAATGGCATGAACCCAGGAGGCAGAGCTTGCAGTGAGCCGAGATTGTGCCACTGCACTCCAGCCTGGGCAACAGAACGAGACTCCGTCTCAAAAAAAAAAAGATTGCCAAATAAAGTAGAAGGTGATTATCTGAAGGTCTTCAAATAGAGGAGTTGTTTATGTTGCTGCATTGAACACTGCAAGATAGTTAAGTTACTGTAGGAGGCTTTTATCCTCATCTGAATTGTTATCTCTGGTTTTATGAATAACTGTTTCAAGCTCCAGTTCCACTGGCATCTGAATTCAGAAGCCATCCATGACACTTCCTTCTCTGTTAACATTCATATTCATGCAAAGAGAAGCCTGTGATAAAATTAATTTTCTCTTGTATTTGACTTTTTTTTGTGCAACTGGGTTTTCTTCATTCTGTTCTCACCCAATACCATTCTCTGGTCCCCAAACTTTGAACTTAGCTTGGTTAGGAAAAAGTCATTCTGTGCAGCCATATAAGCTGGCAGGACACACTCAGTTTTTTGGGTTTTTTTGTTTGTTTGTTTTGTTTTTTTGAGATGGAGTCTGCCCTGTCTCCCAGGCTGGAGTGCAGTGGCATGATCTCAGCTCATTGCAACCTCCACCTCCCGGGTTCAAGCGATTCTCCTGCCTTGGCCTCCTGAGTAGCTGAGATTACAGGTGTGTGCTACCACACCTGGCTAATTTTTTTTGTAGTTTTAGTAGAGATGGGGTTTTGCCATGTTGGCCAGGCTGGTCTCGAACTCCTGACCTCAGGTGATCCATCCATGTCAGCCTCCCAAAGTGCTGGGATTATGGCATGAGCCACCACACCTAGCCAACACACTCAGTTTAAATTAATGATGGCTTTCCTTTCTCACTGAGTAACTGTGGACTATATCAACATGCATACCAGTTCTCCCACTAGGCTAGAAATTCTTACGGTCTCATTCACAGCAATGCTGAAAATCTAAATGTGTTCACACAGGGTGTCTAGATGAATTTCAGTTTTTAAACATGCAGCTACTATAAACTGCTTCTTTGCCTGTCAGCTCTTTTCTACCCACCCTTCTAGGAACTAAGCATTGTACAATGAGCATATTGGGGAATAGAACTCCCAGTTGGCTTCTGCTGTACTTAGGCAGTGAGCAGGATAAAAACAACTCAGTTCCTCCCACACACATGATGATGCTGGGAATGGGGAAGAAGGGAGCAGACTTCAAGAACATTTGGCATTGCCCTGAGCCTGGGGACCTTTGTAGATTTGAAGGGAATGAGGATCTGAAAATCCCTGGAGATCTTTTGGGGGAAAATTAAAGATCTTGTTGTTAACTAAAGACCTTTTTTTAGAGTCACTAAGAGCTTTGGACATGTAAAGTACTAATTTTGTCTTTCATGGACATATTTCCTTCTTTCAAGGCTGCCTTTCAGAACTGCTTTTTTTATTCCCTAGCTCTATCGTTCACAGATGTTTTGTACAGTGTTCATGGTACATATATCTTTGTGTTCAGCTTTCTTTAAATTAAAGCAAATCTCAGAAAAGTTCAAAGTATGCAGTCCTGCATAATCTCATAGACCAGTAGCTGTGTGTTAGTCTTTCTTACAGCTTCCCTAGAAATCCTAAAGCTTTGCCCCTGACATACAGTATGTGTTGTTAATATTTGGAACAAACTTGGGTAAATAAATATTGAAACACGGGTACAGCTTGGTTCTTGAACTACTCGAAATTTAAAAGTAATCTGCCCAAAGCAGGCAGCCGCTTCTTTGGGAGCTTTCTTTTTTTTTTTTTTTTTTTTTTTTTTTAAAGAAAGAGTCTCTTTTCTGTTGCCCAGGCTGGAGTGCAGTAGCACGTTCATGGCTCGCAGCAGCCTCGAGCTCCTGGGCTCAAACAGTCCTCCCACCTGAGACACCCGAGTAGCTGGGACCACAGGCACATGCCACCATGCCTGGCTAGTTTTTCTTTCTTTATTTTTTGTGGAGACAAGGTCTCCTTATATTGCCCAGGCTGGTCTTGAACTCCTGAGCTTGAGCAGTCCTCCCACACTGGCATCCCAAAGTGTTGGGATTACATGCATGAGCCACTGTGCCTGACTGGAAACATTTCTTTCTTTCTTTTTTTCTTTTTTTTAATTATTATGAGACAGGGTCTTGCTTAGTCGCCTAGGTGCTGGGGTGCAGTAGTGCAATCATAGCTCACTGCAGCCTCGACTTCCTGGGCCCAGGTGGTCTAAGAGGGCAGCTCTCACAGATCTATAGGATTATCACAAACCCTATTAGAATCTCAGTTGGATATTTTTGCTGAAATTGACAAGTTGATCTTAAAAGTTATATGGAAATACAAAGAACACAGAATATCCAGAACAATGTTGAAAAACAACAAAAAAGTTGAAGAAATTATGCTTCCCAAGCTCAAAACTTACTATAAAGCTATGGTAGTCAAGACAAGTATGGTACTGGCATAAGGACAGACAGACAGATCTGTGGAACAGAACTAAGAGTCCAAAAATAAACCCTTAGGTTTATGGTCATTTGATTTTTACCTGAGATGTCCAGGCAACTCAACAGGAAAAGGATAGATTTTTACACAAATTGTGCTAGAACAGTTTGATCCTTACTTGCAGAAAGATTGATTTAGAACCTTACCTCACTCCATACAGAAAAAAGAAAATGGATTACAGACCTAACATGAGAGCTAAAACTGTAAGAGTTGTATAGATTTTATTTCTTAAAAATTAAAGATTTTGAACCCCAAAGACACTATTAAGAAAATGAGGGCCGGGTGCAGTGGCTCTTGCAGGTAATCCCAGCATTTTGGGAGGCCAAACCAGGTGGATTGCTTGAACCAGGAGTTCAAGACCAGCCTGGGGAACATGGCAAAACCCGTCTCTACAAAGAAAATGCAAAAAGTAGCCAGGTGTGGTGTCACGTGCCTATAGTCCCAGCTACTCAGGAGGCTGAGGAGGGAGGATCACCTGAGCCCAGGGAGGTTGAGGGGGCAGTGAGCTGTGATCACGCCACAGCACTCCAGCCTGGATGACAGAGTAAGACCCTGTCTCAAGAAAAAAAAAAAAAAAAAAAAAAAGGCCAGGCCCAGTGGCTCATGCCTGTCATCCCAGCGCTTTGGGAGTCTGAGGCAGGAGGATCGCTTGGGGCCAGGAGTTTGAGAAGAGCCTGGGCAACAAAGTGAGACCCTATCTCTATAAAAAAATCTTAAAGGGACTGGGCGCAGTGGCTCACGCCTGTAATCCCAACACTTTGGGAGGCCGAGGCGGGTGGATCACCTGAGGTCAGGAGTTTGAGACCAGCCTGGCCAACATGGCAAAACCCCATCTCTACTGAAAATACAAAAATTAGTTGGGCATGGTGGTGGGCGCTTGTAATCTCACCTCCTATGGAGGCTGAGGCAGGAGAATTGCTTAAACCTGGGAGGCAGGGGTTGCAGTGAGCCGAGATCACGCCATTCCACTCCAGCCTGGGCAACAAGAGCAAAACTCCGTCTCAAAAAAAAAAAATTTTTTTTTCAATTAGCCAGGCATGGCACGAACCTGTAGTCCCACCTCTTTGGGAAACTGAGGCATTAGGATCACTTGAGCCCAGGAGTTCTAGGCTGCAGTTTTGATCATGCCTGGGTGATGGAGCGAAACCCTGTCTCTGAGAAAAGAAAGAAAATAAGGAAATGAAAAGATAAGAACTCTTCCAACTCAAAAAAATCACTAACAGCCTAATTTCAAAATAGGCAAAAGACTTGAATGAACATTTCACCAAAGAAAATACACAAATGGCTAACAAGCACATGAAAAGATCCTCAACATCATGTCATAGGGAAATGCAGACCAAAACTTTGATGATACTGCTTCACACCCATTAGAATGGCTGCAGTTTTTTTTAAGTGACAGAAAAAGCAAATCTATAAATCTATAGAGACAGGAGGCAGATTAATGATTGCCTGAGATGTGATAAGAAAGGGGATTGGTTTTTTTTAAATTATTATTTCAACTGTTATTTAGATGTGCAAGTATGTTACATGGTATATTGTGTGATGGTGAGATTTGGGTGCGATTGAACCCATCACCCAGGTAGTGAGCATAGAACAAAACAGGTATTTTTTCAACTCTTGCTCTCCTCCCTCCCCCTGGTTGTGTATCCTTGTTGTCTGTTGTTCCCTTTTTTTTTTTTTTTTTTTTTTTGAGATGATTCTCGCTCTGTTGCCCAGGCTGGAGTGCAGTGGCATGTTATCAGCTAACTGCAACCTCTACCTCCCGGGTGCAAGCAATTATCCTGCCTCACCCTCCTGAGTAGCTGGGATTACAGGTATCCGCCAGCACACCCAGCTAATTTTTGTATTGTTAGTAGAGATGGGGTTTCACTGCGTTGGCCAGACTGTTCTCAAACTCCTAACCTCAAGTGATCCACCCACCTTGGCTTCCCAAAGTGCTGGGATTACAGGTGTGAGCCACTGTTCCCAGACTTTTGTTCCCATCTTAATGTCCATGTGTATTCAGTGTTTAGCTCCCACTTATAAGTGAGACCATGTAATATCTGGTTTTCTGTTTCTACATTACTTTGCTTAGGATAGTGGCCTCCAGCTGCATCCATGTTGCTGCAAAGGACATGATTTTGTTCTTTTTTATAGCTGCATAGTATTTCATGATATATATTGCACTACATTTTCTTTATCCAGTCCACTGTTGATGGGCACCTAGGTTGAATCCATGTCTTTGCTATTGTGACTAGTACTGTGATGAACATGCAAGTACACTTGTCTTTTTGGTAGAACAATTTCTTTTCCTTTGGATATATACCCAGTAATGGATTGCTGGTTGAGAGGTAGTTCTAGTTTTAGTTCTTTGAAATATCTCCAAACTGCTTTCCACAGTGGCTGAACTAGTTTACATTCCCACCAACAGTATATAAACATTTCTTTTTCTCCACAGTCTCACCGGCATCTGTTGTTGTTGTTGTTGTTTGACTTTTTAATAGTAGCCATTCTGACTGGCATGAGGTGGTATCTCATTGTGGCTTTGATTCATATTTCTCTGATGATTAGTGATATTGAGCATTTCTTCATGTGTTTGTTGTCTGCCTGTATGTCTTCTTTTGAGAAGTGTCTGTTTATGTCCTTTGCCCACCCTTTAATGGGGTTGTTTTTTGCTTGTTGATTTAAGTTCTTTATAGATGCTTGATATTACACCTTTGTCATTTGCATAGTTTGAGAATATTTCCTCCCATTTCTGTAGGTTGTCTGTTTACAGAACAGTAGTTTCTTTTGCTGTGCAGAAGCTCTTTAATCAGATGGAAAGGGGAATGTTTGATTATAAACAGTCATGTGAGATCTTATTTGAGTAAAAGAAATGTTCTGTAACTGGATTGTGGTGATAGTTTTATAGCTCTGTACATTTTCTAAAAATCATTAAATTGTATGTCTAAAACAGGTGAATTTTATGGTATGTAAATGACACTTCCATAAAGCTGTTTGTTTTGTTTCATTTTGTTTTGTTTTGTTTAAGACATAGGCTGAATGCAGTGGCTCATGCCTGTAATCCCAGCACTTTTAGAGGGCAAGATACAAGTATCGCTTGAGGCTGGGAGTTCAAGATTAGCCTAGGCAACATGGTGAAGCCCCATACAAAAATACAAAATTAGCCAGGTGTGGCAGCTTGCTCCTGTGGTCCTAGCTGCTTGGGAGGCTGAGGTAGGGGGATTGCTTGAGCTCAGGAGTTCAAGACCAGCCTGGGCAACATAGCGAGACCTTGTCTCTACCAAAAATAAAAAAAATTAGCCAGCTGTAGTGATGCATGCCTGCAGTGCCAGCTACAGGAGGCTGAGGCAGGAGGATCACTTGAGCCCAGGAGGTAGAGGCTACAGTGAGCAATCATTGTGCCACTGCACTCCAGCCTAGGCAAGTGGCTATCTCCAGTCAGAGCAAGACCCTGTCTCTAAAAGTAAACATAAAAACCTACAAGGCAGTCGAAGCCAAGCAACACAGAGTTAGAAGACAACCAGGCATCTATGACTGGAATCTTCTTTTTTTTTTTTAACCATACTCCCCTTCCCTGTGTATTTATTTTTATTAAATAGAATGACCTCAAACATTACAAGCATGGCATTTTTTACACCTAGGCAGATGCCTTAATTTGACCTCATTTATTCATTTATTTGTTTATTCAACAACTATTTATTGGACATTTACTCTGTGTCAGGCACAATGCTAAGTGCTAAGGATGTGAAGATAAATCTCTGCTCTACTGAATTTCAGTCTAGTGGGAGAGAGAGAGACAAGTAAATAGTCTATTTCTTTACTATATGTTAAGTTATCCAATAGAGGTAGATACCAAGTTTTGTGGGAGCACAAACTTCACTGTTGTCAGTGAAGGATTCCTAGAGGAAGTGTATCCTGGGGTGAGTCCTGAGGAATAAATAAGAGTAGCAAGTTAGGATTATTCATAGAATTTTACTCCATCTTCTGTGAAGATGGAGAATACATACCAAATTGTGGAGGCAAAAGAAAGCATGGCATGGTCTGAGGAAAATAGGATAATTAGGGTAGAAGCAGGAAAATGTTTGTTATAAGAATTGTGTGTAGGAATTTATAATAGAGGCCAGGTGTGGTGGCTCACACCTGTAATCCAACCACTCTGGGAGGCTGAGGTGGGTGGATCACTTGAGACCAGGAGTTCGAGACCAGCCTGGCCAACATGGTGAAACCCCATCTCTACTAAAATACAAAAATTAGCTGGGCATGGTGGTGTACAACTATAGTTTCAGCTACTCGGTAGGCTGAGGCACAAGAATTGCTTGAGCCTGGGAGACGGAGCTTGCAGTGAGCCGAGATCACGCCACTGCACTCCAGCCTAGGCAACAAAGCAAGACTGTCTCAAAAAAAAAAAAAAAAAAAGTTAACGATCAAATAGAAGAAGGTAGATTATCAGTGATATGATGTCTCACCAGATTTCTTTAGAATCGTAAAAGCCTCAGAAAGTATGCCATAGGGTTTCTAGGGAAAACACCTTTTATGTGGTAGAGTCAGGGCTGGGGTCCACTGTCCTGGTCTCCCCAGAAAGAGATGTAGGCAGCATGCCTCTGACCCTCATAAACTTACCAGTGCCTACTACCTGATAATAGAATGGAGACCATGTTACCTGATTGTGAGCCTCTTCTTTCTTTCTTTTATTTTTTATTTTTTTGCAGGCATCCTAGAATACGTTTCCACACGGGTCTTGTGGATGCCCACCTCTACTGTTTGAAAAAATACATCGTGGATTTCCTAATGGAAAATGGGTAAGAAAAAGGGTGGTAGAGTCAAACCTACAGTACTTAACAAGCTACTTTGTGAATTCCTTAAATTTTAAACCTTCATAATTTAGATAACCAGTTTCTAAAATTAGCACAATAGCACAGTTAGTTCTCATTTTTGTTTTAGAAATGAAATTATGTCATCAATATAGTGTTGTTTTATCTGTACCACAGAGTCCCCTGCTTATATTTTTGCAGCGTGTGTTATAATAAATCAGCAAAATATTTTGTAACACTTAACGGTAACCCATGATGCCTCTTTCTGCCCAGTTCCAGGCTCTTCTTCCCTCCTTTGACAGGAGTGAGCTCCACAGCCCTTATGCTGTTTGTCTCTAATTACATGTTCTCCTAGGCAGTTATCCTGTAGATGGGCCCTCTTAGCAAAGGGCTACAGACTTAACCATAGAAGAGAAAAAGGAGAGCAAGTTTCCCCCCAATTTTAGAAAAGAAGCCCACTTCAGTGAGTGCAGAGAAACAAAATTTGGCACATTTTCTGATTTTTTTGTTTGTTTGTTTTAGAACAGAATTGTAGGACTTAAATAGTTTCCAGAGATTGTGTCTGGCAGATCACCGGACTTGAGTTTTCAAAGAGAAAACCCCTTTTGCAGTTGATCTCAAGGATTTTTTATAAGAAAAGCAGCTACAGTCCTCAAAGGAACAGGTGGAAAAAGATTTAATAACTGCATGGTTAAGAATAGGAGCAGCTAGCTTCCCTTGATGACTGCTGGATAAGTTTGGAAAGTTCACCAGTGCTATCCAAGGCGGAAACTTATCTAGGTGAACAGATACCACAGTAGCAAGAGGTATCTCCGACCATCTGGAGAAAAGAATTTGAGAACCTGAGTTTAAATGCTAGCTCTGCCTTTGGCTGATGGACTTGAATATATATCGGAATATTAAGAGGAAGGAGGATTGCTCCCCTGCCCAGTATGATCTTTCTTGCAGTGTCCTACCTGTCACCCCCCCACAACACTTGCTAAGTTCCTGTGGAGAGGCCCATGTAGAGCCAATGGTAAAACAAATCATTTGGACTTTTAGAAAGCTTTCCCAAGGATTGTTATAGCTCTGTTTCCCCTACCAAGGACACAGTTGCCCTGCTCCCTTCTGACCTCTGAAAAATGTTTTCATTCCATCTACACATACTTATTAAGCACCCATTATGAGCCAGGCATTGTGCTAGATCAACCATGGGATCAATGATAAATAAACAGATATGGCCCTGCCCTCATGGAAATTACAGCCTAAGCTCATGGTGGAATGTGGAGACCTTGCTTTTTAGATAGCAGGGTAACTTGTTGCCAAGATTTAGAGGGTGATCCAAGAGCTATTTCTCAGTGACCAGTCTAAGCTGTTTGTATTCCAAAAATGAAATTAACTCTTGGCCATTGAAGGGTTTATTTTTCACTCCCAAATAAAAATGAAGCCATATGAAATGAGCCTAGGCCTTGATAGGCAGAAGAGAACACAACTGTGTTAGAAAGGATGACTTTTTAAAAAATGATTTACTATGGAAAATTTCACATAAATGCAAAAGTAAAGAAAATAATGAACTCCCATGTATCCATCACACAGTTTCAACAATTATCAACTCATTGTCAATTTTGTTTTATATATGCCACCGTTTCTCTCCCCCCATTACCCTAAATTGTTTTAAAGCAAGGCATTTTGATATAATTTCATCTGTAAATATTTTGATATAATTTCATCTGTAAATATATTTCAGCATGTATAGTTAAAATATAAGGACGCTTCCAGGATAAGGATATTTAAAATAGATATATATTTTATGTATATGTACATATATATATATAGAGAGAGAGAGAGAGAGGCTTTTTTTAAATAAATACCTTAATATCATTATCACACCTTCAAAAAACTGACAGTGCTTTCTTAATACTATCAAAGAGGATTGTGGCTTTTGGTGTCTGTATATGCAGGCAGTTTTACAGCAAACCTAGTCATCTCATCCTGGTTGTTATAGCTTATTTGTAGTTCATTTGGCCACTACCAGTTAGTTATTCCCACACCTGGCAAGTGTAACACAATGGTGTGTGTACCTTGAGGACAAGCCTGAAGTTTGTGATATGGCTATAGGTCCTGGCCAGAAGCTCTGCCAAATGGGACTTTCCCAGAACCTGCTGCAGTAGAGAATGATACAGAGCCTCAGCACATACTGTTTCCCCACCTCAAGATCTGTTTAGGAGACCCTTATCTCTTTCCTCCCCGCATCTACCTTGACCTCTCAGAGTCGCTACAATCAAAGAGCATATATTGAAAATTGATATATTTCAATATATTGGAAAAAGTAAAAAGGCACAGCAGGGCAAATTAGAATGTTACTTGAGGGACAGTCTTTACTCCTGGCTGGAATAGTGAAGGTCTTTGAAAGGTTGTGGGAGATGGGATTGAATTGGTTGGTGGTAGGTAGCAGCATGTAGAAGGTCTTGAAAGCTGAGCAGGGAGTTACAGATCTTTAAACAGAATAGTCTTACAGGAAATGAGCAATGATACAACCTGGCAAGTGAACATAAACCATTCTGCATGGGAAAGAGATTTCTTCAAGATAAGTAGGAGGCACTTATAATCATCTGGTCATCAGATGATGACTCCTTTAGGAATGGAAAGGAAAGAGTAAACCTAGGAGACACAGCTTCAAGAAAGGACTGTTGTAGCAATCCTTTGTTATATTTTACCTCTGAGAGTTAACATATTCTACCCTGTGTTATTTATGTAGAAAAGCATCATGTTTTCAATAAAGTCACACTTAGGTTTTGTTATTTGTTTACATGTTAACATTTTCCACTCAAATTCTTTGAGAATGGATATCTACCTGGATTTGTAAGGCATTCATTATATACTTGGTGAATGAGGGAAAGGAGATGTAGTGACAGATAACAGAAGCAGTTTAGTATTAATACATTAATAGTGGAAGAAGAGAGGTGGGTTTCTACAGTTGACCAAGCAGAAAAGCTACAGGGAGAGCTGCAGAGAGAAGAAAATCTGTACTCTCTTTGATGAGAATTTAGTAACTGTACACATTTTACAAGTTTTTTATCCACTTCTGAGTGTAGTATGATAGATGAATGTTCCACAGAATCTCTTGAACATTTTAATTCAAAATGTGTTGGATTCTGTGTCCAGGGCCAAAGCAGATCTTAGTCTGAGTATTGTGACTGTGATTCCTCTTGATAACTGAGTGTTCCTCCCTGTTTTATAATGTCAGCTGGTTTAAGCCTAAAGAAGCTGATCTCTTAGGAGATCTAGAAGCCCAGGTATTGGCCCAGCTCTTTGCTTGCCTTAGTAGGAGCTGCTCCTAGACCTGAGTCAGGGCCCTAGATTGTCACTGGCCCTATGAAGGACTCAAGCAATATGCCAATATGCCAGCTTTGTGAGCTAAAGCCATGGGCAATATATACCAGGCAATGTATACCAGGATTAGTCTTGATTTCCTTTTAGTATAGAACCTCCCCCGCTCCCCACCCCCACCAGCCCCATTTATCTTTCTCTCTTTAAGAGACTTAAAGATTAGTCTCCTTAACAGGGAGAATTGAGGCTGATTACTTCCTTCTTGTCCAGAAGTATCCACGGTTACAGTCAGCCTCTTATAGTGTTAGAATCTGATATTGCCATGCAGTACTTACAGTCTTGGGGTTGGACCTTCAGAGCAGGAAGAGAGAGGAAAGAAGAAAATTTAACCACCTACTGTGTACCAGGCACTGTGCTGGGTGCTTTTCACATATATTCATTTCTTACAATAGTTCTCTCATTAGGTATTATACTCATATTATAGAGGAAGATAATGCTCAAAAGTCATTTGCTCAATATCATGCAGCCACAGCCTCAACAAAATCCATCACTGTTTAATTGATTGCCAGCAACATCCACCACAGATGTCGGATATCTCTGTTGCCAACATGCTTATATGCACATGCACATGATTTGCACTTGAAAGAGTAACAGAGCAGTCACAACTTCCTTGCCTCAGCTATGTCAGGATACAGAGAAATAAGGATAGGACCCACAAAGTGAAGTCAAGAGTTGGGGATAGGCAGCCATGGCAAGGTCAGAATCAAGGTAATAATTAAAGCCACATACAAAATGAAGTTATGTTAGCTGGGCATGATGGCATATACCTCTAGTCTCACCTACTCAGGAGGCTGAGGCAGGAGGACCACTTGAGCCCATGAGGTTGATGCTACAGTGAGCTATATATGATGGCACCACTGCACTCCAGCCTGGTAGACAGAAAGAGACCCTGTCTCTAAAAGAAAGTTAAAAATTAAAAAAGATGAAAGTGTAGAATAGCTAGAAAGCCACGAGTAAGCACAAGACAGCAGAGTGGAGATAAGCAGAGATGAGGGACCAGATAGTGCTGTGAGAGGCTGGCAGTAGTAGTCTTGGTTTCTTACTGTTCAGTTCAGGCATCCATTGATTTGGCTGTACTTGGTTTCCTTACATATCCTTAGATGTCCTAGAGATTGCACAATGTGTCCTTTACTTCAATAACAACAAAATTAAGCTAAGAGTATGTGACTTACACACCTTCTCAACAGGGCTGTTATTGGGTGGCTGCATACTGATATCTGAAGATGCAGGTGCTGCCAAGATTAAATCAAGGTAGTCTCCTTTGAACTTCCTAGTTGCATTCATTTTTATCTCTGGGACTTCTAGAAATATTAGTAATATTAGTAATAGAGAAACGTATTTAGAATTCATTACATTTCCAAATTAGGAAAGCTTTACTTTTTTTTTTTAAGAGACAGGATCTTGCTCTTTCGCCAGGCTGGAGTGGAGTGCAGTGGTGTGATAACAGCTCACTGCAGCCTCCACCTCCTGGGCTTAAGTGATCCTCCCTCCTCAGCCTCCCGAGTAACTGGGACTACAGGCACTCACCACCATGACTGGCTAATTTTCTTATTTTTTGTAGAGATGGGGTCTCAATATGTTGCCCAGGCTGGTCTCAAACTCCTCGGCTCAAGAGATCCTCCCACCTAGGCCTCCCAAAGAGCTGGGATTACAAGTGTGAGCTACCAGGCCCAGCCAAGAAAGCTCTACCTTCTGTATCCAAAAATCTGTGTGTTTATGGGTAAAGAGACAGCAAGCAGAGAATTCTAAATCCTGTGGAAAGTGCTTTGGTTGAACTAAGCACAAGATGCTAGTTAATATGGTATAGTGGAAAGAGCCATGGACTATAGGACAGATGTGGAGTGACTTTCAATTCTATCAGTTATAAAAGTTGTATTAACCCTAGGCAAGATAGTTAACCTCTCTAAGCCTTGATTTCCTTCTTTATAAAATAGGGGCCAGGTGCAATAGCTCACGCCTGTAATCCCAGCATTTTGGGAGGCTAAAGTGGGAGGATGGGCTGAACTCAGGAGTTCCAGACCAGCCTAGGCAACATAGCAAGATGCCATCTCTACAAAAATTACAAAACATAAAATAAGAATAGTAATACCTATCATAAGCATTGCTATAAGAACTTGAAATGATCTGTATTATTTTCCTAGCATAGTACCTCAGACATGATACCTCCTCACACATGATCAAAAAGCAGTACATATAACTGTCTTTACTGTGAGAGCATAGAAGCCTACAAATGTTATAAAAGGCTTCCAAGCAGAGATCATATTTGAGAAGGGTGTTATGACTTGATAAATTTTCACAAAGTGAACATACCTTATGAGTACTATATTCAGGTTAAGAAACAGAACATTGCCAGAATTCCAGAAACTCCCCTCATTCTATCCCCCTACCCCACCACATACACAAAAGTAATCACTATCCTGAGCATTAAATAAGTGTAAGGAGATGGGATGAGATTTGTACTTTAGAAAAATCACTGTGTCTACAAAATAGAGGATGGATTGAAGGAAGAAGAGACATGATCAGATTGTACTTCAGAAATATTCTGTCAGCTGGGTGCGGTGGCTCATGCCTGTATTCCCAGCACTTTGGGAGGCTGAAGCAGGAAGGATTACTTGGAGGTAGGCAGGAGGATCACTGGAACCCAGGAGTTCACGACCAGCCTGGGCAACTTAGGGAGACCTCATCTCTACAACAAATTTAAAAATAAAAAAATTAGCATGGTGGCACATGCCTGTAGTCCCAGCTACTTAGGAGGCTGAGGTGGGAGGATTACTTGAGCCCAGGAGGTCAAAGCTGCAGTGAGCCATGATAACACCACTGCACTCCAGCAGCCTGGGTGACAGAATGAGACCATCTTTAAAAAAATTTAAAAATTTAAAAAAAGTCTCTTTTTTTTCCCATCTACCGTATGAAGGATAGAT
Organism: Homo sapiens; assembly: GCF_000001405.40. Lineage (NCBI taxonomy): Eukaryota > Metazoa > Chordata > Mammalia > Primates > Hominidae > Homo > Homo sapiens. Next base: position 44,891,052 of record NC_000001.11, on the reverse strand, counting down.
TTTGTGGATAAAACTAGAGGGAGAGAGACCAATTAAAAGCAGGTACAGGAATCCAGGCAAATGATGACAGTAGTCTGGACCAGGCAGTGGCAGTAAAGATGAAGAGAAGTTGAAAGTCTTGACAGAGATTTAGGGGATAGAATCAGCAGTGCTTGGTGATTGATTATATGTGAGGAGTGGAAGAAGAAGTCAGGCTGTTTTGTGAAAGGGCCATTTATCACAAAGCAACCCCCAAATGCAGAAGGAGCTGAGAAACCAAAGAAGAAGGCAGACAAATCTAGTTTGACAGTTTTGGATGATTTATTAGGGCAACTTATAGACAGAGTCGTGGTCTTGGGTGGGTGCAAGACAGGTAGATCTCCACACTGCAACCCCCCAGACCCAGAGCCTATACCTTGGGGAAAAAAAACATATATGCTTTGGAAGGAATTTTCGAAAGTCAAAGCAGTTTATGACCTTAAGGCATTTAGCAAACCTAATATCTGACCTGCCTAATTTAGACCAAATGTCTTTATTTTACCAATAATCTTTAACATTTTTTATTTCCCAAAGATTACTAAAGTTACGTGAACTAAAAGGCATTACAGTTTTTATTTTTTTCAAAATATTTTATTTAAGTGCTTATTTTTCTTTATGCCAATTAATTAGAGCTTTTACATAAGCATCACACACATAACATATGTATAAACTACACAGACAGACAGAAGAAGATCCAGTAGTTGTAAGATTTTTCATTTGCCAGTTTCTTAATTGGATTACTGGCCTCACGGTAGAGCCCTTCAAGAAACAGGTCTAGGAAAACATGCAGTTTCTGGGGCCTAATAAGCAGGCACAGCTGGAAGACAAAAACAGACCCCCAAAATCAAGAGTCCCGTTTTTATATCAGATCCTGGATCCCAAAAAGAGGGAATTAGCCCATCTCCCATGAGAGTCTTATCTCTCAGTGAGGAGTGGGAACATTTCCATAACTTCTAGGTGGCCAAGAGCATGCTTCTCTGATGTAAACATGCAAAGAGCCACGTATTCCCTGATAACTGCCATTAGCCATTGTCAAAAGTATATTTAGCCTTAGATTTTCAGAGGAATCTATCCACCACCCATTCCTGGGGTTTTATGAGGAAAACAGAGTTTTTTCCCAGAACAGGGTCTGTGACATCTCCTCTGTTTTTCACAAGGAGTCCCAGTCTATTAGAGCTTGAATATCCACTTTTAATTAAGCTGACTGGCCAGATGCAGTGGCTCACACCTGTAATCCCAGCACTTTGGGAGGCCAAGGCAGGTGGATCACTGGAGGTCAGGAATTTGAGACCAGCCTGGGCAACATGGTGAAACCCCATCTCTACTAAAAATATAAAAATTATCCAGGTGTGGTGGCGTGTGCCTGTAATCCTAGCTACTCAGGAGGCTGAGAATCGCTGGAACAAAGCAAGACTCCTTTTCAAAAAAAAAGATAAAAAACAAAGTAAATAAAAATAAAAGCACTATGGTTAAAAGTCAGCTTAATTTTTTTTTTTTTAAGATGGATCCTCGCTCTGTCACCCAGGCTGGAGTACAGTGGCATAATCTCAGCTCACTGCAACCTCCACCTCCCAGGTTCCAGCAATTCTCCTGCCTCAGCTTCCTGAGTAGCAGGGATTACAGGCACAGGCCACCACACCCGGCCGGTGTTTTGTATTTTTAGTAGAGATGCCATTTCACCATGTTCACCAGGCTGGTCTTGAACTCCTGACCTCAAGTGATCCACCCGCTTCAGCCTCCCACAGTGCTGGGATTACAGGCGTGAGCCACCACTCCTAGCCATAGGACTCTTTTAAAAAGCACTTTTAAATTTCTTATTACCCGACTCTAGCCACACTGACAATATTTCTGGCTTTTGAACTTAACCAAAGGTAACTTCCCAGGTGCTTAGGGAAAGGAAAATTCAAGATGGTTCATGGAGGGAAAGATAATCAACTAACAGTAAAGGTCACACAGATATCAAACCAGAAAGGACTCATTCCCTAAGCCAGGAATTGAACCCAGGGCATCACTGTGAAAAGTCAAAGCCTTAGCTGCTGAGCTACAGCACTGGTGGTTTCCATTGCTCTTCCCACTGTTCCCAGAAGGAATCTAAAATAGTTAATTTTGTGCTTGCAAAGGCTTTTAACTACTCAAGATAATTTTTAGAGCTAGCTATGACATGAATCCCAGAATTCCTGTTCCCTGGAAGGAAGAGACCGAGAGACATTATGGCCACATGGTTACAAGGTCAAGTTGCCAAGGACATAAAACCAGATGGAGACCTCACCCAGTTTTTTTGTTTGTTTCAAGGACCTGCAGTAAAATTTATTACCAGCTTGCTGGGCCGTCTTGAGCAGTTTATGGGGTCCTAAGCCCCTGTTCTATCCTAAGGTACCCTTCTTTATGACAGAACAACACAGACAAATTCATAGCACAAAATACATTAGATTCGTTACAACTTAATATGAGCCTCAGAATTTTTTCTCATTAATCAAAACTTTACAGAGGAGATAAACAGTGATTTTTACCATTCATTCAGCCAATTTGCACAGAGAGAGAGAGAGAGAGAGAGAGAGAGATTGAGAAGCCATAAGTCTGACTGGCAAGAAATTTTTACCCCTTTGCCGGCATGTCCCGTTTCTGGGTTCCCCTTCCCTGAGCGGCCCTAGCGACCCTGCTTGCCACACCATCGCTCCTGGGGCCAAGCTGCATCACAAAGGAAAATCATGGAACCACAGGCAAAATCCTCTAAATTTTGTAAGTTGCCGCCCAAACGGCTGCATGGGGGACCTGAATTCTAATATTTTCCATTCTGGACGTAGCAAAATACATGTGACAAAACATAGACATTAGCCACCATATGGATGCTTAGCACCCAATATTGAACTGGCAAGGCCCAAACTTGCCCCCAGTTGGGCCCTGTCATCTGTATCCATTTTTAACCAAGAGGGACTTTATTGAGGGAAGGGCCTCTCACCCAATCCCATCCTTTACTCAGGTAAAATGTATCCCCATTACGTATCCAAAGTCAGCCAATTGGTGCTGCAGACTGTTTCTTTTGGGTCAGATAGTAACTAAGCTAAAAGATTAGTAAATCTAATTTTTTAATCAATTAGTCATTTAGGTGCCTTTCATAAAGTCTTTTTTTTTGGGGGGAGACAGAGTCTGGCTCTGTCGCCCAGGCTGGAATGCAGTAATGCCATCTCAGCTCACTGCAACCTCTGCCTCCCGAGTTCAGGCATGCCTCAGCCCCCCGAGTAGCCAGGATTACAGGCCTGCGCCACCATGGCTGGCTAATTTTTGTACTTTTAATAGAGATGGTGTTTCACCATGTTGACCACCCGCCTTGGCCTCCCAAAGTGCTGGGATTACAGATGTGAGCCATCGCGCCCGGCCTTCATAAAGTCTTTAAATAAAAATATTGAAATCTTTTTAGAAGCGTCTGCATATCAGTAAGCATCCCTAGATGAGTCTCAATGCACTTCAGTGCATTGTTCATTCGGAACGTTCTACTGTAAGTTATCTTTAGTAAGATTTCGCCATTTCTGTAAGACTTCACTGCTTACCAGCTAATGTATAAGCTGGAAGGAATTCAGTTTTCCAAAAATGAAGGATCCCATTTTTACCTAAAATATTTGCTTTGCTCTCAGGTTCCCTTGATGAATTTAGCCAATGATTTTTCCTACCTAAGCACACAAGAAAAATGAAACAAAGGGGTAGAACACAAACATCCCTGTGAATTTTCAAGAGCCAAATTTTACAACCCCTACAGTATTACCATTTACAACCAGTTTCTTTCTGACCCAGTCAGATGTAAGAAGCCAAGTAATTAGCTGGATCCAAGCCAGCTAATTACTGGATCAAGTCCAATCCTGGACCCACTCAAGTTTCTCTTGTGACTTCCAAACCTAGTTTGGATCAGAAATTTGCTCAAAGAAACTTGGACAGCTCAAAACACAAATCCTTGGAGCTCTGAAATCTGAGAGAGAGCTTACCCACAATCCCCAGTCACTCTGAGAGATCAATGGACATAAGTGGGTCCTTGCAGGTACCTTGCTTGTTCACTCAGCGCTCCTGGGGTTGTTAAAGCTCTACTTCAGATCCCACTTCTGACACCATCTGTAGAAAGAAAAGCTGAATTAAGTTTAAAGGAGTTTAATTGAACAATTAATGATTCATGAATTAGGAAGCCCCCAGAATCACAGCAAATTCAGAAAGACTCCAAGGATGCCTCATGGTCAGAGGCATTTGACAATTTTTAGACAAAAAAAGGAAGTGACGTACAGAAATCAGAAGTGAGGTACAAAAACAACTGGATTGGTTACAGCTCGGCATTTGCCTTATTTGAACACGGTTTGAACACTCAGCAGTGTATGAGTAGTTGAATTATGGCTGCTGGGATTGGCCAATTCTCAGCTATTAGTACAGGCACATACTCCTAAGTTAGGTTTTCAGTCTCATCTACCTATTAAGTTAGGATGCAGTTTGTCCACAAGGACTCAAATATAGAAGTATGAAGTCCTTCTCAGGCCATATTTAGTTTGCTTTAACATTCATAATTCCACTACTGTGAGATAACTATTGTGAACATTTTAGTGTATTTGTTTCCATTGTTTTATTTTCATATATATAGTAAGAATACATGCTTGAAATCACACTTTAAAAATAATCGGGGTCGGGCACAGTGGCTAACGCCTGTAATCCCAGCACTTTGGGAGGCTGAGGCAGGTCAGATCATGAGGTCAGGAGTTCGAGACCAGCCTGGCCAACATGTTGAAACCCCGTCTCTACTAAAAATACAAAAAATTAGCCCAACATGGTGGCAGGTGCCTGTAATCCCAGCTACTCGGGAGCTTGAGGCAGGAGAATCGCTTGAACCCAGGAGGCGGAGGTTGCAGTGAACCGAGACCGTGCCACTGCATTCCAGCGAGACTCTATCTAAAAAAACAAAAATTTGCTTTTTTCATTGAGTGTTATAAGCATTTTATTCTATCATTAAAGAATTCTTGGCCAGGCACGGTAGCTTACGCCTGTAATCCCAGCACTTTGGGAGGCTGAGGTGGGCGGATCACGAGGTCAGGAGTTCAAGACCAGCCTGACCAACATGGTGAAACCCCATCTCTACTAAAAATACAAAAAAAAAAAAAAAAATTAGCCAAGCGTGGTGTCAGGCACCTGTAATCCTAGCTACTCAAAAGGCTGAGGCAGGAGAATCACTTGAACCTGGGAGGCGGAGGTTGCAGTGAGCCAGGATCGTGCCATTGCACTCCAAGCGAGACTGCGTCTAAAAAAAAAAAAAATTCTTTACAGTCACAGTTTTGCCTATATGACATTCTGTTATAGAGGTATTTTGATCTATCATTGTTGAATATTTTATTGTTCTCCATTTTTATAAATAACGGGAATACCTTTTTTTGAAAGATTCTTGTTTATAATCTGATGATTTCATCTATTCAGCAAATATTTACTGAGTAATATATTTTCCTTAGGATAGACTTATAGAAATGGAATTACAGGGTGAAATTATATGAATATCTTCAAGTCTTTTGCTATAATGTTGCCAATTATTTTTCAGAGATTTTATCAGTTTATACTCCGACTCCCATTATGTGACAGTAACGGTTCTCAAAGCACTCTTATCAGTAATGAAAATTGTTTTGAATCAGTTAATTTAGTTGGAGGAGAAATTGCATCTTATTTTAGTTTTTTACTTCTTTGAAAATATTTTATATGTTTTTTTAACACATATCTGTTTATTAAGAATATTCTTTGCCCTATTCATAGCAATTATTTTGTCTTTTTATTTGGTGGGATTGTTTGCTAGTAGTCAAGTCTATTGTTCTCCTTTGTGATTGCTTGAGAAGAGCTTATGATTTCATGAGATAAGACAGGTGTTTCTAGGAAGGCTGTGTATAAGAGGGAAAGGAGAAAGTAAGGTTGACCAGGGCACTGTATCCAGCAAGTGGCCTAGGCCCAGGATGTTCACAATGGTTCACTGTAGCTTTGTAACATTTCTTGGCACAGCTCTGAGCTGCCTGCACTTTAACTAGGAAGCAGGAAGAGTAATTGTTTCCTTCATTATGTTTCTAAGTCAACTGCATCATGGGGATTGACCTAATGTTGAGCTCCAGCAGAGGTGGGTGGGACCTGGCAGGGCTGTTTCATAGCCTCTCTTCAAATCATGGATCCTCTCGAAGGTTCTGCCTGATGGGGCCATGTGCCAAGGCTCGTCTGCTTGCCTCTTGCAGTGACAGTTCTTTTTGGTCTGTAATGTAAATATCATGGCCCTGAAATCCCCTAGCTGTCCGTGCTTTGTCACTTCTTCAAAGGGAACTGACTTGTTTTCCAATGGAGGAGGAACATTTGCTGCCTACACTGGTTTGAAGCATTAAAAGGGGAGAAAAAGAGCTAAGAGTAAGTGTTGCTTCATTCTTTGTATTCACATGGAAATTTTTAAATCTTCATCAAAGGATCAGGAGAAAAATCACATTGAAATTCAATACAAGAGCTCACAGCTTAACACAGAATTTTTCAAAATTGATTCTTTAAAAATTGCAGAAACTATGAACTGTGTAGCTCCAGGGTTCATAGTTTTCCTTACCCTCCTCAGCCTCTGCCTCTGTCTTGCCTTCCTTTCTACCTACACTCCATCTGTTTGGTTTTGTGTCAGCATGCAGAGCTTTGAATGGGGGCTGGGAGAGGTGGTGGGAAGTATGCAGCAAGTCAGGTTTATAGAGCTGCCCATACTTTCACCCCTCTCTCAGGCCTCATTATCTCATCTCTCAGAATATTGTAACTGGTCTCCCTTTCTTCAGTTTCCTTATTCCAGGCTTTCTTCCACATTGCTACCAGAATTACCTTAATAAGAGATAAAACTGTTCATGTCACTTTCTTGCTTAAAAACTACCACTGGCAGCCAGGTGCGGTGGCTCACACCTGTAATCCCGGCACTTTGGGAGGCTGAGGTGGGAGGACTGCTTGAGTCCAGGAGTTCAAGACCAGCCTGGGCAACATAGTGAGACTTTGCCTCTACAAATAATAAAAAAATTAGCTGGGCATGGTGGCACATGCCTGTGGTCCCAGCTACTTGGGAGGCCAAGGCAGGAGGATCACTTGAGCCCAGGTAGTCAAGACTGCAGTGAGTTGTGATTGCACCACTGCACTCCAGCCTGGGCAGCAGAGCAAGACCCCGTCTAACAAGGAAAAATTACCACTGGCTTCTCAGTCCAGACTTTCTAGACTGCTACTGTAACTCCTCAGTGGGTTCATCTTACCTGCTGCCGAGATAGAGACGATTTATCAAGATGGGAGAATTGCAATAAAGAGTTTAATACACATAGAGGCAGCTAAACGGGAAACCAGAATTTTATTATTACTCAAATCAGCCTCCCCCAGAATTCTGAGGCTAGGGTTTTTCAAGGATGGTTTGGTGGGCAGGGGTCTAGGGAATGAGTGCTGCTGATTGGTTGGGGATGCAATCATAGGGGTGTGGAAACCAGTCCTCTGCTGAGCCCAGTTTTGGATGGGGGCCACAGAGGGGTCACTGGTCCCAGTGGAGTCATCCAGTCATCAGAAATGCAAAAGTCAGAAAAGACATCTTAAAAAGCCAATCTTAGGTTCAACAATAGTGATGTTACTTACAGGAGTAACTGGGGAAGTTGCAAATCTTGTGACCTTTGGAAAAATGATTGGTAATCATGAGAATTCAGGCCCCTCTTGTAATCCTAAATTTGTACGCTTTTATTAGTTTTATAAAGGCAGTTTCATTTTGAGAAGGGCTATTATCATTTAAACTATAAACTGTAATAAATTTCTGGCTAGGCATGGTGGCTCACACCTGTAATCCTAGCATGTTGAGAGGCCGGAGCAAGCGGATCACCTGAGGTCAGGAGTTCAAGACTCCTGACCTCAGGATGGTCAACATGACGAGACACCATCTCTACTCAAAATACAAAAATTAGCCAGGCATGGTGGCCGGCGCCTGTAATCCCAGCTACTTGGGTGGCTGAGGCAGGAGAATCACTTGAACTGGGAGGTGGAGGTTGCGATAAGCCAAGATCGCACCGCTACACTCCAGCCTGGGCCACAGAGCGAGACTCCATCTCAAAAAAAAAAAAAAAAAAAGAAAAAGAAAAAAAAGTCAGGCACAGTGGCTCATGCCTGTAATCCCAGCACTTTAAGAGGCTGCAGCAGGCGGATCACTTGAGGCCAGGAGTTTGAGACCAGCTTGGCCAACATGGCAAAACCCCATCCCTACCAAAAAATACAAAAACAGCCAGGCATTGTGGCATGTGCCTGTAGTCCCAGCTACTTGGGAGGCTGGAGCACAAGAATCACTTGAACCCAGGAGGCAGAGGTTGCAGTGAGCTGAGATCATGCCACTGCACTCCAGCCTGGGCGATAGAGCAAGACTGTCTCAAAAAAAAAAAAAAAATTAGCCAGGCATGTGGCTCTCACACCTGTAATCCCAGCTTTCCAGCCACTCAGGAGGCTGAGGTGGGAGAATCACTTGAACCTGGGAGGCAAAGGTTGCAGTGAGCTGAGATCGCACCACTGTACTCCAGCCTGGGCAACAGACAGAGTGAGACCCTGTCTCAGAAAAAAAAAAAAAAAAGTTTTCTCCCAAAGTTAGCTCAGCCTATGTCCAGGAATGAGCAAGAGCAATTTGGAGGTTAACAGCAAGATGGAGTTGATTAGGTCAGATTTCTTTCACTGTCATAATTTTGTCACTGTTATTTTTGCAAAGGTGGTTTCACCACAAAAAGCTTTCGTGATCTGGCCCCCTTGCCTACCTGATTAGCTTAACCTTCTGCTTTTCCTCTTAAACTCATACAGGCTACTGTCCATTGGATTATGAATTCCTTGAAGTCAGAAATGATGTATTTCCAAGGCCTAGCACAGTAACTCGCATATGCTTGGTAAATGCTACATAAATTAATTAGCAATATAAAATTCTAATAAGGTCACAGTGTGAGAGAACACTGAAAAACATGTGCTAGTTTCTCATCTCTCTGCTTTCCATTGCTAAGTATAAATAAAAACATAAATAAAAAACACACACTGAACTAAAGATCAGGTCCCTTCTTCCCCTAGTACAGATTCCTGATCACTTAGACCCAACATCCTGTCTCAGTACCCACCAGGAAGCACTCTGCTTCTCCGAACTGCCAAGTCAATGCCACATTTGATCTCTGACAGTCCCAAGGTGCCATGACAGGAAAGGATTTGGCTTTTCCTTGTATGCACAGAGCTTTTGATCCGGGTATGTTCCAGACAGTCAGGTTTCTCATATTTGGCCATTCTTTCTTTCTAGGTCAATAACTTCTATCCGGAGTGAACTGATTCCATATTTAGTGAGAAAACAGTTTTCCTCAGCTTCCTCACAACAGGGACAAGAAGAAAAAGAGGAGGATCTAAAGAAAAAGGAGCTGAAGTCCTTAGGTCAGTTCTTGGGTTGGTTCAGTAAGAGGGGCAAGGGTAGCAGCACCTTTGGAAAGAGTGGTTGGGCAGCTTAGCCCAGCCCAAGATGCCTGACTCAAGGCAGCAGACTATTTCTAGCCTACGAGGCAAGACAGGCTTGCCAACCCACTGAGCTCTGGGTAAGCTTGCTCAGGCAGATTCTGCCACTGTGCTCTCGGCAACAGGCTAATCATGCCTCCAGCCCCATTCTCTGATTCATAGCTCTGGTTTGGCTGTGTTCCTCACTAGACCATTTTGCCTTTAAACTCCACCTGCCACTTCTTAGTTCCCCTGTTCTCTAGGCTCTAGGCAGCCCCGTTCCTGATTAAACTCAACCTCTTTTATCAAGGGAAGGAAAGTGAAGGAATGTACAATTGCAGTCCAACCACAGGCCAACCCAGGTGTCTCCGTGCCAGGATCTGAAGATCGGATCTGTCTTGTTTGCTGTCATATCCCTAATCCCCGGCCCAGTCGTGGACTCATAGTAGATATTCTGAAAAAGTATTTATCAAATGAATACACTGACAGTACAGCATGATGATTAGGACTGTAGAACTGGGCATCAGACAGTTCTGGATTTGAAATCTGACTGCCTCTTACTAGCATTGTGTCTTTTTTTTTTTTTATTTTTTTGAGACGGAGTCTCCCTCTGTCGCCCAGGCTGGAGGGCAGTGGCGCAATCTCGGCTCACTGCAAGCTCCGCCTCCCGGGTTCACGCCATTCTCCTGCCTCAGCCTCCCCAGCAGCTAGGACTACAGGCACACGCCACCACGCCCGGCTAATTTTTGTATTTTTAGTAGAGACGGGGTTTCTCTGTGTTAGCCAGGATGGTATCGATCTCCTGACCTCATGATCCACCCGCCTCGGCCTCCCAAAGTGCTGGGATTACAGGCATGAGCCACCGTGCCCGGCCAGCATTGTGTCTTGAGGCAGGTTACTCAGTCCTCTGAGCCCCAGTTTTTTTATGAGAAAGTAAAAGATCTCAAAGGATCGTTGTAAGAGCTGAAAAACTAGAGCCCTGGTACTCTGGGCTCCAAGTTCTGTACTTTCTGTCATAGCACAGCTACCAGATATGGTAATAGAGACTAGCAGCACAAAGTCAACCTGGCTGGCCACTAAAGCCTGGATGCTGGCTTGTGTTATTTCATGATTTACAAGGGTCATCTGTTTTATTTTCCCTAGTGGTCTTGATTACCGGTCACATGCTTTTAGGACCTCGTATTAAGCATTTTTATATCATATGATATTTTAGGGAAGTACATTTCCTCTTTTAGTTTGACTTTCTCTTACAGATTTTAGTGGGATTTCCTCAGGGTTCATGTTTTGTGGGTGAGTTTCAAAGGAAGAAGTGTGAGCTGTAATCTCTTTTAAAACTTAGAGCCAAGCATGGTGGTGCACACCTGTAGTCCCAGCTGCTCAGGAAGCTGAGGTGGGAGGATCCCTTGAGTCTGGGAGTTTGAGACCAGCCTAGGCAACATAGCAAGACCTCGTCTCTTAAATAAACAAAAAAACAACTTGACTGAGTCTGTATCTGTTCTGTTATCTCTCTCTCATTTATTTCCTTGGTTGGGTGTTTGTTCTGAAGATATCTACAGTTTTATAAAAGAAGCCAATACACTGAACCTGGCTCCCTATGATGCCTGCTGGAATGCCTGTCGAGGAGACAGGTGGGAAGACTTGTCCAGATCACAGGTGCGCTGCTATGTCCACATCATGAAAGAGGGGCTCTGCTCTCGAGTGAGCACACTGGGACTCTACATGGAAGCAAACAGACAGGTGAGAGCATGAGTTAGAAAATCATGGGGCTCTTGTCCTAGAAACAGACTGAGCCACTTGTCTGTTTCTTCATTAGGTACATAGTAACTTGTTAAGAATCCCTGTCATTCCCAAGGTTGAGCAAGACCTGGCACGTCAAGGGAGACTACTAGGGTACTCAGGTGCAGCAAAAAGGGAAGCAGGGGGCCTGGTCCATAGTCAGGGCCTCTATGGCTCCAGGGAAAGGCTAAGATCTTCAGGAAGGCTAACTTCTGGCCTTTGGGTCAGCAGGTTCCTCCTGTTCTGTTCAGCATGGGGATATCTGCAGTACTTACTTCATAATAAGCAGGTAAATACTCTGTAATCATTACTCTGATGAAGTAAACATAGGCATACAGAGGAGGCTTCCCTGAGAAGGTGAAGGAGCAGAGTATAGAGTGGCCAGATGGCAAAGCCTCAGGAAAGGAATGACTTTGAGAGAGAATTGTCTGCAAACAGCATTAATGAGGAGTCTCTTGCTAGCCCCTCCTTTTAACCTTGAAGTTTGTGAGATATGGGGAACAAATAGCTTCCACTGAAGGAGAAGCAGTGTCCTCAAAGATAAGCCAGGCCTTAATGAAGGCAGGGGGTGGAGAGGGGGACAGTAAAGAGGCTGAAGGTATAAAGGAACTCTGTATTGTATAGTAGGCCCAGGAGGAAGGTTTTGGGAGGGAGGAATAATAAGACTAGGAAAAGGAAATGCAGAGCAGTAAAGGGTTTAGATGAGAATAAGAAAAGAGTCCGGGCACGGTGTCTTACGCCTATAATCCTAGCAATTTGGGAGGCCGAGGCAGGTGGATCGCTTGAGTCCAGGAGTTCGAGACCAGCCTGGGCAACATGGCAAAATCCTGTCTCTACAAAAATACTACAAAAATTAGCCAGGTATGGTGGCATGTGGCTGTAGTCCCAGTTACTTGGAAGGCTGAGGTGGGAGGATCACCTGAGCCTGGAATGCAGAGGTTGCAGTGAGCTGAGATTGCACCACCGCACTCCAGCCTAAGCCTAAGCAACAGAGTGAGACTCTGTATTAAAAAAAAAAAAAGAGGATAGGAAAAGATAAATAATTGAGGGAACTACATTGGGGTGGCATTCAAGGATAACAGAGGTGAGATAATGAAAAGATTAGTTATTGACATTGCTCCTGGTAGAACCCTGTGAAAATATAATTGCAGGTGTAGACCAGGGTGGCAGTGGAGCGCAGAATAATATAAAAGAAATTGTTGAAAATTGGGATTGAGGCCGGGCACAGTGGCTCACGCCTGTAATCCCAGCACTTTGGGAGGCTGAGACGGGTGGATCGCCTGAGGTCAGGAGTTCGAGACCAGGCTGGCCAACATGGTGAAACCCTGTCTCTACTAAAAATACAAAAATTAGCCAAGCATGGTGGCATGCACCTGTAATCCCAGCTTCTCAGGAGGCTGAGGCAGGAGAATTGCTTGAACCTGATAGGTGGAGGTTGCAGTAAGCTGAGATTGTGCCACTGCACTCCAGCCTGGGCAACAGAGTGAGACTCTGTCTCAAAAAAAAGAAAAAGAAAATTGGGATTGACTCCTGAAGAAAACCTGGCTCAGGAATCTGTAGGACCCACACCAGATAAAACCTCAGGTGAGCCTCAACCTGTATTGGTTACAGATCCAAGGGAGTCCCAAGCCAGAGAGCTTATGAGAAATCATAGCTAGTCCCACATTTACCCATGACTAGCATCTTTCACGCTGGTCTGGAAAGATGTTCATGGATAACCTGAGTGGGAAGACTTGTCCAGATCACAGGTGCACCGCTGTGTCCACATCATGAAAGAGGGACCCTGCTCTCGAGTGAGCATGCTGGGAAAAGTATCCTTTGAAGTGCCAACAGGGACTATGCAGCAGACGGGCCTGAAGGGCCTTGGGTGGAGTGTGGAAGAAGAGAACCTAGGGCTGGGGGCTTGGAATTAGCCTTCACATTCCAGTGTAGCCGTGCTGACAAGGCCTCCGTCAGCTAGTGTGGCTGCCACGCACAGTGCTCTGACCAGCATTCTGTCTATGCTGGAGAATCATAGACAGGCGCACTACCTGTGCCTTCCTAATAGACTGGTAGCCAAAGCCCCCCATACCTCTAACCTTTCCAGGTTTCTCACACTGGAGAGGGAATAGTGTGAACTTCCCCTTCATGTTTTCTTTTGGCTGGGGGATAGATGCCTTCTCAGGGTCTGTCCTTGATTTCGAATTTGTCTAAAATGGATCTCATCCTCACCTCATGCGTGGTCACAGTGGTCCAGGAGGTGACCAGGAACCCAGGATGCTTATGATCAGGATGCGGGGTGTTCCTTGACCTGATCAGGCCTCCTTTCCCAAGAGGTGGTATGTGGGTATCTCAAAGACTGGTCTCAGTGCCTCCCAGCCAAGGGACATGGCATTACTTTCAAGGAGGAGCATTCAAAGCTAAGAGACTGACAATAAGGCCATCTAGAAGCTGCTGCATAAATAATCTTGGTCCTAGGGGGAATGCAGCAGCCTCCTGCTCCCCCTCACTCAGACAGGAAGCTATGGCTGAGAACTCCCTGTATCTCTGATTGAGCACTGGGTTCTACCTAAGGTGTTTTTTTTTTTTTTTTTTTTTTTTTTTTTTATTGATCATTCTTGGGTGTTTCTCGCAGAGGGGGATTTGGCAGGGTCATAGGACAATAGTGGAGGGAATGTCAGCAGATAAACAAGTGAACAAAGGTCTCTGGTTTTCCTAGGCAGAGGACCCTGTGGCCTTCCGCAGCGTTTGTGTCCCTGGGTACTTAAGATCAGGGAGTGGTGATGACTCTTAACGAGCATGCTGCCTTCAAGCATCTGTTTAACAAAGCACATCTTGCACCGCCCTTAATCCATTTAACCCTGAGTGGACACAGCACATGTTTCAGAGAGCACAGGGTTGGGGGTAAGGTCGCAGATCAACAGGATCCCAAGGCAGAAGAATTTTTCTTAGTACAGAACAAAATGAAAAGTCTCCCATGTCTACTTCTCTCTACACAGACACAGCAACCATCCGATTTCTCAATCTTTTCCCCACCTTTCCCGCCTTTCTATTCCACAAAACCGCCATTGTCATCATGGCCCGTTCTCAATGAGCTGTTGGGTACACCTCCCAGAGGGGGTCGTGGCCGGGCAGAGGGGCTCCTCACTTCCCAGTAGGGGCGGCCAGGCAGAAGCGCCCCTCACCTCCCGGATGGGGCGGCTGGCCGGGTGGGGGGCTGACCCCCACCTCCCTCCCGGACGGGGTGGCTGCCGGGCGGAGACGCTCCTCACTTCCCAGACGGGGTGGCTGCCGGACGGAGGGGCTCCTCACTTCTCAGACGGGGCGGCTGCCAGGCAGAGGGTCTCCTCACTTCTCAGACGGGGCGGCCGGGCAGAGACGCTCCTCACCTCCCAGACAGGGTCGCGGCCAGGCAGAGGCGCTCCTCACATCCCAGACGGGGCGGCGGGGCAGAGGCGCTCCCCACATCCCAGACTATGGGCGGCCGGGCAGAGACGCTCCTCACTTCCTAGATGGGATGGCAGCGGGGAAGAGGTGCTCCTCACCTCCTAGATGGGATGGCGGCCAGGCAGAGACGCTCCTCACTTCCCAGACGGTGTGGCGGCCGGGCAGAGGCTGCAATCTCAGCTCTTTGGGAGGCCAAGGCAGGCGGCTGGGAGGTGGTTGTAGCTAGCCGAGATCACGCCACTGCACTCCAGCCTGGGCACCATTGAGCACTGAGTGAACCAGACTCCGTCTGCAATCCCGGCACCTCGGGAGGCCGAGGCTGGCGGATCACTCGCGGTTAGGAGCTGGAGACCAGCCCGGCCAACACAGCGAAACCCGTCTCCACCAAAAAAATACGAAAACCAGTCAGGCGTGGCGGCGCGCGCCTGCAATTGCAGGCAGTCGGCAGGCTGAGGCAGGAGAATCAGGCAGGGAGGTTGCAGTGAGCCGAGATGGCAGCAGTACAGTCCAGCTTTGGCTCGGCATCAGAGGGAGACCGTGGAAAGAGAGGGAGAGGGAGACCGTGGGGAGGGGGAGTGGGAGAGGTAGAGGGAGAGGGAGAGGGAGAGCTACCTAAGGTGTTTTCTGATCTTTAGTGACCAAATCTCTGTCCTTAAGGTGCCCAAATTGCTGTCTGCTCTCTGTCCAGAAGAACCACCAGTCCATTCGTCAGCCCAGATTGTCAGCAAACACCTGGTAAGTGCTAGTGTGGCCAGGACGGGCATGAGATGTTCTTTGGGAGCATCGAGACTTGTTTTTGAGAAGCCGGATTGAGGCCTTTAAGTCCTGAACCTCATCAGCCCCAGGGAAATCACAGTGGGTTCTGAGAATAAAATCTCACTCAACAAGACTGCCTGGGCAAGTAATGACCTTGTAAGGAAGGGTCCATTATAGTGTTGGGACTCAGACACAGGAGCTCTCAATCTCAGCCTGAAAGACTCTAGTCATGGGTAAATGTGGGACTACCTATGATTCTCATAAGCTCTCTGGCTTGGGACTCCCTTGGATCTGTAACCAATCCAGGTAGAGGCTCACCTGAGGTTTTATCTGGTATGGGTCCTACAGATTCCTGAGCCAAGTTTTCTTCAGGAGTCAGTCCCAATTTTCTTTTTCTTTTTTTTTGAGACAGAGTCTCACTCTGTTGCCCAGGCTGGAGTGCAGTGGCACAATCTGTCCCCCTTCTAACTCTGATTTGAGCACACTCTTTAAGAGAGCACATCTGTATACACAAGTGCATGAGTGTGTATATGTGTCTGTTGTTTTATTTTGTTTTCTTGGCAAGAGAGGAGGGCCCATGCTTCAAATAGGTTTGAGTTGGTCTCAGAGGTGTTGTATGACCTTGTGGCCCTGAGAAATACTGATCATGGTCCCTCTTGCTGAAGTGTCTCTATGGAAAGATCCCATTAGATCCCAGCTTGAGGGATCTGGAGGGTGGTTTGCAGTTGGTTGAGATGGGTGGACAGAGTTTTATATTTTGCCTTTTACAGGTTGGAGTTGACAGCCTCATTGGGCCAGAGACACAGATTGGAGAGAAGTCATCCATTAAGCGCTCAGTCATTGGCTCATCCTGTCTCATAAAAGATAGAGTGACTATTACCAATTGCCTTCTCATGAACTCAGTCACTGTGGAGGAAGGGTATGTTTCCCCCTGTACCCACTTGAGGCAAAGATAATGGAAAAATGCCTTCAAAATTCTGAAGGAAGGTTAATTTTAACCTAAAATTGTATACCCAGGCAAAGTGCTAATCAAGAGGGCAATAGAATAAAAACATTTTCAGATATCAAAAGTCTCAAAAACTTTACTAGGAAATTTATTCCTCTAAAATGGAAAATAAACCAAACAGAGAAAGATCAGAAACAAGAGATTCAACTCAGAAAAAGGGCAAAAAGAATCCATGGGATAACAGTGAACAGAGATAAGAATGACAGCTCTAAATGGGGCATAAAGGGATTAGTTAATCCAAACTGGAACAAAACCAAAGAATCCAGGAAAGATTTATTCAGCAAGATGCAACTGATAAAATACCAGATACATACAAACATTTGAAAGTCGATTTAGGCAACTGGCTAAAAGTTTGAAGTTGAATCGGGGATAACATAGAAAAAACAACACTATTTAACAAAAACAAGACTGTTATTAACTCTGGGAAAATGAAGAAGTTGTACAAGTTGAATATCCCTAATCCAAAAACCCAAAATCAAATGCTCCAAAATCCGAAACTTTTGAGCACCAACTTGACACTCAAAGGAAATTCTCACTGGAACATTTGAGAGTTCAGATTTTTGGGTTAGGGATGCTGAAACGGTAAGTATAATGCAAATATTCAAAAAAATTTTAAAAAATCCAAAATCTAAAACACTTCTGGCCCGGCACAGTGGCTCATGCCTGTAATCCCAGCATTTTGGGAGGCTGAGGCAGGTGCATCACCTGAGGTCAGGAGTTCGAGATTAGCCTGGCCAACATGGTGTAACCCCATCTCTACTAAAAATACAAAAAAAAAAAAAATTAGCCAGGTGTGGTGGTGTGCACCTGTAGTCCCAGCTACTCAGGAGGCTGAGGCAGGAGAATGGCTTGAACCCAGGAGGCAGAGGTTGCAGTGAGCTGAGATCGCACCACTGCACTCCAGCCTGGGTGACAGAGCAAGACTCTGTCTCAAAAAAAAAAATAAATAAATAAAAAATAAAACACTTCTGGTCCCAAGTATTTCAGATAAGGGATACATAACCTGTATAAGAAATGAAAAGACCATAGTTTGCTATGGATCAGCTACAAAATAGAATTTACATAGTCATAATAAACCTGACTACTGGCCAAAGTTATGCTATAACTCTATTGAAAGGATGAAAGATGGAAAGGGAAATGGGGGTAAGGGAGAAAGGAGAGCTAAATTCTCATTTTTCACTGTAGAAAGCCAATTGATAATGCCTAAAGCTGAAAAATAAAGAACTAGTAATACAATTATGTTAATACCTAGAGGCATGGAAGTAATACCAAATTACTCAGCAGAAAGAATTAAAAGAGTTGCCTCTGGGAAGAGGGAAATGAGGAATAGGGGTTGCAGGGGACTGCTGATTTTCATAACAAAATCTTCAGAAGTATTTGCTTTAAACTACTAATATCAGTTGGCCAAAAATATCCAGAGTTTTGTGGTACGCTGCTACCAGTGGTATGCTGATAAATTGTTGACAACCAGCCCTCCAAAGGAAAAAATAAGCGACATAATTCGAAACATTTGCTAATTTCTGTGGTGTAAATTATTCCACTATAGCCAATGATATCACCTAACGCTGAGTTGAGAAGAGATGCTAATAATTGCCTCTCCCAAGCTAAAACAAGCCAGCGTCAGCACACCACTAATAGAGACCCCTCTCAAGCATTTCACTGATTTATCAGATACTAACAGACCCACTCTCTGATTAAGATTGTGCTAGGCAGTGAAAGAAACAAAACGACATAAGTCTTAATCTCTTCCCTCAAGGAATTTATACTATGTGCAGTAAGAAGTGATAGGTGCTATGGTAGAGATCTGTAAGGTCAGAAGGGAGGAAAGGGTCAGGAAAGGCTTAAGGAAATGACCCTTGAGCTGAATCTTGGAAAATGAGTAGAGCCACCTGAGCTGGAGAAAGGAGTGGTTTTGGGGGTAGTGTTTTTTTGTTTTTTTTCAAGACAGGGTTTCCCTCTGTTGCCCAGGCTGGAGTACAGTGGCATGATCATAGCTCACTACAACCTCAAACTCCTGAGCTCCAACAGTCCTCCTGCCTCAGCTTCTCAGGTAGCTAGGACTACAGGCGCACACCACCAGGCCCAGCTAATTTTTTTAAAAAATTTTATAGAGATGGGGATTTTACTGTGTTGCCCAGGCTGGTCTTGAACTCCTGGCCTCAAGCAGTCCTCCCACCTCAGCCTCCCAAAGTGCTGGGATTACAGGCATGAGCCACTGCACCTGGCCAGAGGTATTCTAGATACATAAAAAGTGAAGTGGCCAGCCACATTGGCTCATATCCATAGTCCCGGCACTTTGGAAGGTCGAGGTGGGCAGATTACTTGAGCCCAGGAGTTTGAGACCAGCCTGGGCAACATGACGAAACCACATCTCTACAAAAACTACAAAAATTAGCCTGGAGTGGTGGCATACATCAGTAGTCTCAGCTACTCAGAAGGCTGAGATGGGAGGACCGACTGAGTCTGGTATGTCAAGGCTGCAGTGAGCCAAGATTGTGCTACTACACTGCAGCCTGGGTAACAGAGTGAGAGCCTGCCTTAAAATACATACATATACAAGAATTAGTTGAGCATGGTGGTGTGCACCTGTAACCCCTGAGGTGGGAGGATCAACTGAGCCCAGGAAGTGGAGGTTGCAGCAAGCAATGATCATGCCACTGCACTCCAGCCTAGGTGACAGAGTGAGACCCTATCTCAAAAAAAAAAAAAAAAAAAAGATTGTGAAGTATGAAAGAGCATATCTTATTCCAGAAACATCTCCCTATTTTGATCTTAGCTCAAATGTCACCTCTTCAGAGGAACCTTCCCCAACTACCCTATTGGAAATAATCTGTCCCACTAACCACCATCACATCAACCTGTTTCATTTCCCTCATAACACCATCACTATTTAGTCTTATCTTTACTTGTCTCTCACAAGTAAAACATTAGTTTCAGAATGTAAGTGCCTTATCTCTCTTGTTCACTTTTATATCCTGAGGGCCTACAGGAACTCAATAAATATTTGTTATATGAAAGAATGACAAACAATTCACCATGACCAGAATATAAATCAGAGAGGGATGGATACAAGAGACAAGGCTATACATGCAGATGGACAAGGGCCAAGTAATGGATTGTTCCCTGAGGCGTTTGATAGGTAATGGTAATTTAAGAGCTTAAAGCAAAAGAGCAGCATGATTAAATTAGCATTTCAGGAAGATTATTTGGGCTACATTAGGAAGGTTGGCCTGAACAGGGTAAACATGGAGGCAGGAAGGCCATTGAAATAATTCTGGTAAAATAGAAGAGGTCCTAAACTAAGGCAATAAATAGCAGTAGAGATGGAGAAGACAGACAATAAGGTGATTAAAAACTATAAAACATGTGTCTGCCTAGATATATGAGGTCAAAGAGAAATTAAGGAAAAAAACAGATTTGTTGCTTGAGCAATGAGATTTCTGGTGTGCTATTCAAGATAGAAATTAGTAGAGGAAGAGCAAGATTGGCAGGCTGGGAGATGGGAAGAGTATAAATTCCATCTGGGACAAGTTGAATGCATGGTGACGTACAGGAGGCCTTGATCTACAGGGCTGGAGCTTAGGAAAGAAGCTGTGCTTGAAGTACGAATTTGGAAGTGGCAGGCACAGAAGTGGTAACTGAAGGCTGGGTGTGGTGGCTCATGCCTGTAGTCCCAGCACTTTGGGAGGCTGAGGTGGGCAGATGAGCCCAGGAGTTCGAGACCAGCCTGGGCAACATGGCGAAACCCCATCTCTACCAAAAATACAAAAATTAGCTGGGCGTGGTGGCACACACCTGTAATACCAGCTACTCGGGAGGCTAAGGCAGGAAGGTCACTTGAACCCTGGAGGCAGAGGTTGCAGTGAGCCAAGATTGCACCACTGCACTCCAGCCTGGGTGACAGAGTGAGACTCTTTCTCAAAAAAAAAAAAAACCTGAGAACTGATAACTGAAGCCTTGGGAGTAGAGTAGATGAAATCACCCAAGGAGAGTGTGTGACATGAAAAGAAAAGAAACCAAACAAAACCTTGGGGATTGGGAACTAACAGCAAGCAATTTTAGACATAAGAAAAGGAATCTAAGGAGACTGACAAGGAATGAGCAAGAAGGGGACATGTGGGGTAAGGGAGAGGAGAGTTGACAGGTGAAGCCCAGGTTTCCAGTTACGGAAAGAGTGGATGGTGGTGCACTCACTGAGATGAGGAAGGAGGGACAGATTTGTGGGAGACAAGGTCTGTGTAGGGCACAAGAGGTAGGAAGTGCCTGTAGGGCATCAAGTATGTGGAGATGTCTGGTATTCAGTTTGTGGTTAGAGCTTAGGAAAAGAGGTCAGACCCAGAGATAAAGTCTTTGTCTCTTTCCCAAATCATTCGTGTGATATTCTCTCTCTCTCTCTCTCTCTCTCTCTCTCTCTTTTTTGAGACGGGGTCTCTCTTTGTCCCCTGGGCTGGAGTGCAGTGATGTTATCATGGCTCACCGCAGCCTCAACACCCTGGGCTTAGGTGATCCGCTCACCTCAGCCTCCTGAGTAGCTGGGACCACAGGCATGTGCCACTATATTTTTAGTAGAGACGAGGTCTCACTATGTTACCCAGGCTTGAATTCCTGAGTGCCTCCTAAAGTGCTGAGATTACAGGCATGAGCCACTACACCACCATATTGTGGTGTTCTCCAACTTATTTTTCCTGTCTTCATCATTCTTCGTCTTCTATATTTACCCTTCCCCCATTGTTCTTATGAATTAGAACATGAGCTTTGAGTCAGACTGCCAAACTGAATCCTAGGTCTGTCACTTTAATTAGTCTCTTAAAGAATTGGCCAAATTAGCCAGGCGTGGTGGCTCGCGCCTATAGTCCCAGATATTCAGGAGGCTGAGGCAGAAGAATCGCTTGAACCCGGCAGGCAGAGATTGCAGTGAGCTGAAATCACACCACTGCACTCCAGCCTGGGTGACAGAGCGAGACTCCATCTCAAAAAAAAAAAAAAAAAAAAAAAAAGGCCTTACCTCTTTGTGCCTGATTTTCTCATTATAAAATGGGGGTAAAACTGAACTACCTTGTAGGTTTATTGGGAGTACTAAATTAGTTAGTAAATATAAAGCTTTTTTTTTTTTCCGAGATAGTCTCACTCTGTCACCAAGGCTGGAGTGCAATGGCGTGATCTCAGCTCGCTGCAACCTCCGCCTCCCAAGTTCAAGCGATTCTCCTGCCTCAAACTCCCGAGTAGTTGGGATTATAGGTGCGCACCCCCACACCCTGGTAGTTTTTGTGTTTTTAGTAGAGACAGGGTTTCACCATGTTGGCCAGGTTAGTTACGAACTCCTGACCTCAAGTGATCTGCCTGTCTCAGCCTCCCAAAGTGCTGGGATTACAGGCATGAGCCACCATGCCCGGCCATATAAAGCATTTAGGATAGTTAGTTGCTATTTTTATTTATTTATTATTGTTGTTGTTATTATATTACTACTTTATCCCATTTCACAAGGATGGCATGTTGCCAACATTGTCTTTCTAAAGAATATCTCTGATCACATCCTTGTTCTATTAAAAACCTTTTGAAAGCTCCCTCTTACCTTTAGAAGAAATTGGAACTTCATGATTCCTCATGGTCTGGCTCCAGCACTGAGTCTGGAATGCTAGTGTGAGATGAGGCCTTAGAAGTCATCCAGCTGAACTCCTGAATTTTTATAGATGAATAAATGTAGCATTCCAGACATTTTTCTTGTTGCACCCCTGCTACGCCATGTCCTCTTCCAGACTCCTGGATAAGACTGACAGACATCACCATTCTCTTAAACCAGAACTACACTTGCCTTCATCCATTTGATCACCTGGTTCCAGGTAACTCATGAGCTTTGTAGCTTCCCTTCTCTCAGACCTTCCAAGGAAGACAATGGCATAATTTTCCCCATATGCTCTAATTAGCAACCTTTCCCTGCCCTTCTGTGGGTGGGCAGGGCCGGACACAGTGGGTCACACCTGCAACCTGTAATCCCAGCACTTTGGGAGGCTGAGGTGGGCAGATTGCCTGAGCTCAGGAGTTCAAGACAGTCTGGGTAACATGGCAAAATCCTGTCTCAAAAAAAAAAAAAAAATCCAGTGTTAGTGTCCTAATTGATATGAAGAGACTTGGCGAGGAAACCATGGCTCCCTAAGACACTACAGCTTTCTTTTTTTTTTTTTTTTTTTTTTTTGAGACGGAGTCTCATTCTGTCACCCAGGTTGGAGTACAGTGGCGCAATCTCAGCTCACTGCAAGCTCCGCCTCCCGGGTTCACACCATTCTCCTGCCTCAGCCTCCTGAGTAGCTGGGACTACAGGTGCCCGCCACCACGCCCAGCTAATTTTTTGTATTTTTAGTAGAGACGGGGTTTCACCATATTAGCCAGGATGGTCTCGATTTCCTGATCTTGTGATCCGCTCGCCTCGGCCTCCCAAAGTACTGGGATTACAGGCTTGAGCCATTGCGCCCGGCCAACACTACAGCTTTCTATGTGAGAAAAGAAGTTCAGAGAAAAGGCCTAGCATATCTCATAGTCATTTGCCGTCTTGGAGGAGACAAGTTTTCATTCTGTCACCCAGGCTAGAGTGCAGTGGCGCAATCATGACTTACTGCAGCCTCAACCTCCTGGGCTCAAGTGATTTTCCCACTTCAGCCTCCCAAGTAGCTGGGACTATGGGCGTGTGCCACTACACGGCAAATTTTTTTTTTTTTTTTTTTTTTTAGAGACAGAATCTCTGTGTTGCCTAGGCTGGCTACTTCTTTTTTTAAAAATAAAAAAGTTGAGGTAAAGCTATAGACAGCCCACACAAGGCTAATGACTGGGAAGGCCATTAGCAATTACCCAATCCTGCGAATGAGTTCCTGCTGATAAGATCAGACATCCTACATCCCATATGAACTTTTTCCCATTATTTTGGGGTCACTTAATTTTAATTACTTACGGCAAACCTGGGAAAGGTAATTAAATTGCAGTCAAGTGAGACTTGATTACCCTGCTGCTATTATGTCTTGGCTAAGTGGCAGGGTAGGAGCATAAAATTGTTCAGAAGGGAGTTTCTCATATTCGTTATGTGCTTGTCTCTGCCAGCAGTGGTGGGCTGCTGAGGCTTGAAAGCTTGCTGAGGCTTTCTGGACACCTGCCCAAGGTCTTCAGGGCTTGAGGGATGCTAATAGGACCACCTTGGAGAAGGTGTAGGCGAGACTATTCAGAGAAAGCTCCTGCCCATCTTTCTCATGTTCTGGCATTTTATATGACAGCTGATGCTCAGGAATCCACAATGTAGTAAACACTTCATTGTCAAAGCTTGAGTGTCAGCCCTGTATTCTGCATGTTTGGTCCCCTGGTCCCAAGCAACCTCTCCTGCATTTCCCCCTAATCCAAGGCACATGACCCAAGCAGCAGTCTAGAGTAGCATCTTCACATGCTGACAGGCTAGAAAGCCAGGTTCTCACCTAGGTTTTCCATGCTTTTTGCAGTTAGCAAGTGTAGACCTCAGAGCCAGGTAAGAAATTACTACTTCTCATCATTACCCTGAGTGTACCCTTCACCTGCACTCAACTGACTGACTGCCCTGCCCACTGGGTTCCTTACATTCCTACTTCCCTTTATTTCTAACATTCACTCTGCCTGAATTGCCTCTCTTTGGAGCTCTTTCCTGTAAAAATCCTACCCATCTTGCAAGATCCAATGCATATTCCAACTCTTCCATGCAGCTTTCTTAAGATGTCATAGCCGGCCAGGCATGGTGGCTTACGCCTGTAATCCCAACACTTTGGGAGGCCAAGGCGGGCCAATCACCTGAGGTCAGGAGTTTGAGACCATCCTGGCCAACATGGTGAAACCCCGTCTCTACTAAAAATACAAAAATTAGCTGGGCGTGGTGGTGTGTGCCTGTAATTCTAGCTACTCAGGAGGCTGAGGCAGGAGAATCGCTTAAACCGGGGAGGCAGAGGTTGCAGTGAGCCGAGGTTGCACTATTGGACTCCGGACTGGATGACAGAGCGAGACTCCATCTAAAAAAAAAAAAAAATTGTCATAGCCATAAACTATTTTCCCCACCTCTGTGCTCCCTATGCACCCATAACACTTTATTCATGCTCACATGGTACTGTGGCACTTACTGCATCTTTCTTCCCTCTTCAACTAGACTATAAATGCCTTCAATATAGTTTTGTTTGTTTTTTTTTTTTTGAGACAGAATCTCATTCTGTCACCCCGGCTGGAGTGCAATGGCACAATCTCAGCTAACTGCAACCTCCACCTGCCAGGTTTAAGCAGTTCTCCAGCCTCAGCCTCCCGAGTAGCTGGGACTACGGGCACGTGCTACCATGCCCAGCTAATTGTTTGTATTTTTAGTAGAGATGGGGTTTCTCCATGCTGGCCAGGCTGGTCTCAAATTCCTGACCTCATTAGCCGCCCACCTCCAGCCTCCCAAAGTGCTGAGATTACAGGCGTGAGCCACCATGCCTGGCTAAATATAGAAATATTTTTATATGTCTTTATATCCCCTAACTTCTTAATACTGCACTTTTTACGTAGTAGATATCTTATAAGCATTTACTAAATGAAAAATGGAGATCTCTGATTTAACCCCTCTACTATAACTGGCTAAATATCTGTTAAGAGATCCCTCTCTGCTTCTAGAAAAAAATATTGTACATGATTATAGAGAGGGAGAAAAAAATAAATAAATAAAAATTTTAAAAGTTGGTACCAATGATGGCCAGGCTCAGTGGCTCATGCCTGTAATCTCAGCATTTTGGGAAGCTGAGGCGGGTAGATCACCTGAGTCAGGAGTTCGAGACCAGCCTGACCAACATGGAGAAACCCCATACAAAATTACTCGGGCGTGGTGGCGCATGCCTGTAATCCCAGCTACTTGGTTGGCTGAGGCAGGAGAATCACTTGAACCCCGGAAGGTGGAGGTTGCAGTGAGCCCAGTTCGCGCCATTGCACTCCAGCCTGAGCAACAAGAGCAAAACTCCATCTTGGAAAAAAAAAAAAAGTTGGTACCAATGTTACAAATACAGAAGAAAATTTGTGGATGAGTGCTTCATTCCTTAAAGCTCACCAAATTGAAAAAACAAAACCACAGAAGGAAGCTTTATCTATAATAAAATGAAATAACCTACTCATACCTATGCACAGACTACAGAATATCTGCCAGATACAGTGAAATTTAGATTAAATCCAAAGAGAACACCAAGATTCAACATAAAGAGAAGAAGGAATGGGAACATGGGTGAACCAAAGAAAAGACATCAAACATCCTTTTTTCAAAATACCAAGGCATGCAGAACTGAAAGAAAAACATCAGGCCACATAGAAGGGAGAAAATCAGGCTGGCTTCACACATTTCTTTTTTTTTTTTTAAGATGGAGTCTCGCTCTGTTGCCCAGGCTGGAGTGCAGTGACAATTTCAGCTCACTGCAACCTCCACCTCCCAGGTTCAAGCAATTCTCCTGCCTCAGCCTCCCAAGTAGCTGGGATTATAGGCGTGCGCCACCACACCCAGCTAATTTTTGTATTTTTAGTAGAGACAGGGTTTCACCATGTTGGATCAGGCTGGTCTTGAACTCTTGACCTCAAGTGATCCCCCTGCCTTGGCCTCCCAAAGTGCTGGGATTACAGGTGTAAGCCGCCACGCCCAGCCTGGCTTCAGACTTTTCTATGATAACATTTCAGGCCAGAAGACAGTGAAACAACATTTAGAGAATTTAGAAGGGAAACATTTGTGACCTAAGAATCTTATAACCTCCCATATTTCATCCCTACAAGGAAAGAAAACACAAAAGAATCCTATAGCCAGTTATGGTTGCTATGTAAAAGCATCAGAAGTATTCCAGGGCTCAGGACCTGTGTCACCCATGAACCCTCTGGAAAACTCTACCTGAAGACATAATATAGCCAAGGAAGAAATGAAAATGGATAGTTTAAGGTATAAAAGTGAATCCTCTTAAATATAAGTCCAATTAGAGGTAATTAGAGTTGCAGAAAAGTACATAATTGTTAAAAGAATTCTTTTTGGAGGCAGAGTCTCGCTGTGTCACCCAGGCTGGAGTGCAGTGGCATGATCTTGGCTCATTGCAACCTCTGCCTCCTGGGTTCAAGCTATCCTCCCACCTCAGCCTTCCGAGTAGCTGGGACTACAGGCACACACCATCACGCCAGGCTAATTTTTGTATTTTTAGTAGACGGGGTTTGCTATGTTGGCCAGGCTGGTCTTGAACTCCTGACCACAGGTGATCCACCCGCCTCAGCCTCCCAAAATGCTGGGATTACAGGCATGAGCCACCGAGCCCAGCACTTCTGTCATACTCTTAAAAACACCAAATTATGACACTTTGGGAAGATCCCCTGGATTAAAGGGGCTCCTAATGGCTTTTGGTTCATTCCCTACCTTTGAACCATTTGCACTAAACCCATCTTAGATGAAGAATTCTGCAGCTTAACTCTTTAAGGCTGTTACATCTTTGCTTTGATTTCCCCTAAACTCCCTAGCCTCTGCTTAGGGAATACAAGGACTTAGATTTCTTAGGAGGGAGCCATTTCTCACCACAAAATCTTATATAGTGAAGGGGGGCATACAGAACTAAAAGGAGGAAATTTTCAGCCTGCTCACTGGAGTCAGTACCTTTTAATCTAGAGGACCCAAGAGCAAGAGTGACCAGAAACAGGGAAAAGGTAAGATCATTTCTTCAAGTATTATATATATCATTACCTGAATTAACCTGGATAAATCACAAATATGATGTTGAAGAGGGGAAAGCAAGTTGCAGAAGGATACACAGAACGGTAACATGTATGTACAATTCTAAAACATTAAAAATATTGTATGTTTAATAAATGTAGTAAAAATACTTAGGAACAAGAAACACCACAGTCCAATAATGGATACCCTGGTGGAAGAAGGAAGGAAATGGGATGAAAGAAAGATGCTTAGCAAGTTGGATTGTTTGTTTCTCAAGCTGTTTGGTGGATACACAGGCGTTCTTTATATTATTCTCTAGGTTTTTTTCTATACTTAAAATATTTCATTAAAAATAATACATGGTTGCCAGATGCAGTGGCTCACACATGTAATCCCAACACTTTGAAGGCTGAGACAGAAGGATCACTTGAGGCCAGGAGTTTGAGACCAGCCTGGGCAACATAGCAAAATTCCATCTCTACCAAAAAGAATTGTTTTAAATTATAAATAATAAAAAATAACTTTTAATAAAAATAACACATGATTCTTTCTCTAGAGAGATACTTGGACCAGCTTAGAAGGGCTTAGGTTAGGAGGCTCCCAGTACCTAGAGAGATTATGGGTGACTCAGCCATAATCTTTCGGCCAAAGTGTTGAGTTGGCCTAGAGCAGACCTTAGTCACATGCCTAGAAAAGCTACACATATCTTCAGTTTCATTCTCTTTTCTTCCCCCAGGGTCATGAGTAGTTTAGAAAGCCTGTCAACTCATCAAAAAAGAAAAGAACCTCCCCATCCTCAGTTACTGAGAAGTTTCATGGCTCTTTGCCGAATATTCTCTAAGTCAATATCTGAAGCAGGAGCCCGTGATACAGTGGAGTGTCACTTTAGGCCTGTGCACATTGCCTAACATCTGTGAGTCTCAATTTTCTCTGTAAAAATTGGAATAAATACCACCATCCCTGCAAGTTTGCTGAAAGGATTCAGTTATAAAATGAGTGTAGGCTGGGTGCAGTGGCTCACGCCTGTAATCCCAACACTTTGGGAGGCTGAGGCGGGTAGATCATGAGGTCAGGCATTCGAGACCAGCCTGGTCAACATAATGAAACCCCATCTCTACTAAAAATACAAAAAATTAGCCGGGCATGATGGCAGATGCCTGTAATTCCAGCTACTTGGGAGGCTGAGGCAGGAGACAGTGAGCCGAGATCGCGCCACTGCACTCCAGTCCGGGCGACAGTGTGAGACTCCATCTCAAAAAATAATAATAATAAATGAGTGTAAAGTGCTTTATATAATGACTGAGATGTATTAGACATTAGATATATGTGAGTTCCCTTTCCTCCCTTGAAATAACTGAAAGAAGTCCTACCTAAAGCCAGAAGAGGAGCAAGAATTTGGAGGCACTCTTGCTTCTCAGTTAGCCTTCTTCCTCAGGTGATATGCCACAACATAGTATAGTGTGGTGTGCCTGGCCAAGCAGTGATCTTACTGTAGTACTCTGTTTTTCTCATGGCCTCCTTTCCACTGAAACGTTACAGTTTTCAGAGTAATTTTGCAAAGCCTGCCTCTGTGCTTGAAATTTGAACCTACCAAGGAGAAATGAGGACCAAGTCTCCATTAGTCTTAGCCATCACTGAGCAGCGTCTTAGAGAACACAGCTAGACATTAGCACAGCGGAGTGCTTCGTGCCAACCTGAGAGTTAAAACTAGGATGCAGAAGCTGTAATTCTAGTCTGGAACAAGCTCTTTTGTTGGACTATAGGAACTCACCTCTTCTCTCTCCTTAGGCACTAAACAGAAAAGACAGAGTCCTTGCTGCCAATTGGCAACCTAGAGAGGGTTTGTTTGATAAGGTCCTATCTTTCCATTCCCTGTAGCATGAACAGATACACTCCCAGTAAAGTCCTTGATCCTGGAGTTTCTTCTTGGATGGGGAAAAGCTGTGTTGGGTTGAAATTTTTCCAAAGTACCTCAGCCTTGCTATTGGAGGTGATTTGGGCTGCACAATAATACTGGGGAACAATTGAGGATACAAATGGTCAGAAAAGAGCTTCACAACCAGTAAGCTGTTTTCAGGTATTCATCTCAAAGCCTTCCACAGATCCACTTACCAGGAGCCTCAGGAGAGCCCACAGCTTTCCATCCGTCACCCCACTTTCCCTATCATATCCGCAGGCTCCACAGCAGTGGTTTATGTGTCTCAGAAAGAGCTACACATCAACTGGATGAGACAGACAATGTGGGAGGTTCCTGAAGACCCCAATCAGATCCACTAAGCCTAAGGAAAACCAGGCTGTTTATTGCTATGGAAATCTGACCTCAGTTATTCTTGTCTCTTCCTTCCAGAAATCTCTCCCACTTATATCCCAGATTCCAAAATAGACATTTAATTGTCTCTAATTATGGCTGCTTGAGTTCCTGTTGGCTGTTTCTTGTCTGCTGACTATGTTTACCTCTTGCCTAGCTTCAGAGCATACATTCTTTGGCTCTTACGACTGAGTAGGAAGCATACCCCTACTACCACCTTGGAAAAAGAAATAAGACTTTTCCATTATAAACTAGTAGCCAACTGAAAGGCAGCTCTGTCCCAGGAGCCTCTGTATCTAAAGCTTTCTATACTTCCCTATTACCCCTTTTGGAGGAATTTCCCCCAAAAAGCAGGAACCACCCTAACTGACCCTAACTGCTTACTGGACTGCTTTGCAAGTTAGGCAAGTTGGAAAGTTATGGAAGCTCTCTTAAAAGCCCACCCACTGAGTGTATCCCAAGTCTGCCAAAGGGCAAACTAGTGCTGTCTCTGCCCATCTCTAGCCTACACCACAGAGGTGCTGTGGTTTTGGCCTTTTGCTACTTTCCAAAAGGCTTTAACCTCCTAGGAGAACAGAGATAAAGAAGACTCTGAAATGCCTTAAAGTGCTAGTATTTCTTTTTGCATTTTACTAAGTTTTGGCATTTGGGAAGAATCTTTTTTAATGGTCTGTGTATCAGTGTTTTTAGTCCTTGGAATGTCCTCTTTCCCACCCCCTCATGCCTCTTGGGTTGGGAATTTTTCCTTAGTTTTGTTTTGTTAAAAGGGTGCTTACACCCTCTCTATCCTCCTCCTTCTCCCTTCCAGCTGCCCATTTTTTCTCTTCCCATTTCTGACTCGGGTACTGAATATCCCCTTGTTAGGAAAGAGCTTCTTCCACTGAGCCATATCAGCTCAGAATAAGGCAGTTCTAGGTCTCTTCTAGTCTTTTCTTAATTTCTTTGTATTGCATTATGATTAAATTATGGATTCTGAAGTCAGGCAGACCTAGATTTAAATCTGTTACTAGCAGTTATATGGTTTTGAGTGAATGGTTTAACTTCTCTAAATCTGTTACCTCATCTGCAAAATGTGGTTGCTCTTTTTTAGTGCATCAGAGATAAAAATAGTACTCCCAGAATCATCTAGGAGGGGTTTGCTTCTAGTTAAATACATTTAGCTCCTATCCGAGACCTACCAAAATAATTGATGGGGGGCCAGGACACTGAGGGTGGCATTATTTGTCATTGTTTACACTACTCAGGTGATTTTCAGATGAAATTACTAGATTTGTTAGCCAGGCATGATGGCGCATGCCTATAGTCTCAGCTACTTGGGGGGCTGAAGCAGGAGGATCACTTGAGCCCCAGAGATGGAGGCTGCAGTGAGTCAAGATCACGCCACTGCACTCCAGCCTGGGTGACAAAGTGAGACCTTGTCTCAAAAAAAAGAAATTACTAGATTTGTGGCCAGGAGCGGTGGTCATGCCTGTAATCCCAACACTTTGGGAGGCTGAGGCAGGCAGAGGTTTACTTGAGGCAGATCACGCCACCGCACTCCAGTCTGGGGGACAGAGCAAGACTCCATCTCAAAAAAAAAAAAGAAGGCTGGATCACCTGAGGTCAGGAGTTGGAGACCAGCCTGGCCAACATGACGAAACCCTGCCTCTACTAAAAATACAAAAAATGAGCCAGGTGTGGTGGCAGGCACCTGTAATCCCAGCTACTTGGGGGGCTGAGGCAGGAGAATTGCTTGAACCCGGGAGACAGAGGTTGCAGTGAACTGAGATCACGCCATTGCACTCCAGCCTGAGTGACAGAGCGAGACTCTTTGTAAAAGTCAGTCCTATAATGTACAGAGAGTATTTATTTAGCACAATACCTGGCATAGAGTAGATGTACAATAAAGGTTAGTCATAAATTTCTTTTTTCTTTTCTTTTCTTTTTTTTTGGAGATAGAGTTTTGCTCTTGTCGCCCAGGCTAGAGTGCAATGGTGCAATCTTGGCTCACTGCAACCTCCGCCTCCCAGGTTCAATTGATTCTCCTGCCTCAGCCTGCTGAGTAGCTGGGATCACAGGTGCGCACCGCCATGCTTGGCTAATTTTTATATTTTTAATAGAGGCGGGGTTTCACCATGTTGGCCATGGCTGGCCTCAAACTCCTGACCTCAGGTGATCCACCTGCCTTGGCCTCCCAAAGTACCAGGATTACAGGCATGAGCCACCGCACCCAGCCAGGTTAGTCGTAATTTTCAAAAGGACATTTCCTCCAACCTGGCAGTCTTTAAGAGCCAAGAAGATGCTCCGTTTATGACAAGATCTCCCTCTATTGCCCAGGCTAGAGTGCGGTGGTGCGATCACAGTTCACTGCAGCCTCTACCTCCTTTGCTTAAGCGATCCTCCTACCTCAGCCTCCTGAATAACTGGTACTACAGGCATGCACCACCATGCACAGCTAGCTTTTTTATTTTGTGTAGAGATAAAGAGTCTCACAATGCTGCCCAAGCTGGTCTTAAACTCCTGGGCCCAAGTGATCCTTCCACCTCGGCCTCCCAAAGTGCTGGTATTACAGGGGTGAGCCACCACACGTGGCCTAGGAGAATGCTTTTTAAATACATTTAAATGCTGTGAGCAAGTGGCGCTGCTCTTGGTGTATGCTTTAGGGTCTGGAGTAGTCTTTTATGTGGAATGGAGTTGGCTTTTAAAAAATCCTTTTTAGCCAGGCATAGTGATGGACACCTGTAGTCCCAGAGACTTGGGAGGCTGAAGCAGGAGAATTGCTTGAGCTCAAATTTGAAGCCAGCCTGGGCAACATAATGATACCTTATCTCTGAAAAAATTGTTTAGGCCAGGTGCGGTGGCTCACTCCTGTAGTCCCAGCACATTGGGAAGCCAAGGCGGGTGGATCACTTGAGGCCAGGAGTTCAAGACCATCCTGGCCAACATGGTGAAACCCTATCTGTACTAAAAATACAAAAATTAGCCAGGTGTAGTGGCTCTGTAGTCCCAGCTACTTGGGAGGCTGAGGCAGGAGAATTGCTTGAACCCAGGAGGTGGAGGCTGTAGTGAGCCAAGATCGTGCCACTACACTCCAGCCTGGGTAATCCGAGACCCTATCTCAAAGAAAAAAAAATTTTTTTGAATGAGTATGGCTTTGCTTAACCAGAGTCTGTGGTGAGAGTGTGGGGAGCCCATTGTTTCCAGAGTTGATGTCCTAGGAGGATTTGTGATTTCTGAGCCTCAAATGAAATTTGGTATATATTCCCAGATGAGAAGCAGCAGTGATGGGTCAGCCTAAGGACCAGCCCCAGACCAAAGAACAGATTGGATGGAATTTAGACCTCTAGGTTCTGGGATCCTAAAGAACTGAAGTAATTAGCCAGACATGGTGGTGTTCACCTGTAGTCCCAGCTACAGGTTGAGGTGGGAGGATCACTTGAACCCAGGAGTTTTAGAGGCTGCAGTGAGCTATGATCACACCACTGCACTCCAGCCCCAGGGCCACAGTGAGACCCTGTCTCAAAAAAAAAAAAAAAAAAAGGAACTGAAGTGAAGTCAGAATATCTTCTTTTCAGGCCTTAGAGAAAGATCGTTATGAGCATAGTCCCAAATCTGGATTTCTCTGAAGCCAGGTCCTCCCTTGGCTTACCATTCTGTCTTCCACTGATAACTTGAGGCACGTAGCCATTAACTGGACTGCCCAGCTGTTCCTGGCCTAGGGAGGAGCCAGAACCCCCAACCAATAGTAATGAGGATGGTGATGCGAGCCTTGGGTCCTCCCTAACTTGGCTACTGTGTTACAGAAGCAATATCCAAGGCAGTGTCATCTGCAACAATGCTGTGATCGAGAAGGGTGCAGACATCAAGGACTGCTTGATTGGAAGTGGCCAGAGGATTGAAGCCAAAGGTAAACCAGATTACAATCACAGATTCCATTTTTACTTCTCACACCAGCACTGATAATGCCAAAGGCTGGTGAGGATGTGGGAAACAAGCACATACGTACACTGCGGGCGAGAACATAAATTGATAAAGCCATCTTTGGAGAGCAGTTGACATCACTGTCAATTTTTTTTTTTTTTTCGGAGTTTCACTCTTGTTGCCCAGGCTGGTGTGCAATGGTGCAATCTCAGCTCACTGAAACCTCCGCCTCCCGGGTTCAAGCGATTCTTCTGCCTCAGTCTCCTGAGTCGCTGGAATTACAGGCATGTGCCACCACGCCCAGCTAATTTTTTGTATTTTTAGTAGAGATGGCGTTTCTCCATGTTGGTCAGGCTGGTTGCGAACTCCCGACCTCAGGAGAACTGCCCACCTCAGCCTCCCAAAGTGCTGGGATTACAGGCGTAAGCCACCGCACCTGGCATCACTGTCAAATTTTTTTACTTTGACTTAACAGTTTCATTTCTAGAAATTAATCTTATAGATAAGCTTATACATGTATGCACCCTTAATCTCAAAACCTTGAAAACATATCAATAGATCTAATGGCCCAGGTTGGCACCAATACTGTACAGTGATTCTTGAAGCCTAGGCACAGTGGTTCATGCCAATAATCCCAACACTTTGGGAGGCTGAAATGTGAGGATCGCTTGAGCCTAGACAACATAGCAGGAACCCATCTCTACAAAAAAATTAAAAATTAGCCAGGCACAGTGGCACACACGTGTTGTCCCAGCTACTCAAGAGGCTGAGGCAGGAGGATTGCTTGAGCCTGAGAGGTCAAGGCTGCAGTGAGCTGAGATCGCACCACTGCACTCTAGCCTGGGTGACAGAGGGAGACCCTGTCTTAAAAATAATAATAAAAATTAAAATGACTGATTGCTTTTGGTATTATTCCTAAACCTAAAATAAGGTGGGGAGGGGAGTTGCTGAAGGAATTAACCCCACCAACTCTGTAGACGCCACATCATTTCCTTCTTCAGTTTCTTCCCCCTTCCCTTTTTTAAAGTCATATGCCTTCCTTTTGGGCTTTAGAATCAAACAGACCTCAGTTCACATCTCAACTCAACTTAGTGGCTGTGCACCAAGTGAAATTTTTAATCATTAAGCCCTCAGATTTTCCTTTTTTTTTTTTTTTTTTTTAATTTTAATTTTTTGAGACAGAGTCTTGCTCTGTCGCCTAGGCTGGAGTACAGTAGTGCTATCTCAGCTCACTGCAGCCTCCTCCTCCTGGATCCAGGTGGTTCTTGTGCCTCAGCCTCCCGGGCAGCTGAGACTACAGGGGCACACCACCACCCTTGGCTAATTTTTGTGTTTTTAGTAGAGACAGGGTTTTGCAATGTCACCCAGGCTGGTCTTGAACTCCTGGCCTCAAGCAAGCCACCCACCTCACTTTCCCAAAGTGCTGAGATTACAGGTATGAGCCACTGCGCCCAGCCCCAGATTTTCTTAATTAGACAATTGGGACAATAATAGCTACCTTGGAGAATTGTGAGAATTACATATAATTAAATGACAGGTATATGCACTACTCCTTGAGTGTACCAAAAGACTTAGAATTCCTCATACATACCGTGCCATTATACCTCTCCATGCTTTTACATGTGCTCTCTCTAGATTTCCTCTCTTGAAGACTCCGACCAAGTGTTTTCTCCTTTGTAGAACCTTCTCTGCCTCTTCCCATGACTCCCCATAGCAGAACTACACATTCCTTCCACTGTGTCCTTGAGCTTTGCCACACCTTTATTAAAGTATGTTTCACAAGCCATGGCAATTATCCGTGAATCAGCCTTCCCTACTAAGATCCTCAAGGTCAGCTGGGCATGATGGCTCACACCTGTAATCCTAGCACTTTGGGAGGCCGAAGTGGGCGGATCACCTGAGGTCAGGAGTTCGAAACCAGCCTGACCAACATGGTGAAACCCCGTCTCTACTAAAAATACAAAAAATAGCCAAGTGTGGTAGTGCATGCCTGTAATCCCAGCTACCTGGGAGGTTGAGGCAGGAGAATTGCTGGAACCCAGGAGGCGGAGGCTGCAGTGAGCTGAGACTGCACCACTACACTCCAGTCTGGGTGACAGAGCAAGACTCCATCTCAAAAAAAAAAAAAAGATCCTCAAGGTCGATTGTCTCATAACTATATGCATCCCTAGCTCTCAGAACAGGTCCTGATTTATGGTAAATGCTCAGAAGGGGAAAAGAGTGAATGAATGAATGTTGGATCCATGAAACATATTTTGGGGGATTTCAGGGTATAAAGTTAGGGTTCCAAGAAAGGCCTCTGTGCGATGGTTGCAATCATCATGAGATGGGCTTCATAAACTCCTGGGCTTTCTGGCTTTAATTAACACTATGTGTCCACCTTTTAGCAAGGAGACCCTTTAATGGTCCTGCTGAAGGAGGGCTGGCCAGGGAAGTCATCTTGTCTGGGCTCTAAACTGGACAACCCCACCACTTCCTTCTCTCTGTCCTCTGCTGGAAGGACCAGTGCATCCAGCACAGTGGTCAGTGCCCTCCTGCCACAGGAACTCCCTGGCCAGTTGCCTTTTTCCACTATTACTTCTTCTTTTTTTTTTTTTTTTGAGACTGAGCCGTATGGTGAAAGCAAACTCCTAACCATCAGTGCAGCACTCAAGACTTGTTACTATAGGTGACCTAGGCAAACACCAACAACTCACATCCTTACCAGCAAAGAGCTCAATAGATGGCAAAGTCTTCCGTCAGTCTTCCTCACATGAAGGGGTTTCAGGAAAAAACATTCATCCTAAGAAATAATGCAGTCTCAGCCGGATGCGGTGGCTCATGCCTGTAATCCCAGCACTTTGGGAGGCTGAGGCGGGTGGATCCCTGTGGTCAAGAGTTCGAGACCAGCCTGACCAACATGGAGAAACCCCATCTCTACTAAAAATACAAAAAATTAGCCGGGCGTGGTAGTGCATGCCTGTAATCCCAGCTACTTGGAAGGCTGAGGCAGAAGAATTGCCTGAACCTGGAAGGCAGAGGTTGTGGTGAGCTGAGATCACGCCATCACACTCCATCTTGGGCAACAAGAGCGAAACTCCATCTCAAAAAAAAAAAAAAAGACATAATGCAGTCTCCTCTCCAAATTCTAATCATTTTCATGCTCCAGAGTCACCACATCCATAGCAGTCTTTTTCCCCAAAAGTATGGCTCGTAACTCAGTGTAGGCCTCCCTACCCTCTTCTAGCACCAACACGAAAACAAGCCATTTTATAACAACTCTGACTTTTCTCACCCCATCCCAATACTCTCATTGGTTATCTCTGGCAAAAATACTGGCAGCCAAATTTGACCTTCTCAAGCAGTAGAATGGCTACAGCTAACAGTCAAAACCTAAAAAATGGCTGGGTACAGAGGCTGTAGCTCACGCCTGTAATCCCAGCACTTTGGGAGACCAAGGCGAGTGGATCACTTGAGGTCAAGAGTTCGAGACCAGCCCAGCCAACATGGTGAAACCTCATCTCTACTAAAAATACAAAAATTAGCTGTGTGTGATGGCACACACCTGTAATCCCAGCTACTTGGGAGGCTGAGGCAGGAGAATCACTTGAACCTGGGAGGCGGAGGTTGCAGTGAGCAGAGATCATACCACTGCACTCCAGCCTGGGCAACAGAGCAAGACTCCATTCAGAAAAAAAAAAAACAAAAAAAAAAAACACTAACTGCTAAAAGCATGCTTCATCTGAGTCTCTTCTTACAGTCAGTGACAGAACTTGGATCTCTTCCCTATGGCCAGAGTGATCAGTTCTTTGACCATGAAAGTAGACCTGGTATAGGTCAGGCTGTTGATGTATACTTGACACAGGTCAAATCCTCCTGGCCAGCAGGAAGCTTTCCCAGTTTCCCAACAGTGCACCTTTTATTTGTGATGTTTTTCCCTTCTATCCCATTGCTATTTTCCCAACTTATCATCCTCCCTTGTATTTTTCCCCTTGGGATCTTTCCCAACCTGATTCCAGCCCAAAGATTTTCCAGTGTATTTACTGGACCCTACTCCCATCCCTGACCAAGCATCACTAGCTTTGCTTAGTTTTTTGTTTTTTTGAGACAGGGTCTTACTCTGTCACCCAGGCTGAAGTGTAGGTGGCACAGTCACAGCTCACTGTAGCCTTGACCTCCCGGGCTCAAGCGACCTCCCTCCCTGGCCCCTGAGTAGCTGAGACCACAGGCATATGCCACCACATCCAGCTAATATTTTTATTTTTTGTAGAGATGGTGTCTAACTATTGCCCAGGCTGGTCTCAAACTCCTGGGCTGGGGCAATCCACCCACCTTGGCCTCCCGAAGTGCTGGATTGCAGGAGCGAGCCACCACGCCCGGCCTAGTTCTGCTTGTTGTGCCTCTACAGGTTTCCTCCAACTTACTGAATCACCATGAAAATACATCAACCCCAACATGCCAGATATAGTCTCTGTTCCCTGGCTCCCCCTGCCCCTTCCAGGCTATTGGCTCACTGCCTCCTTTCTATAGTTCTTTTTCCTTGAAAGTTTTCTATAGCTCTTCTTACCTTTCACCGCATCATTGATCAGCTTCCAGGGTACTTCCCTACATTTATTAAGAGCTTTAGCCTGTGGTTCACAGTCTTCCTCTCCTCTCCCTCACTTGTCCATAACATCTTGGACAACTTAAACATATTCATCAGTAAACTGTCCAGCTCTCCGGCTTCATGATTCCCTGAACTTCTCTACCAACCTTCATCTGCATTCAGCTTTAGCTCTCCAGTTATATGACCATATCCTATCTTAGTCATTACCCAAAACCTCTAAAATCATCATGTGGCAGTAGCTATGCTAGACACTGGGGATATAATCATAACTACACTGTTCCATCTCTCCTCTCAATGTTCTTGGTTTGTTTTTTTTTTTTTTTTTGAGACAGAGTTTCACTCTTGTTGCCCAGGCTGGAGTGTAATGCTGCGATCTCGGCTCACTGCAACCTCCACCTCTTGGGTTCAAGCAATTCTGCTGCCTCAGCCTCCCGAGTAGCTGGGATTACAGGCATGCGCCACCATGCCTGGCTAATTTTGTATTTTTAGTAGAGATGGGGTTCCATCATGTTGGCCAGGCTGGTCTTGAACTCCCGACCTCAGGTGATCCACCTGCTTTGGCCTCCCAAACTGCTGGGATTAGAGGCATGAGCCACCGCGCCCAGCGCCCTCAATGTTCTTATAGTGAAGTAGAGGAGAGTGGTATAATGATGTAGGAATAGAGATATATATTAGGTACAGTGGTTTCACAAAGCAGGAAATGGACAGTGCAAAAGGGAAGGCATCGCATATTAGAGGTGCTACGTTAGGGCACATAGGGTAGTAAGAGTGCAACAGGAAAAAATGGAGGGGGAAGCATTCTAGGCAGAGGGTTGTGCCAAAGTTCAAAGGTATAAAACAGGGCCAAGTGCGGTGGCTCACGCCTGTAATCCAGCACTTTGGGAGGCCAAGGCAGGGCAGATCACTTGAGCCCAGGAGTTCCAGACCAGCCTGGCCAACATGGTGAAACCCCATCTCTACTAAAAATACAAAAAAAAAAAAAAAAAAAATTAGCCATGTGTGGCGTCATATGCCTGTAGTCCCAGCTACTGGGGAGGCTGAGGCGGGAGAATCACTTGAACCCAGGAGGCGGAGGTTGCAGTGAGCCAAGATTGCGCCACTGCACTCCAGCCTGGGTGACAAAGCAAGACTCCATCTCAAAAAAAAAAAAAGGGATTAAAACAGTATGGCTTACTGGCAAAATGGAGAATAGTGGGAAATGAAGCTGGAGAGGTAGGCAAAGATGTCATGGAGGGCCTTATGGGTTTGACCTTTATAGAAATAATAATAGCCACAACTTATTGAGCATTCACTTACCTTTAACTCATTGAATTCTCACAACAACCCTATGCAGTAGGTGTCATTATTTCCATATTATATATGAGGTATTGCCCTTTCTTATCTCCGTTTATCCTTTTAGCCTCATTTCTTACCCTTATCCCCTCATTTCCTATTCTCTGGCCACACCACAGTATTTCATGGTCCCCTTTCTCCCATCTCACTGTCTTTGCCCTTGCTGTTCTAACAGCCTAGAATCCCTTCCATCACTGCCTGTAGAAACTATTCACCCTTTAAGACCCAGTTTCAGTTCTCCTATTTAAAGCCTCACCACAGCCAGGTATATAGACAGTTGGTCCCATCCTCCTGCATAGGAAGGTGCTCTCTCTCTCATATCCCTATTTCCAAGAGCTTCTCAAGATCACAGCCACAATAGTAGAGAAATAAATTTTTGTGAACACAGAATTAGAAGCAGTTGGGTTTGGCTGGGCGTGGTGGCTCATACCTGTAATCCCAGCACTTTGGGAGGCTGAGGCTGGCAGATCACCTGAGGTTAGGAGTTCGAGACCAGCCTGGCCAACACGGTGAAACCCCATCTCTACTAAAAATACAAAAGTTAGCCAGGCGTGGTGGCGGGCGCCTGTAATCCCAGCTACTCAGGAGGCTGAGGCAGGAGAATCGCATGAACCTGGGAGATGGAGGTTGCAGTAAGCCGAGATTGTGCCACTGCACTCCAGCCTGGGTGACAAGAGCGAAACTCGGTCTCCAAAAAAAAAAAGCAGTTGGGTTTGAAATGTCATCTTGCTGCCAGTTCTCAGAAAACTTTTTTCCTTTTCTTTTGTAGCTAAACGAGTGAATGAGGTGATCGTGGGGAATGACCAGCTCATGGAGATCTGAGTTCTGAGCAAGTCAGACTCCTTCCTTTTGGCCTCCAAAGCCACAGATGTTGGCCGGCCCACCTGTTTAACTCTGTATTTATTTCCCAATAAAGAAGGGCTTCCAAAGGCATGCTGGAGACTTGTGGAGCAGTCCAAAGCTCCATGTCAGGTGGGCTCCAGGTGTACACAGTGTATGTTCATGTGTCATGTGGTAAAGATCATCTGGAGCAAGTGTGTGGGACAGGACAGATACAGTGGCCTAACTCTTGTGTGCCAAGATGTATCGGTGGGGCAGCAGCTGTCCAATGTAAAGCTCCTAGGAAGGCTACTTTCTGACTGGCTGACCCAACCCAGTCCTGAAAGTATCCCTCACCTAAAAGGACCTGGGAGTACTTCAGTCCCTTATCCTAATCAGCCTTTCTAGACCCATAGGCCTAGCTGCTGGCAGTGCCACGCCTGAGCATCAGCCCAGGACTCTGCTCCCATACCTACCATACAGATTCCCAGCCCCTTCCCCCACCTCACCCACAGCCCCACCCTCCATGCTCACCATTCACTCCCTCTCCTCCCAGCCTCTAGCCATTTTCCCTAGTTCAACTAATATCCCTTGGAGACTGAACAGAAGCAGGGGCAGCCCCTGCCTAGCCAACAAGCCTATTCCCACAGGTTCTAGTGGAGATAAGAACATGAAGAGCCATGGTCTGAGCCAAGCCAGACCCCGCTGCACCTCACCTCACTGAGGTTTGCCCAACCTGGGAAGGAAGAGCCAGGAACCTGTATCATGGCTTGAAATTCCTTCTGACTCTCCTCCAGCTGCACTCCTTTATATCCTAATTCTGCAGACTCTCCTGCTTCAGATAATTGAGGAATGAAATTTCCATACTCACAGCCCTTCTAGAGGCCTATCCACCTTCCCTCCACCACCCCTGCTCCCAAACACACATTCACTCTGCTCTCTCCCTGCATTGCTTTTACAGCCTGCAGGTGTTTGGTGGAAGATAAAAGTGGTTCCTGGGGTGAGATTTCACCTCCTAGAATTATCAAAGTAAAGGCTTCTCTTGATGTCTTCACTGTGGGTGGCAGTAATTAGAAAGAATTATTTGAAATACTGGTTTCTGCATTGCTTCAAAAACCTCAAGGCTCTCAAGTTTACTTGAGTAATCTTGCCTATCTTAGTCATAGAACTTGTGAGAGACTCCGTGAGTATTTCTACCCTGGGGGATCTCCACCTCTGTCAGCCTTCTTGAGAGCCCTGGTGCTCCCACTGGTCAGAACAAGGCTCCTGAAAGTTTGCCCTAATCAGGCAGGAGCTGAAATGGCCCGGCAGAAGTGGTTGAAACCAATAGGGCTGAGAGGGATGTGGGGATAAAGAGCTGTGGTGGTGCCCAACATGGTCCCCTTTGGAACTGAAATTAAATTGGTGGGGCCTAGATGGTGCTGGAGACAGAGTCCTGGCCTGGGTGGAAGAAAATCTGTCCTCTGTAATGTTGTTTGGTTTGGGTCAAATCACTCTCTCCTCTCTGACCTTGAGTGTTTCCATCTGCAAAATGAGAAAGTTCGACTGTTTGAATGTTAAAGGCCCTTCTGTTTCTCAGGTTTTGTCCTCTTTCCCAGAGCTTTCTTCCCCTTAGGGTCTCCCAAGGAGCCAGAAGATTGCTCCTTGAGCAGAGAAAAGGGTTGGGAGGGAAAGTGCGGTGGAGGAGTAAAGGGCATTGATTAAACTGTCTCAGAGCCCTCCTATGTACCCTTTCCTGTCCTTCCCCATGGAGCCCTTAGAACCCCTGACAGTGAGACAGAGGAAAAACCTCTCCTGTGCCTTCCCTTTGCACAAGTCCATGGAACGGCCTCTGCATCAAGGAAAGGAAGGAGCTGGAGAAAACAAAAGGTAAAAGCTTTCCCAGAGGAAGGTGTTGTTGAGTTTGAGTCCCAGCTGGGAGCAGCCCCCAGCTCAGGACACTGCTGCTATTGTCTGACAGTTCCAGGACTGGCTGGGTGCCCAAGATGCTTTGATTTTTCTTCTCTTTGCCCTGTTTGTCTGCCAGAAGGCAGGGACAGTTTTTGTTTTCTTTTGGTAGCAGCTACAGAGGGGCTGAGTATGTCTGAAACATAGTGAGCAACTGAATGTCCACTGGCCGGCCACCTCTCCATGGACAGAAATCAGAAAAGCAAGGCAGGCAGAAGAGTTAATAGGGTCTGCCCTGCCTCTCCCAGTGATGCTCAATGAGGGAAGTGGAGGAAGAGGAGAAAGGGGACCTCGAATGCCGAATCAGGGAGGACCCTGGGGATGTGCTGAGGAACAGGGTTCCGGGAGCTTGCCGGGTCAGACAAAACTTGACAGCTGCTACTCCAGGAATCCATCCCCCAGTTACAATTCATCCTTGCCTGCTGGCAAGAGTTCCTTGAGCCGAGAAGACTGCCACTACCCAGGATGATTGCATCAGGGGCCTTCTGCCATGGATAAATGGGGAGCTGCTGCATTGGTTCTTAGCCTCTCTCCTTTCCCCATACTTGAAGTGAGGGCCCATAAGCTCCTGTGAGCCTATAAGACTGCCAAGATTGCCCTCCAAGCTGTTCCCCAAGGCCAAAGGTCGAACTTCTTCCCAGTTCTTCACTACTTTACTATTACCATC
Organism: Homo sapiens; assembly: GCF_000001405.40. Taxonomy (NCBI): domain Eukaryota; kingdom Metazoa; phylum Chordata; class Mammalia; order Primates; family Hominidae; genus Homo; species Homo sapiens. Next base: position 44,848,339 of record NC_000001.11, on the reverse strand, counting down.
CCACTTCCATACTCAGTGGAGAGAGGGAAATTGTGTTTAGCTGTAGCCCCAACAGGAATCTAGGGCCTGCATGGCCTAGTTGAGAAGTTGTTTCTATTTCCAGAGAATTGCAGGGGATACACTTTCTTTATCCACAGCTATCCCTACTCCTAAGGAGGTACATAAACCAGGCCTTTGTATGCAGCTTTCTAAATAGTTAAATGTGTCTGAGGAAGGGGGAGGCCCATGGAAAGGACCACCCAGACAGAAAGTCTAGAAAGCTCTGCTCTAATGAAGCTGACCCAGAGGGAGAGAGACTGGGCAGGAGAACACATTCTACTGGAAGCCAGTATGACCTGTCCTTGGCCTGAGCCATCTGCCACTACCCAGGATGATTGCATCGGGGCCTTTCTGCCATGGATAAATAGAGAGAGGCTGCATTTGTTCTTAGCCTGTCTCCTTCCCCCACACTTAAAGTGAAGGACCATTCCCTAATCTCTGGCTGCAGCCCTGGCACCAAATACTTGATAGGTACGCCAGGCGCGGTGGCTCACGCCTGTAATCCCTGCACTTTGGGAGGCCAAGGTGGGTGGATCACCTGAGGTCAGGAGTTCAAGACCAGCCTGGCCACCATGATGAAACCCCATCCCTACTAAAAATACAAAAAGTTAGCCCGACGTGGTGGCGGGCGCCTGTAATCCCAGCTATTCAGGAGGCTGAGGCAGGAGAATCGCTTGAACCCAGGAGGTGAAGGTTATAGTTAGCCAAGATGGCACCACTGCACTCCAGCCTGAGCAACAAGAGCAAAACTCCATCTCAAACAAACAAATACTTGATAGGTGCTATTGGCCTCAACCTGCCCACAGGGAAGGAGCATACATACCCAGGCTTGGCCCCTAAATATAACAGGTGGTGATGGGGCTGCCCAGGACCCCCACTTCCCTCCTCCACATCTCAGGGTCATTGACTCTGCTTGGCCTAGATAACAGAAGCAGCCAAAAGCTGGCGAGTGAGAAGCCTAGAGGAATGCCAGAGAAAGCAAGCCTGCCTTGCCTCCACCATGAATTAACTCCCACATGAACCCACCCCTGAAGCCAGACTGGTCACTTTACCCAGCACTGTGTGTATGTGAGTGTGGGCTGCCTCACTTTTCCTGGCACTGTTCCTCAGCCATATGTATTATCTCATTTAATCCTTATGTTAATGTCAGAGATTATGTGACTTCCCTGAGATCTCACAACCAGCAAATGAAAGATCCAGACCATGAGCCATTCCTTTTCCTTTTAGATTCTGTCATCCTCCCACCTCTCCCATCCAGTTCCTTTCACTTCTGGAAACATCCCTGAGTACCCCCAACTCAGTGGTTTCCCCTGTGGTCTCTGTGCTCCCCCTCAGGCTATGAACTTCTAAAAAGCAGGTACCCTGCAACACCAGAACCCAGCAAAGGAATGGACACATAAGAGATCCCAAGGCTGGGCGCGGTGGCTCATGCCTGTAATCCCAGCACTTTGGGAGGCCGAGGCGGGTGGATTGCCTGAGCTCAGAGTTCAAGACCAGCCTGGGCAAAACGGTGAAACTCTGTCTCTACTAAAATACAAAAAAATTAGCCAGGCGTGGTGTCACGCGCCTGTGGTCCCAGCTACTCGGGAGGCTGAGATGGGAGGATCACTTGAGCCTGGGCAGTAGAGGCTGCAGTGCACCAAGATCATGCCACTGCACTGCAGCCTGGGTGACAGAATGAGACCCTGTCTCATTGAAAAAATTTAAAAAAAGGAGATCCCAAGACGTTTGTTTCATGAGTCAGTAATGAGATTTAATTAGATTGCTTTTATCCTGTTATTTGGAGAATATCTCTAGTTTAGGCCCAAAACACGTACCCAGGACCAGTGGAAATGACAGTGAAACAAGCTGTTCTATCATAAAGGAGGCTGCTTGCAGAAAGAGAAGAGAAGCCTCTTTATCCCTTCCTATTCCTGGGGTCTATGGCTTTGGCTCTGGCTGAGCTTAGCTGGGCTCAGGAAACCATTTTGTTTGGGAGAAGACAGGTCATTTTGTAGCTTGGAGCAGCCAGACAGCACTAGGCCCTAGGTTGGAAAGGCTGGAAACTGTAGACCCATTTCTTCCATCCTAGTCTTTGAACTATAAGGCAAGAGGTTTCCTTAATAGACAGACTTGGCCTTGGAAGCATCCATAGAAATGGTGGACTTTGTCACAATTGTTAGCAGTGATGGGCCTATGATGAAAGCAGAGTCCCAAGGCCCAAGTGGTTACAAATCTATTTATCCATGGACCTTATGTCTTGCAGAGTCTGGTAAAAAGGAAGGAGATTAAGACTTACTTAAAGCATAGCATCGGGAGTTGTACTCCTGATGACAACCAGTGCTGAGTCCAGGCCACTCCCTGTCTTCAGCTATTGCCCCAAGAGCAAACTAGGGGCCCATACAGACTTAAGTTAGAGGCTGTTTCTATTTCAGAGACTTGCTAGGGGTACAGTTCTTTTTAACCTTAAATTTTTTATGTTATCATTATTATTGTTTTTTGAGGCAGGGTCTCACTTTGTCGCCCAGGCTGGAGTGCAATGGCACAATCACAGCTCGCTGCAGCCTCTATCAACTCTCCTGCCTCAGCCTCCCAAGTAGCTGGGACTACAGGTGTGCGCCACCACACCCAGCTAATTTTTTATTTTTTGTAGAGATGGGGTCTCACTATGTTGCCAGGGCTTGAACTCCTGGCCTCAAGCAATCCTCCCGCCTCAGCTTCCCAAAGGGCTGGGATTACAAGCATGAGCTACCATGCCACTTTATGCTCAGCAGGACACACTCTATAACAGGGAGAAGAAAGTGCTATTCAGGTAGGCTGCTTTTCATGTGCAGTTACTGTTTGGCCAACAGCATCATACATATATTAGTTCCTCCATAGGCATTTTTCTGGGTGAATGGACAAATGGAAATGGCAAACCTGTTAGGTGTTCACCCCTTCAACCTAAATGTTCCTCTTCCCCAGGACTGAGGCTCTAGAGATGATGTTAATTTGCACAAGCTTTCAAAAAATCAGTTGAGCAGTGTGTATCAAGAGCCATAAAAATGTTCATACTCTTTGACCCAAACAACCCACTTCTGGGAATCTGTCCTAAGGATATTCTCCAAATGATTGATTACAAAAACTACATAGTAACATGAAATATTTATGATGGAATGATTTTTTTTAAGTCTGGAAGAACTGACCAAGAAATTTGCCAGAGATAATAGTAGTTGTGTTAGAAAAATTAGCTTATTGTAGATTCATTTTCTCTTTCTCAAACTTTACATATTGGAATATTGATTTTACCCTACTCTGCCACTTGAGGTTTATCAATCAGGAACCCAATAGAAACAGCACACTCAGATAGGATAGTTGAAAGTTTAATAGAGGGACTATTGCCTCTATTCTTCCCAATTTCCAATCCTTTACACCCTGAATTCTGCAACTCTTAGTGACTCACTCAACAATTATTAAGCACCTATTTATTGTCTGGTGAAGAAGGCAGACTTTCAAGTACATAAGTTTTTGTGTCATAAATGCAATTATACATATATAAATTGAGTTGTTATGCAGAGCACAAAGAAGCAATTATCTGCCAGGAGAGAGACATGAATCAAGGAAGGTTTCAAAGAGGGGGTAGGCTGGGTACAGTGGCTCACGCCTATAATTCCAGCACTTTGGAAGGCCCAGGTGGGCAGATGACCTGAGCCCAGGAGTTTGAGACCAACCTGGGCAACATGGCAAAACCCTGTCTATACAAAATTACAAAAATTAGCTAGGTGTGGTGGTGCACACCTGTAGTCCCAGCCATTTGGGAGGTCGAGGTGGGAGGATCCCTTGAGACTGGGAGCTCAAGGCTGCAGTGTGCTGTGAAGGCACCACTGCACTCCAACCTGGGCAACAGAGGGAGATCCTGCCTCAAAAAAAAAAAAAAAAAGGTGGGTTTTGGGGGTGATTCAAGTTCAGTTTTTGAAGATTATCTGCCAAGACAAAAGGACCAAAACATGTACAAAGGCAGGAACGAGGGAACACTGATGTGAGGGAACTATGGGAGAGAAGGCTTTAGCTAGATCACACAGGGCCCTGTGCTCCAAGTGGGCCTTGTGCTTTGGAGCTATCAGATTTGCATGTTAGAGAAATGACTCTGGTCTCAGTGGAGAGAGTGGACTGAAGAGGGCAAGAATGGAAGCCGGGAAGAGTGAACAGAAGAAATCTTGGGCTTTGATTGGGTCGGAAAGAAAGTGTGGCCCTACCCACTTTGATGCCATCTCTAAGACCTACTGCTACCTGACCCCCGACCTCTGGAAGGAGACTGTATTCACCAAGTCTCCCTATCAGGAATTCACTGACCACCTCGTCAAGACCCACACCAGAGTCTCCGCGCAGAGGATCCAGGCTCCAGCTGTGGCTACAACATAGGGTTTTTATACAAGAAAAATAAAGTGAATTAAGCCTGAAAAAAAAAAAAAAGAAAAGAAAAAGAAATTGTGGCCCTAGGCCGGGCGCGGTGGCTCACGCTTGTCATCCCAACACTTTGGGAGGCTGAGGCGGGCGGATATCCTGAGCTCGGGAGTCTGAGACCAACCGGGGCAACATGGCGAAACCCGTTCTCTACCAAAAATACAAAAAGCCGGGCGTGGTGGTGCATGCCTGTGATCCCAGCTACTCGGGAGGCTGAGGTGGGAGGATGGCTTGAGCCTGGAAGGCGGAGCCTGCAAGCCGAGATGGAGCCACTGCACTCCAGCCTGGGTGACAGAGTGAGACCCCGTCTTAAAAAAAAAAAAAAAAGTGTATCCCTAACAGAGCCCGCAAAGGCCCTTTCTCAGCGTAAGCCTCTGGACTTACACTTGGCCGGCGCTGCGCCTCTCCGGGATCCCCCTCCCTCCTCCTCCCTGGGGCCCCGCGGGCGGGAGGGAGGCGCGGGGTGGCCCAGCCTGGGTGGTCTCCCGCCCCGCCCCCTGCGGCGCCGTTACCTAGCAGCGGGCCGGGCCGCGCGGCTAGGGTAATTTGCGGGCCCCTCAGCCAATGGGAGGGCGTCGCCCCGGCCAGCTCCCTTTTCTGGAGCTCCAGCCGCCTCCCGGGGACTGCAGTTGCCACCTCGAGCCCTGCTGTGCGTCTCGGGCCAGCAATTCCGCCTGCGCGCGGGACCCATTCCTCCTCCAGCCGCCGCGGCCCACGGCCCACGGAGCGGGTGAATCCCGGCGCCGCGCCCCGGACCCGCAGCTCCCTGCACTCCTCCCTCCCAGCCGCTTTAACACCCACACCCCACAGTCTCTCCCACGCCCGCGCCTTGGCGGCCCCACTGAATCCCTACGCGGGGCCCAGCGGTACCGGGAGACCGGGCTAGCCTATGGGAGCGCCCAGATAACGCGGGTTGGGGGCGCCCGCGCCCCCCATCCCCGCCAGCATGACTCGATCGCCGCCCCTCAGAGAGCTGCCCCCGAGTTACACACCCCCAGCTCGAACCGCAGCACCCCAGGTGAGTAGAGGGGGAGCTGGAAGAAGGAAGAGAGCGGAGCCAGGTCTGTCACTCGGGCCTCTGCAAGGTTTGTGATGTCTTGAAGTGCCGAGTGTCATTAGATGTCTGAAGGCAAGTGAGAGCCAGCACCGCAAGCAAGTTGTGCGTGTGTGTCGGTGTGTCTGTGCCGGTGTCTCCTCATCGTCTGGCCAGTGAGAATGAATGTCTGTGGGTTCACCTCTGTGTCCACCCGACGACAGGTGTGTGTACATATGTATCCTGCTCTCAGAAAATGGGCCTATGCCGGCCGGGCGCGGTGACTCACGCCTGTAATCCCAACACTGGGAGGCTGAGGCAGGCAGATTACCTGAGGTCAGGAGTTCGAGACCAGCCAGGCCAACATGGGGAAACTCTGTCTCTACTAAAAATAAAAAATTAGCAGGGCGTGGTGGCGGGCGCCTGTAGTCCCAACTACTCGGGAGGCTGAGGCAGGAGAATCTCTTGAACCTGGGAGGCGGAGGTTGCAGTCAGCCGAGATCACACCACTGCACTCCAGCCAGGGCAACAGAGCGAGACTGCGTCTCAAAAAAAAAAAAAAAAAAAAAAAGGAGAGAAAACAAAAAGAAAAGAAAGGAAAATAGGCCTATGCCTTCCTCAGGTGTGTGCTGGGGATGGTGGGTGTTACATCTTCCAAGTCTGGGCCTGTGTCTGTGTTGGTGCTCCCTGTCCCACATCCAGAAATCAAGAAGCGAGGGCTGGGCAGCAGATATACAGGGTGAGAAGGGAAGGATTTCATGCATTGTTGCAGTGATGCCTGGCTGACCCTTCTCTTTCCATCCCAGATCCTAGCTGGGAGCCTGAAGGCTCCACTCTGGCTTCGTGCTTACTTCCAGGGCCTGCTCTTCTCTCTGGGATGCGGGATCCAGAGACATTGTGGCAAAGTGCTCTTTCTGGGACTGTTGGCCTTTGGGGCCCTGGCATTAGGTCTCCGCATGGCCATTATTGAGACAAACTTGGAACAGCTCTGGGTAGAAGGTAAGTTGTGGACACTGGCCATAGCTGCTCAGGTATGGTGAGCCCAAGACAAGAACGGGGTGAGGAGCTGGCTACTGAGCTCTAGCAGGCCTGGCCCTGGGGCTGGAGGGTCACCTGCTGGCCAGAGTCCTACACCTGGGCATCTAGGAACACCGTTCCCTCCCACAACCATAAATGGACATCTGCAGATGTTAGACCTTGTGAATTGGGTGTATAGAATATTTGTCTGTGATTTTGTACGTTAGCATTTATTGCTAACTTTCTATGTGTGTCTTTGACAATGCATCAGGGTTTTACAAAGGCAGCTAAAACAAGATTCATCTTTCAGTAGCAAAGAAAGTAAAATATGTGCTGGAATAACTAAAATACAATACAGAGCATCCTGTGATTATGTGGTATAAGATAGGGTAGGGAGAAATCACTTCTGACCAGCAGAATCAGAAAAGTTAGAACTAGAAGGCTGGGGAAACTGAGTAAATAATCTGGCCAAGCCTGCAGGGAGAGGACTCAGGCACCCAGGCCCATTTAATGGAAAAGCAATACAGAATCCACACTTTGAGGCAATAGCCAGGGTCAGATGGAATCAAATCCTCACTTTCTTAAGGAAGCATAAAAGAAGAATGATTTTCTTGGGGTTTTTTTTTGGGGGGGGTTGTTTTTTTGTTTGTTTGTTTGTTTGAGACAGAGTCTTTCTCTGTCACCCAGGCTGGAGTGCAGTGGTGCGATCCTGGATCACTACAACCTCACTTCCCGGGTTCAAGTGATTCTCGTGCCTCAGCCTCCAAGTAGCTGGGATCACAGGTGCCCACCAACACACCCGGCTAATTTTTGTATTTTTAGTAGAGACAGCCTAGACCTCCAGGGCTCAGGTCCTCCCACCTCAGCCTCCCAAGTAGCTGGGATTACAGGCGTGCGCCACCACACCCAGCTAATTTTTGTTTTGTTTTGTTTTGGAGACAGAATCTCACTCTGTCACCCAGGCTGGAGTGCAGTGGTGTGATCTCAGCTCAGTGCAACCTCCACCTCCCAGGGTCAAGTGATTCTTGTGCCTCAGCCACCTAAGTAGCTGGGACTACAGGCATAAGCCACCACACCCTGATAATTTTTGGGTTTTTGGTTTTTTGTTTTTTTTTTGAGACAGAGTCTCACTCTGTCTCATCCAAGCTGGAGTTTAGTGGCTTGATATCGTCTCACTGCAACCTCTGCCTCCCAGGTTCAAACGATTCTCCTGCCTCAGCCTCCAAAGTAGCTGAGATTACAGGTGGGCGACACCATGCCTGGCTAATTTTTGTATTATTAGTAGAGACCAGGTTTCACCATGTTGGCCAGGCTGGTCTCGAACTCCTGGCTTCAAGTAATCCGCTCACCTCAGCCTCCCAAAGTGCTGGGATTACAGGTGTGAGCCACCGTGCCTGGCCAGAATGATTTCTCATTAATAATTTCAGCAGGCCAGGCACGGTGGCTCACGCCTGTAATCCCAGCACTTTGGGAGGCCGGGGCGGGCGGATCAAAGGTCAGGAGTTCAAGACCAACCTGGCCAACATAATAAAACCCCATCTCTACTAAAAATACAAAAATTAGCCAGGCGTGGTGGCGGGCGCCTGTAGTCCCAGCTACTTGGGAAGCGGAGACAGGAGAATTGCTTGAACCTGGGAGGCGGAGGTTGCAGTGAGCCAAGATCGCCGCACTGCACTCCAGCCTGGGCAGCAGAGGGAGATTCCATCTCAAAAAAAAAAAAAAAAAAATTTCAGCATGACTCTCTTCTTTCCTGAGGGCTGGTTTCATATGGCAGCCCTTTGATAGGAGTCAAACTCCAGTCTGTTTTTCCCTGGGAAATTTGCATTTTGTAGACTCCCTCAGCCCTGGCCCATACCCAAAGGCAGAACCCAGGTTGGAGTCTCACACCCTCGAGTTATTTCAAATACTGGCAAGTCCTAGGATCCACAGCAGATGTTTCTCAGAGCTTGCCTGCCTGTTGAGCTCCCACACGCCATCCCCACCCTACCTACCCCCAGCCCTGCAGACTCTCACATCCATATACACTCTAGGCCAGCCCTGGGGTCCAGAGCAGATGTCTCGCTCTGCCTGCCTGCCCCCAGCCCCAGGACACAGATGTGCATACACGCACATACACATATCCCCACCCACACCACTGCTGCCTGGGTGGTCCCAGATGACTCTTGGATTTCCTGCCCCAACAGAGGCAGTCTCCCTTCCCTTCCTCCCTCTCCATTCCCCACATTCTCCCCATCTAAACACTGCTTGAGCCTCCATGTTTCCTCATCCTCTCTCCTATACTCCAGCATAGGATAGGCTAGACCCCAGCAGTTTTTTGCTGTTGTTTGGGGGAGGGTTTTATAAGAGGATGGTAGCCAATTCCTAGGCTTTTTTCCTTTATTTCAGAATATCACTCTTGTCCTATATTGGCTGGGGGTGAGGTAAAAATCTTTTTTTTTCTTTCTGTTTTTTTTTTTTTTTTTTTTTTGAGAGTAAGTCTTGCTCTGTTGCCCAGGCTGTAGTGCAGTGACGCAATCTCGGCTCACTGCAACCTCCGCCTCCCGGGTTCAAGCGATTCTCCAGAGTAGCTGACACTATAGGCATGCGCCACCATGCCCGGCTAATTTTTTTGTATTTTTAGTAGAAACAGGGTGTCACCATGTTGGCCATGCTGGCCTCGATCTCCTGACCTTGTGATCCGCCCGCCTTGGCCTCCCAAAGTGCTGGGATTACAGGCCTGAGCCAGACGCTAGGCCAATCTTTTTTTTCATAGAGATGGAGTCTCACTGTGAGACCCAGTCTCAAAGAAAAAGTGTAAGAAGGCAGGGTGCAGTGGCTCACGCCTGTAATCCCAGCACTTCGGGAGGCCGAAGTAGGTGGATCTCCTGAGGTCAGGAGTTCAACACCAGCCTGGCTAGCCTGGCTAACTTGGTGAAACTCCATCTCTACTAAAAATACAAAAATTAGCCAAGTGCGGTGGTTCGCGCCTGTAGTCCCAGCTACTCCAGAGGCTGAGGCAGGAGAATCGCTTGAGCCCAGGAGGCAGAGGTTGCAGTGGGCCAAGATCGTGCCACTGCACTCTAGCCTGGCGACAGAGCGAGACTCAAAAAAAAAAAAAAAGAAAAGAAAAAGAAAGATTAAGCCGAGGAAGAAACCGAACATTGGCTATCACAGTGTTCCAGACCAGAGTTCAGGGTCCTCCTTAACTTTGCCTCAGTGAGACTTGGAATTTGACTTGTTTGTCTTTCCTGGCCAACTGTAAAGTCAAGCGTTCAGAGGCAGATTGTTCTCTAAAATGAAAATTACAAAGGCCTGGCACGGTGGCTCACGCCTGTAATCCTAGCACTTTGGGAGGCCGAAGCGGGTGGATCACTTGAGGTCAAGAGTTTGAGACCAGCCTGACCAACATGGTGAAACACTGTCTCTACTCCAAATACAAAATTAGCCAGGCGTGGTGGTGCATGCCTGTAATCCCAGCTACTGGGGAGGCTGTGGCAGGAGAATCGCTTGAACCCGGGAGGCAGAGTTTGCAGTGAGCCGAGATCGCGTCTTTGTACTCCAGCCTGCGCAACAAGAGCTGCCATTCCATGTAGAAGACAGAGGATGGCCTTATATCAGTTGGTAGAATCACCATCCACTTAAATACCTAAAGCTAAAACCTTAGGAGTCAGCCTCAGTTCTTGTTCACCCAATTGTTTACTAAACTATTAAATCCTTGCTTCTTAACCTCTCTCATAACAAACCCATCCTTTCTTTTTTTTTTTTTTTGAGACGGAGTCTTGATGTGTTGCCCACACTGGAGTGCAGAGGTGCGATCTTAGCTCACTGCAAGCTCCATCTCCCGGGTTCACGCCATTCTCCTGCCTCAGCCTTCTGAGTAGCTGGGACTACAGGCACCCGCCACCATGCCCAGCTAATTTTTTTGTATTTTTTTTAGTAGAGACAGGGTTCCACCATGTTAGCCAGGATGGTGTCGATCTCCTGACCTCGTGATCCGCCCGCCTCGGCCTCCCAAAGTGCTGGGATTACAGGCTTGAGCCACCGGGCCCGGCACAAACCCATCCTTTCTACCTTGTGGTCACTGCTCTAGTTGAGGCCTTGTTCTATCTCTGGCAATACACTTCTGATTGTATCATTTAGAATGCTTTTAGGCCAGGCGTGGTGGCTCATGCTTGTAATCCTAGCATTTTGGGAGGCCAAGGTGGGAGGCTTGACTGAGCCCAGGAATTCAAGACCAGCCTGGGCAACATGGCAAAAACCCATCTCTATTTCTAAAAAATTAAAAAATAAAATAAGGCCAGGCACAGTGGCTCACACCTGTAATCCCAGCATTTTGGGAGTCCAGGGTGGGGTGGATCACCTGAGGTCAGGAGTTCGAGACCAGCCTGGCCAACATGGCAAAACCTTGTCTCTACTAAAAATACAAAATTTGGCCACACATGATGGCATGTACCTGTAATCGCAGCTACTCCGGAGGCTGAGGCAGGAGATCACTTGAACCCAGGAGGCGGAGGTTGCAGTGAGCTGAGATCGTGCCATTGCACTCCAGCCTGGGTAACAGCAAGACTCTGTCTCAAAAAAATATATAAATAAATAAATTAAATTAAATAATAGAATGCTTTTAGCCACATGAAAAGAGAAGAAAAGGAAAGGAAGAAGGGAAGAAGGAAGAAAGAAGATTGATTTATTATTCTCTGTAACAGGAAGCCTGGTTAATTCAGTTAATTCGGCAGCCCAAGGACATTAGCAAGGACCCAGTTTCTTTCTATCTTTCTCCTCTGCCATCTTCAACATTCTGGACTTTTGTCCTCAGACTTATCTCAAAGTGGCTGCTGCAGTGTCAGGAAAAAGAAATCATTCTTGTCTTGCATTTCTTTTTGTTTTTGTTTTGTTTTATAGAGACAGGGTCTCACTCTTTCACCCAGGCTGGAGTGCAGTGACACAATCACAGCTCACTGCAGCCTGGAACTCCTAGGCTCACACAGTACTCCTGCCTCTTTCTCTGTAGTATCTGGGACTACAGGCACATGCCACCATGCACAGCTAATTTTTTTGTTTGTTTGTTTGTTTGTTTGTAGAGACGCAGTCCCACTATGTTGCCCAGGCTGATCTTTTTTCCTTTTTTCTTTTTCTTTTCCATCCCCCGAGACAGAGTCTTGCTCTCTAGCCCAGGCTGGAGTGCAGTGGATTGACCTCAGCTCACTGCAACCTCCGCCTCCTGGGTTCAAGCGATTCTTCTGCCTCAGCCTCCTCAGTAGCTGGGATTACAGGTGCGCACCACGCCTGGCTAATTTTTGTATTTTTAGTAAAGACAGGGTTTCACCACGTTGGCCAAGCTAGTCTCAACCTCTTGACTTCGTGATCCGCCCACCTCGGCCTCCCAAAGTGCTGGGATTGCAGGTATGAGCCATCGCGCCTGGCCGGCCCCCAGGCTGGTCTTGAACTCCTGGTCTCAAGCGATCCTCCTGCCTTGGCCTCCTGAAGTGCTGGGGTTACAGGCATGAGCCACCATGCCTGATCTTGCATCTCTTTTAAAAAGTGAGGAAAAATGTATTAGTAGCCTCCCAGCCAACTTCTCATTTGCTCTCTTTGGCAAGAACTATGTAGCATCCTATGCCGAAATCCTTCACTTGGCAAAGGCAATGGAATTACTGATTGGCTTCTTAAACTAATCAAGTTTCACCTCCTGATGCTGGGGAGGAGCCCAGCTGTCCCTAATCACTGGGCCTTTCCGATGACGGCCACGGAAATCAGGGTCTGTTAGAAAGGAGGAAGGTGCTGACAGCCTCACCTTCAAATCTGCCTCCACAGCACCACCCTGTGGCCAATCTCCATCTGGCCAAGTCAGTCCCCTTCTTAGTGCCCTTCCACCGATTTCCACCAGATTCTGTAAAATCAAATATAAACTCCATAGCACACACTCTAGGCCCTCCATAATTGGACTTGATTGCTTCTCCAGCATTGCCGCTGGCTCCTCCCTGGCTCACTCTTAGCAGTACCGAAACACGGAGTCTTTGACAGTTCCCTGCGCACACCTGGTCCAGGACACGTTTCCTGACTTCTTCTCGTGGGCACCTCATCATTCACAACTCACAATAGTGTATTCACAAAAATACATTGTTAGGTGATGAAAACGTCAGATCCCCTCTGCCCAAAATCTACCATGACTCCCATTTCACCTAGAGAAAGCTTAAGTCCCTACAATAGTATATAGGCCTTTACACGTGAAACTTCTGGACCAAAGATTATGGAGCATATATATTGCAATGTTGCTTTCCCCCGAAGAGTGTACCATATTACACTCTCATGGTGGGTTAGAGTGTACTCTTGTAAACCAGCAACGAGTGCCATCAATTTTAAAATTTTTGCTAAATTGTTAGATAGTAACTTATTGATGTTTGTATTTGCATTTACATTATTATTTATAAGGTAGAGTCTTTTTCCATATTGGTTAACCAGTTATATTTTCCCGTTGGTAAAGACATAAAAGTTTGGCCGAGCACAGTGACTCATGCCTGTAATCCCAGCACTTTCAGAGGCTGAGGTGGGAGGATCACTTGAGCCCAGGAGTTCGAGACCAGCCTGGGCAACATAGGGAGACCCTGTCTCTACAAAAAATACAAACATTAACTGGGCATGGTGGCACACACCTGTAGTTCCAGCTACTTGAGAGGATTGCTTGAGCCGGGAGGTCAAGGCTGCGGTGAGCTGTGATTGCACCACTGCACTCCAGCCTGGGTGACAAAGCGAGACCCTGTCTCAAAAAAAAGAGACAAGTTGTTTTTTCATGTATCAATCTTGATATTCTCCCTCCTCTGTCCTATTTCCTCCCCTGTCACCTGCAGTCTTTCCTTCAGTTCCTTCTCATTTTTCTGTCACTTCATTTCTCTACCAGCAACTATTGAAAAATAACTCCACATCTGTACCTACTGTGTGCCATGCAATTTCCTAAGTACTTTGCCTGCATTTATTCTAATTCTACCAAGGTAGTCACTGTTTCTGTTTGACAGATGAGGAGCTGGAGACCCAGAGAGAATAACTAATGAGCCCAAGGCACAGACTAAGCATTATCGACTCTTCCTTTCTGCACCACAATGCATCCCAGTTCACCTGTCCATATCTATCTTTGTCAACTAAGGTTTATCTTTTTCTCTGCCCCATTTTCTCCCCTGAGGAGTCTTTATTCTCTTTGATGCTCCATTTTAAATTATCCGTGTTTCTTTCTCTTGCTTTCTTATCAGATCTCTCTGGGTTCCTTCCTCCTCCCATGCCTCCTTCCTCTCAGCAAACCCACTTACTATGGAGAGCTTATCTCTGTCCTCTTCTTCCCTTCCATGCGGCAGCCTTCGGCCTAATCTTGGTGAAATAAACACTGCAGTACAGGCCTGGCAAAAGAGTGGGGAGTAGGGGAGAGTCGGAGAAGGAGAGGCTGGGCACGGTGGCTCACACCTGTAATCCCAGCACTTTGTGAGGCCGAGGCTGGCAGATCACCTGAGGTCAGCAGTTCAAGATCAGCCTGGCGAACAGGGTGAAACCCCATCTCTACTACTAATAATATAAAAATTAGCCAGGCGTAGTGGCAGGCACCTGTAATCCCAACTACTCGGGAGGCTGAGGCAGGAGAATCGCTTGAACCCGGGAGGCAGAGGTTGCAGTGAGCCGAGATTGCACCATTGCACTCCAGCCTGGGCAATAAGAGCGAAACTCAGTCTCAAAAAAAAAAAAAAGGGAAGGAACTGGCAGTGTGGGGAGCAGGACAGGAAGACTGTTTTCATGAGGTGAAGGCCAGGAATGTGACTTTTGGGGCACGAGGGGACATGTGAGCATATGGGTAAGTATGTGTTGGGGGCTACCAAGGATTTGGGGCTTTTGTGAGTGAGAAGATTACATGGGTTTGAAAAAGAGATTGGAGGGCCAGGTGCAGTGACTCACACCTGTAATCCCAGCACTTTAGGAGGCTGGGGTGGGAGGATCGCTTGAGCCCAGGAATTTAAGACCAACTTGGGGCCGGGTGCGGTGGCTCACTCCTGTAATCCCAGCACTTTGGGAGGCCGTGAAACCCCACCTGTACTAAAAATGCAAAAAATTAGCTGGCCATGGTGGCAGGTGCTTGTAATCCCAGCTACTCGGAAGGCTGAGGCACGAGAATCGCTTGAACCTGGGAGACAGACGTTGCAGTGAGCCACAAAAAAGACCAGCTTGGGCAACATAGTGATGAGACCTCGTCTCTACAAAAAATTTAAAAATTAGCCAGGCCTGGTGGCGGGTGCCTGTGGTCCCAGCCACTTGGGAGGCTGAGGTGGGAGGATCACCTGAGCCCAGGAAGTCGAAGCTATAGTGAGCTATGATCAGGCCACTGCACTCCAGCCTGGGCAATAGAGCAAGACTCTGTCTCAAAAAAAAAAAAAAAAGGAAAAGAGATTGGGAAACATGACGATCTCAGATGGGGCTTGAGTCTCAGAGAAGCAGTACGTTTGGGTCCCAGCAGGCAGCAAAGACTAACAGGAGGAGACCCCCAGACAGGTGGAAACAGCGCAGGGTCTGAGATCAGACCAAATCCGCAAAGCCTCCAGAGGTAGATTTGGCCCTCACTCTTCCCCACATCATAGTTAGGTGATAGCCCCTCACAATGTCCCCACCTCCCCCAGGTCCCAGTTACAGAGCAGGAGCCTGTGGCCAGCATAACGCAGGACTGGAGGGGCGCTAAGATCCAGGACACTATGGCAGGCCTGGCGCCGGGAATCCCTGTGGTCTGGACAGTGAGGGCGGTGAAAAGGATCTGGACACCTCCCTCCCCTTGGCCCACTTTGATTTCACCCCTGCCAGGGTTCGTGAGCTGATTCCATGCACTTTCTGCCTGAGTGGGAGCAGCACACTGAATGACTGTCCCATCCTCCCTCTCCCCCACACCAACACAGGGCCCATTATTATCACCCATTATTATCAGACACTCCTATCCCTGCCCTCTCCTTAGGACACTTTGCAGAAAGGTGTGTGGATATAAATCACTGCCCAGAGCAACCTGAACTAAGAACCAGCCCTAGCCCTACACCTGTTCTTTTAGGAAACCCTCCTAGCAGCAGCCTCCCTATTGGCCCCTATTGGCCCTCCTTGTCCTCCCCACCAGAACAGAGAGGGACTGAGCGAGGGTTCCCTTACCAAGATGCCCCTACAACCCCCACAGCCCACGGCCAGCTCATGCTGATTGTCATTTTTAAGTTTACACCCAAAACCCAGCCAACCTGGTTCATGCTTAAGCCCTAGACCACACAAGAAATCCGCAGAGCCACACAACCGAGGCTTCTCCACTTCCCTGGCAGAGCTCCAGGACCCAGAAGCCTGGGGAGTCGGCCTGGGCCATGACCAGGCCCTCAGGGATAAGGCAGGGACTCCTCTCTGCCGCACCTCTCCCACTTGTCTGGGGAGGCCTCAGAGTTAGAAGCCCCCTTCCCAAGTTCTGACCCGCCTAGGCCCTTTCCCCCCCAGCTTTCTCTGTTTGCTCTGGCAGTGGGCAGCCGGGTGAGCCAGGAGCTGCATTACACCAAGGAGAAGCTGGGGGAGGAGGCTGCATACACCTCTCAGATGCTGATACAGACCGCACGCCAGGAGGGAGAGAACATCCTCACACCCGAAGCACTTGGCCTCCACCTCCAGGCAGCCCTCACTGCCAGTAAAGTCCAAGTATCACTCTATGGGAAGTGAGTCTGGCTGAGCCCCTGAGCAGCTGGGGGCGAGGCGTGCTGTGGGGGTTCTGGAGTGGGAATCCCCTTCTTCTGCTGATCTCCTATGCCCCTGGCTATTGCAGGTCCTGGGATTTGAACAAAATCTGCTACAAGTCAGGAGTTCCCCTTATTGAAAATGGAATGATTGAGCGGGTAAGTGTCCTGAGAGGGAGTAGAGGCAGAACTTTTTCTGTAGCGTGGGAGGACTCAGAGACCGAGCAAGCCCCACAGCCTGCAATCTGCCCCCTTAAAACTAAGGAGGGGGATTGCAGAGGGCATCCTACAAAGGTTGTGGGGCAGGACTGACGTGGCCCGGGGTATCCCTGGCAGATGATTGAGAAGCTGTTTCCGTGCGTGATCCTCACCCCCCTCGACTGCTTCTGGGAGGGAGCCAAACTCCAAGGGGGCTCCGCCTACCTGCCGTGAGTGCCACTCCTGGGGCCCTGCTTCATCTCCCGCTGGGGACTCTCCCAGCAGAAAGGAGGGGTCTGGGGAATGAGGATGATCAAAACCTTACCAAGGTCCTAATTACCTCCCAGGCCAGGAACAGAGAGCATGGGCTTCCCCAAGGCTCTCTCCACATCCTCCTTCTCTTTCCCTCTCAAGGAAGGAAGACCTGACTTATTTACACAAAACTAAACACAAAGATCTGTAAGATCTGAGCAAAGGAGAAAAAGATCCCCACAAAGAGGCTTTGCTGGGGGAAATTACCTAGGTGTTTGCTAAGCCATTGCCCAGGCCAGAAAGAAAACCTGCTACAGGCATGTGCCTGCTGGTTGTATATTAGAACCAAGCACACAGCTTGGTAAGGAACTCAGTGGGGCCTTTCTGGGCCCTTTCTATGTATTAGGTAACCCTGCCCTGATATTCGTCTCAGCCCCTTGTACTCTTCTACAGCTCACTGTAGCACCCTGGTGGGCCCATGCAGCCTGGCAGTTCTGAGAAGCTGAGGCTTGCACACCCTCCATATGGAAGGACAAATCGGCAGATAAGAGGAGGGTGGGGTACAGCATGGCGCCCCAGCAGCAGTTTGGAGCCTGGGTTTTCGTCCCTGACCCTCACCAACTATAGGCTTTTCCCTCAGCGGCCGCCCGGATATCCAGTGGACCAACCTGGATCCAGAGCAGCTGCTGGAGGAGCTGGGTCCCTTTGCCTCCCTTGAGGGCTTCCGGGAGCTGCTAGACAAGGCACAGGTGGGCCAGGCCTACGTGGGGCGGCCCTGTCTGCACCCTGATGACCTCCACTGCCCACCTAGTGCCCCCAACCATCACAGCAGGCAGGTGGGTTCCAACCAGGTCTGCCAGGGAAAGGCTGTTTTCCTTCCCTTTCCCTTCCTCATACTCCTGTGTTCTGGGGGAGCTGACTGCTCTGTGCCCTGACCCCCCACTTCCTGGCCATTATTACCCTGCTCCCACAGTGCCAGGCCCCCAATGTTCCATTCCCATTCAGTTATCCTACGGAGCCCTCAAGTGGTATATATGAATCCCTTTTTCCTTTTCTAAGCCTAGATAAGGCTGGACTTCTTTTTTTTTTTTTTTTTGAGTCTCACTCTGTCACCCAGGCTGGAGTGCAGTAGTTCGATCTTGGCTCACTGCAACCTCGGCTCAAGCAATTCTCCTGCCTTAGCCTCCTGAGTAGCTGGGATTACAGGTGCCCACCACCATGCCCGGCTAATTTTTATTAGCCTCCCAAAGTGCTGGGATTACAGGCGTGAGCCACTGCGCCTGGCCAAGGCTGGACTTTTTATCAAAATAGACTAATACAGGGAAACTAAGAACACAGCAGGTAAGCATGAATATCATACCTGGTTTCCCAGGTTTCTTTGTGGCCCTGCAAATGTGGTACTTTTTTCAGAATCCGCCAGTTACACCAGCTCCTCCCAGAAGCCCTTCCAGGCCTCTGCTTCCCCTTGGGGCTTCCTGTCTGCGGGATACTAGCTGTTCACTCCTGCAGAGCAGTCAAGAGGCTCAGAATAGTTACCTACACTCCAGCCCTACTGAGCTTCATGGCAGCGTGGTTCCTGGAGGTGGAAGCCCAGGGACACTCAGTTATCCACGGCCAGGGCCTTGAGCATTAACCCCTCCTGTTCCCCTCCAGGCTCCCAATGTGGCTCACGAGCTGAGTGGGGGCTGCCATGGCTTCTCCCACAAATTCATGCACTGGCAGGAGGAATTGCTGCTGGGAGGCATGGCCAGAGACCCCCAAGGAGAGCTGCTGAGGTAGGGTCTCCTCTGGGAGTTGGTGAGGGGACTCTGTTCATGAGAACCCATACTGTAATGCCAGGCAGCTCTGGCAAAAGGCCCTTCACATCCCTCACCAGGTGTTTGGGCCAGCTCTGACCCCTGGTTCTCCCACACCCCCACCAGGGCAGAGGCCCTGCAGAGCACCTTCTTGCTGATGAGTCCCCGCCAGCTGTACGAGCATTTCCGGGGTGACTATCAGACACATGACATTGGCTGGAGTGAGGAGCAGGCCAGCACAGTGCTACAAGCCTGGCAGCGGCGCTTTGTGCAGGTCGGTATGGACAAGGACAAGGGGGGTGCCCTGAGGCCATTCCCTCCTCCTGCCCCCTCCTATCCACCCTGTTTCTCCAGCTGGCCCAGGAGGCCCTGCCTGAGAACGCTTCCCAGCAGATCCATGCCTTCTCCTCCACCACCCTGGATGACATCCTGCATGCGTTCTCTGAAGTCAGTGCTGCCCGTGTGGTGGGAGGCTATCTGCTCATGGTGGGTCTTGCACCTGGCACCTTGCCCCCACCCCACCTCCAACCAGTGCCCACCCTGGGAGCCCCTGAGACTGCCCTTTCCCCCCACAGCTGGCCTATGCCTGTGTGACCATGCTGCGGTGGGACTGCGCCCAGTCCCAGGGTTCCGTGGGCCTTGCCGGGGTACTGCTGGTGGCCCTGGCGGTGGCCTCAGGCCTTGGGCTCTGTGCCCTGCTCGGCATCACCTTCAATGCTGCCACTACCCAGGTACGCCAGGACTGCAGGGCAGACTCAGTGCCAGTCACCAGGCTTCACGGGTCCTCAGCTGCCCGCTCCTCTGCCCCTCCAGGTGCTGCCCTTCTTGGCTCTGGGAATCGGCGTGGATGACGTATTCCTGCTGGCGCATGCCTTCACAGAGGCTCTGCCTGGCACCCCTCTCCAGGTGGGGCCTTGTCCCCCAGGGCTCATCTGAGGCAGCTCAGCTTACTGGTTAAGAGCCTCTTGGTTCAAGTGACCTTGGGCTGCTAATGAACCTCGGTGCCTCTTGTCCCCATCTGTAAACAGGGGAAATAATAGTGCTGTGTCCTAAGGGTTATTGTTTGGATCAGTGAGGTAACTCAAGTTGAATGCTTAGAACAGCCCATCATACGTACATGGTACCCAATAAATGCTAGCCACTGTGTTATGACTGCCCCACCTCTGCACCCCAAGTTCCTGAGCCTCCCCTTCACTCCACTTTGACACGGCCCCTCCCTTGTGACCTGAGGGCAGGTCCCCACTCTGTCCTGGCAGGAGCGCATGGGCGAGTGTCTGCAGCGCACGGGCACCAGTGTCGTACTCACATCCATCAACAACATGGCCGCCTTCCTCATGGCTGCCCTCGTTCCCATCCCTGCGCTGCGAGCCTTCTCCCTACAGGTGAGGCCTCTCACACGGGGCAGCTCAGGGTGGGTGTGGGGCTGAGGCCAAGCTTCATCCAGCCTTCATTCCCCTCCTGTCCGTCCCCCAGGCGGCCATAGTGGTTGGCTGCACCTTTGTAGCCGTGATGCTTGTCTTCCCAGCCATCCTCAGCCTGGACCTACGGCGGCGCCACTGCCAGCGCCTTGATGTGCTCTGCTGCTTCTCCAGGTACTGCCTGCGCCCCAGCCCCTTCCTCCCGTGACCCACGCCAGCCTGTCCCCTCACCAGCATTTCAAGGCACAGACCTGTCATCCACTCTCTACCTCTTCCAGTCCCTGCTCTGCTCAGGTGATTCAGATCCTGCCCCAGGAGCTGGGGGACGGGACAGTACCAGTGGGCATTGCCCACCTCACTGCCACAGTTCAAGCCTTTACCCACTGTGAAGCCAGCAGCCAGCATGTGGTCACCATCCTGCCTCCCCAAGCCCACCTGGTGCCCCCACCTTCTGACCCACTGGGCTCTGAGCTCTTCAGCCCTGGAGGGTCCACACGGGACCTTCTAGGCCAGGAGGAGGAGACAAGGCAGAAGGCAGCCTGCAAGTCCCTGCCCTGTGCCCGCTGGAATCTTGCCCATTTCGCCCGCTATCAGTTTGCCCCGTTGCTGCTCCAGTCACATGCTAAGGTAAGACTGGGCAGAGCAGGGCAGAGACTTAGCATCTCTGGGCCCAGAAGGGCAGAGAGGGCTTAGTCCACTGCCTGAGGGGCTGGGGGCAGCCCTGGGGTCTCCAGCTTAGTTGCTACATCCCGCAGGCCATCGTGCTGGTGCTCTTTGGTGCTCTTCTGGGCCTGAGCCTCTACGGAGCCACCTTGGTGCAAGACGGCCTGGCCCTGACGGATGTGGTGCCTCGGGGCACCAAGGAGCATGCCTTCCTGAGCGCCCAGCTCAGGTACTTCTCCCTGTACGAGGTGGCCCTGGTGACCCAGGGTGGCTTTGACTACGCCCACTCCCAACGCGCCCTCTTTGATCTGCACCAGCGCTTCAGTTCCCTCAAGGCGGTGCTGCCCCCACCGGCCACCCAGGCACCCCGCACCTGGCTGCACTATTACCGCAACTGGCTACAGGGTGAGAGGCGAGGAGACGGGCAGGGAGGGGTGCTGCAGGGAGAAACGCCCTGGGGCCACCAGCTAATAGAACCCTATCCTGGTCTCCCCCAGGAATCCAGGCTGCCTTTGACCAGGACTGGGCTTCTGGGCGCATCACCCGCCACTCGTACCGCAATGGCTCTGAGGATGGGGCCCTGGCCTACAAGCTGCTCATCCAGACTGGAGACGCCCAGGAGCCTCTGGATTTCAGCCAGGTTGGGAGAGGGCTGGAGGGGTCCACTAGTACAGGGGCTGCAGGCCTCCTGGGCCCAGGCCTTCAGCCCTCTCTGCCTCTGCAGCTGACCACAAGGAAGCTGGTGGACAGAGAGGGACTGATTCCACCCGAGCTCTTCTACATGGGGCTGACCGTGTGGGTGAGCAGTGACCCCCTGGGTCTGGCAGCCTCACAGGCCAACTTCTACCCCCCACCTCCTGAATGGCTGCACGACAAATACGACACCACGGGGGAGAACCTTCGCAGTGAGTCTTGGGGGGAGCTCGGCAAGAGCCTCAGCCTCGCCCACACAAGCCCTGAGCCTGAGGCCCTGCCCACTCTGCCCCGTGCTCACCGCCCTGTCCCTCTCCCTCTTCTCCCTTCCCCTCCCCTCCACAGTCCCGCCAGCTCAGCCCTTGGAGTTTGCCCAGTTCCCCTTCCTGCTGCGTGGCCTCCAGAAGACTGCAGACTTTGTGGAGGCCATCGAGGGGGCCCGGGCAGCATGCGCAGAGGCCGGCCAGGCTGGGGTGCACGCCTACCCCAGCGGCTCCCCCTTCCTCTTCTGGGAACAGTATCTGGGCCTGCGGCGCTGCTTCCTGCTGGCCGTCTGCATCCTGCTGGTGTGCACTTTCCTCGTCTGTGCTCTGCTGCTCCTCAACCCCTGGACGGCTGGCCTCATAGTGAGTGCTTGCAGGAGTGGGGACAGAGACACCCCACCCTTCCCTGCCCAGCCTGTCATCCCTCCTGCCAGGAGCCCTCTGTGAGCCCTGTCTCCCTCAGGTGCTGGTCCTGGCGATGATGACAGTGGAACTCTTTGGTATCATGGGTTTCCTGGGCATCAAGCTGAGTGCCATCCCCGTGGTGATCCTTGTGGCCTCTGTAGGCATTGGCGTTGAGTTCACAGTCCACGTGGCTCTGGTGAGCACGGGCACCCCGGGGAGGGACCAATCAGCTGATTCAGTATTCAACACATATTGTTCAAGCCCCTACTATGTGCTAGGTACTATTTAAGAATTTGGGCTGGGTGGACGTGGTAGCTCATTCCTGTAATCCCAGCACTTTGGGAGGCCGAGGCAGGTGGATCACCTGAGGTCAGGAGTTCGAAACCAGCCTGGCCAACATGGTGAAACCCTGTCTTTACTAAAAATACAAAAAATTAGCCAGGCGTGGTGGCACATGCCAGTAATCCCAGCTACTTTGGAGGCTGAGGCAGAATTGCTTGAACCTGGGAGGCGAAGGTTGCAGTGAGCTGAGATCGTGCCATTGCACTCCAGCCTGGGCAACAAGAGTGAAACTCTCCGTCTCAAAAAAAAAAAAAAAAAAGAATTTGGGCTGGGCACAGTGGCTCATGCCTGTAATTGGGATGATGCTGGGGCATTTTGGGAGGCCAAGGCAGGCGGATCCCCTGAAGTCAGGAGTTCAAGACCAGCCTGGCCAACATTGCAAAACCCCGTCTCTACTGAAAATACAAAAATTAGCTGGGCGTGGTGGCTCATGCCTGTAATCCCAGCTACTCAGGAGGCTGAGGCAGGAGAATTACTTGAACCCAGGAGGCGGAGGTTACAGTGAGCTGAGATCACATCACTGTACTCCAGCCTGGGCAAAAGAGCAAGATTCAATCTCAAAAAAGAATTTGGAAAATAAAAATAAAAAAGAATACGGGATATAATAGCAATACAGTTTTTTACCTCCAAGGAACTTATATTCTAGGGATAGAGATAGACAATAAGGGCTGGGTGAGGTGGCTTACGCCTGTAATCCCAGCACTTTGGGAAGCCGAGGTGGGCACATCACTTGAGGTCAGGAGTTCAAGACCAGCCTGGCCGACATGGTGAAACCCCATCTCTACTAAAAATATGAAAATTAGCTGGGTGTGGGGGTGCATGCCTGTAATCCCAGCTACTTGGAAGGCTGAGGCAGGAGAATCACTTGAACCCGGGAGGGTGGAGGTTGCCATGAGCCGAGACCATGCCACTGCACTCCAGCCTGGGAGACCGAGCAAAACTCCATCTCAAAAAAAGAAAAAAAAGAAGAGAGAGATAGACAGTAAATAAGTAGACAAATAAATAAGCAGCCATTTCAGTAGAGAGGAGTAGACAAGATCCTGTCTGGAATGTGTTAAAGACAGAATGGAAGATGAGAAAATGGGAATCAATGATTCTTTTGAATGGTTTTACTGTGAACCATTGTGGGATGGGCCAGGCATGGTGACTCACACCTGTAATCCCAGCACTTTGGGAGGCTAAAGCTGGTGGATTGCTTGAGCCAGGAGTTCAAGACCAGCCTGGGCAACATGGTGAAACCCCGTCTCTAATAAAAATACAAAAATTAGCCAGGCGTAGTGGCAGGTGCCTGTAATCCCAGCTACTCAGGATGCTGAGGCAGGAGAATTGCTTGAACCTGGGAGGCAGAGGCTGCAGTAAGCCAAGATTGCGCCACTGCACTCCAACCTGGGCAACAGAGCAAGACTCCGTCTCAAAGAAAAAAAATTTTTTTTAAATAATTAGCTGGGCATGGTGGTGCGTGCCTGTAGTCTCAGCCACTCAGGAGGTTGAGGCGGGAGGATCACTTGAACCTCAGAGTTTGAGGCTGCAGTGAGCCATGATTACACCACTGCACTGCAGCCTGGGCAACACAGTAAGATCCTGTCTCAAAAAAAAAAAAAAATGGGATGGTAGCGGGATGGCAATGTGGGCTTAATGGAGGGGTTCTACAAAGATACCAGAGATACAGAGATGCCAGAACCAAGGAGGGCCTCGCCCAGGGCTGCATATTCTCTGGCAGAGGAAAGGGGGGACCCACAGACCAGCCAGACTCCACAAACAGCTCCCTTCCTTTCCCCCCACCAAATATCTCTATTATTATTCTGATTATAAAAACAATATATGATCCTTGAAAACAAACAAAGCCAGCATGCAGAAAGGTACAAAAGAAGAATTAGAAATCCTCTGAAACGCTACTCTGAGAAGTAACTGTTATCACTTTGATGTCCCTCTTCTAGATGGACTAGTGGTTGGCCAACTTCTTCTATTTATAGGACCAAATAATAACTATTTCAGGCTTGGTAGGCCATAGAGTCTCTGCTGCAACTCTGCCATCAAAGCACAAAATTGTCTAGACAATACATTAACCAATGGGTATGGCTGTTTCAACAAAATTTCATTTACAAAACAAGTGACAGGCTGTAGTTTGCCCAACCTATGTTTGTTTGTTTGTTTGTTTGTTTGTTTGAAACAGGGTCTCACTCTGTCGCCCAGGCTGGAGTGTAGCAGTGCAATCTCGGTTCACTGCAACCTCCACCTCCTGGGCCAAGCGATCCTCCCACCTCAGCCTCCCAAGTAGCTGAGACTACAGGCACACACAACCACACCCAGCTAATTTTTGTATTTGTTATAGAGACAGGGTTTTGCCATGTTTCCCAGGCTGGTCTGGAACTCCCAACCTCAGGTGATCCACCCACCTCAGCCTCCCAAAGTGCTGGGATTACAGGCATGAGCCACCGTGCCCGGGCTTGTTTGTTTTAAGAGACAGGGTCTCACTCTGTCACCCAGGCTGTACCCTATTTTCTACGTGTCTCTGTGTCTAAGCTCACCAAACCCATCCATACAGTGTTACCTAAAAGGACTCACGCATGCTCCCTGTACAGTTCCCATGAACTTAGTTCACCCAGCCTTTGGTGGGCCAAGGTATCGTTGAGCTCTGAAGACAGATACAGCTCGGGACATGGCTGAGCTGGCCATGACTGGCAGAGGAGCAGCTCCAGGACCACTCTGTTTTCCTAGGGCTTCCTGACCACCCAGGGCAGCCGGAACCTGCGGGCCGCCCATGCCCTTGAGCACACATTTGCCCCCGTGACCGATGGGGCCATCTCCACATTGCTGGGTCTGCTCATGCTTGCTGGTTCCCACTTTGACTTCATTGTAAGGTAGGGAGGGCTCGGGGCAGGGAGGCAGGGCTCAGGACAGGCCTGGGCTGACTCCCCCCACACCCTACCCCTAGGTACTTCTTTGCGGCGCTGACAGTGCTCACGCTCCTGGGCCTCCTCCATGGACTCGTGCTGCTGCCTGTGCTGCTGTCCATCCTGGGCCCGCCGCCAGAGGTGACCACACCCTCGGCACCATCCCTCTACTCCCAGCCCAAGGGACGGGGTAGGGAGAGGCAAGGGAAGGGACAGAGCCCTGTGGCCCACAGACAGGTACCTCCCCAACAGGTGCCACCAGCTGAAGGTGGCAGCCTCCTCCTTTCCCCAGACACCATGTTCCTGCCCCTCAGCCCTCCTGGCTTCTTCATGGGACCCACCTTAGACTTTTAGGATCCAGAACAAGGTGCAGGGTTTGCCCCAGGCCTCAACATCCTGTCGCCTGCCAGCTCTCATATCCTGCTGGAGACCAACAAGGGCCCCAGCTTCCCAACAGTCATGGTAATCCCCAGCGAGATGCTAAAGGGGACGGGAGCCCCAGGGGCCCGTGGGCTTACTGGGGCTGGTGTCTCCCCACAGGTGATACAGATGTACAAGGAAAGCCCAGAGATCCTGAGTCCACCAGCTCCACAGGGAGGCGGGCTTAGGTGGGGGGCATCCTCCTCCCTGCCCCAGAGCTTTGCCAGAGTGACTACCTCCATGACCGTGGCCATCCACCCACCCCCCCTGCCTGGTGCCTACATCCATCCAGCCCCTGATGAGCCCCCTTGGTCCCCTGCTGCCACTAGCTCTGGCAACCTCAGTTCCAGGGGACCAGGTCCAGCCACTGGGTGAAAGAGCAGCTGAAGCACAGAGACCATGTGTGGGGCGTGTGGGGTCACTGGGAAGCACTGGGTCTGGTGTTAGACGCAGGATGGACCCCTGGAGGGCCCTGCTGCTGCTGCATCCCCTCTCCCGACCCAGCTGTCATGGGCCTCCCTGATATCCATACAGAACAGCCACCGATTTGCACATCCAGGCCTGTGTGAGCCTGTATCTGTGTCACTTGAGAGTGAAAGCTGGCACTTGGGGCTGCAGTGCAGCCCTGTCCCCCTTCCCACCCCACACCACTGCCTGCCCAGCTGACCAAGCCTGAGGGACCCTCCAGCACCCTTCCGTCTGGTGACTCCTGGGCAGGCTCTCCATATCCCTGCCCACCTCCTACCACATCCATTATTTATATGAAAATGTCTATTTTTGTAGTATACATACATGTTAGCTATGATGAAAGTTTTATTTTTTAAAGAATGAAATATATTCTATGTGAACTAATCTCAGATGACTTCAGTGCTTTTTTTTGGACAGAGTGGGGAGTTTGCAAGTGAACATTAGCTATTGGAAGGAGCTTCTCTGGTGCCAGGACCTGAGGTATTAGCTTCTCTAGTTCTGGGTGGAAAAGACCCCAGATTCTGGATTTTTGTCATATACTTGGTAACATCATCTGGATTAAGTGCTTACTATACAAAACGATAACAAATTTTGTTGGTGTGAAATCCTACTGGGTTCAATCTGGAGACCGAGAGCAGAAAAAAAAGAACCCCACTGTGTGGCTTTCAGAGCCACCATATTCCAGCCTGCCCGTCTCTCCAGACTCACCTCCACCTACCTGCTTCACCCGCACGGGAAACGGCAAGGCAGAGGGGCAAAGCCATGCAGCAGGTGGAAGGCGAGGTGGAGGCAGATCAGGAAAGCAGCCAGTTGAAGCAGAGAGAGGTCAACAGGGTCTGGGGAGCTTCTCAGGAGGTTTGTGGACCCAGGGAAAGGAGCCAGGTTCCAGAGCAACCTCCAAGGCAAAGGCCTCTGTAAGTTGGTTGTCCTGACAGCCGAGAGGTGTCTTTGGCCAGTCAGCCAGTGGATCAGTTGCGGGAACTGCTCAGAAACTGAGGTGCTAGCAGTTAGTGAGGACACAGCGTAAGTTGTTTGTTCTGTGAAAGTTGAACAGCTCCACTAAGCAGAGGCCTTGAAGAGTGGCCACAGCCCTGGAATAGAGCACAGAGCCTCACCTAGAGGCGTGGGGAGGTTTGCAACTGCCCCTTCCCAGCCATAGCTTAGGACCCATAGTCTAGTTCACATAGACCCTGGGCTCCAACCACCCACTCACCAGGAATGATCCCACCCCAGGAACAATGCGTTCTCACATCCCACCCCACCTGGACAAAGGCCAGGAAATCATGTTCTGACCAAAAGATACAACAACAAAAACAACAACAACAAAAAACGCCTATTGCAATTGAATCCACGCTAAAATGCCTAAAAAGCTCAAGAGAAGCGGGTAGTTGGCAGAGAACCTAGAGTAGGGGGTGCAACCAGCAGGCCCAAGGGAGGGAGGCTGCATTTGGGTCCAGCAGTGTTTGGGTCACCAAGAAGGGCCTTCTAGGTGGAGCAGAGAGAGCTCACCAGGCCAGAATAGTGCAAAGGGGGTCAGCCCTCAGTGCCACTTACCAGCGGAGTAACCCTGGGCAAGTTAGCCAGCCTCACTAAGCCTCCTCATCTTCATCTTTCCAGGCCCGAGGAGATCTAGCCTCTGCCTCCCACCCCAGCACCCCCTCATCAGACACACGGAGCGCCACTGTCTGGACAGGCTGAATTGGTCTTCGGGTCCCTAATTTCTCATACGCCATTCCCTCTGCCTAGAACACTTTCTCACCTCCCCTTGATGTGACCCCATATCACCCTTCGAGGTGAATTGGATCGGATGCCATCTCCTCCAGGAGGGGTGGGGTCGTGCCTCCTGTGAGGTCCCAGTGCCCCTGAGTGTCTGTGCCCGTCTGTTTCCCCGTCCCTCTCTCTAAGCCCGGAGGCTTACTGCGGGTAAGGACGGCGGGACAGGACCTTAACCCCTGGGACGAACACCAGCTCCGCAAAGGACTCCGCACCCGGCGCCGCCCACGGGGTGCGGGTCCCAGGAGGACCAGCAGAGAGGAGCATAGGAGAGCAAAGGAGATCAGTGACCCATGGCTTCCCCGGTGGCGCGGAACAGCCCGGAGCCGCCTGTGATTTGCATACCCATGGTGCACCACGAAAAGATACCCTCAAGATGCTTGCACTCCCTCTGTGCGCGCATTTCTGCACTGTTTTAGAGCATGATGCCTCTTACACGCATCTGTGTGCATAAACTACATATAGGGAGTGCGTACCACGCAGGCATCCAACAACCATAAGTGTGTTAAGTGTTAGTTCTCCCTGCGAGGTTCGAAGCGGAAGTCACGAATATACTCGGGTTTCTCTTCAAAGCGCATAAATCTTTCGCCTTTTACTAAAGATTTCCGTGGAGAGAAAGTTGTGAGTTTTTATTCAATTTTTTGAGGCCTCTTATTTCCTGAGGCTACATTTTTAAGTATTAAAAGTTAGGCAACTACAACCAAGGAACTTGGTCATTTGTTATTTGTACCAAATGTTCACAAACTTATTCGGGCGTGGTGGTGCCTGTTTGCAATCCCACCTATTGGAGAAGCTGGGGCGGGAGAGTCTCTTGACTCTAGAAGACGGAGGTTGTAGTGATCCGAGATCGCGCCACTGCCCTCTAGTCAGAGTGGCAGAGACTCCTGGGGCGGGAGAGTCTCTTGACTCTAGAAGACGGAGGTTGTAGTGATCCGAGATCGCGCCACTGCCCTCTAGTCAGAGTGACAGAGATTCAGTGTAAAACAAAAAAAAATCAGAAGTTTGCGTGACACCTTGTTTTGAGCTACATTTGGGGTTTATTGGCTTCTGCAGTGTGCAGTAAGACTGGCTTCTATTGTTTATTTCTTGCGTTTTTGTTGCATTTCGTTGCAGATTTAAGAGATAAACAGTGGAAGGCGCTTTCAAGTCGTCCGGTCATTAATTAAGCCTTATTGTGGCTAGAGGTTCAGGGGCGGTATATCGCGCCAACCAAACTCCTTGTTCTATTCCCAGAGACAGTAGCTGTTAGCGGTTTGGTGTGGCTCTTCCAGACTGATTTTTTTTTCCCAACTCGATTGCGAATCCAAACACAGTTTATGTGGTGAAGAGACAAGGTTCCTTCTCCTATGGAGCTTTTTTCTTTTGAGATGGAGTCTCACTTTGTCACCCAGGCTGGAGTGCAGTGGCTCAATCTCGGCTCACTACAACCTCCGCCTCCCGGGTTCAAGCGATTCTCCTGCCTCAGCCTGCGGAGTACCTGGGACTACAGGCGCCCGCCACCACACCCGACTAATTTTTGTATTTTTAGTAGAGACGGGGTTTCACCGTGTTGGTGAGGATGGTCTCGATCTCCTGACCTCGTGATCCGCCTGCCTCAGCCTCCCAAAGTGCTGGGATTACAGGTGTGAGCCACCACACCTGGCCCTTTTCTTTCTTTCTTTCTTTTTTTTGTTTTTTGTTTGTTTGTTTGTTTGTTTGTTTGTTTTTGAGAGGGAGTTTCGCTCTTGTTGCCCAGGCTGGAGTGCAGTGGCGCGATCTCGGCTCACTGCAACCTCCACCTCCCGGGTTCAAGCGATTCTCCTCCTCAGCATCTGGGATTACAGGCGCACCACCACGCCCGGCTAATTTTTGTGTTTTTAGTAGAGACAGAGTTTCACCATGTTGGCCAGGCTGGTCTCAAACTCCTGACCCCAGGTAATCCGCCTGCCTCGGCCTTCCAAAGTGTTGGGATTACAGGCAAAAGCCAACGTGCCCGGCCCCTATGGAGCTTTTCTAATAGAACCAAACACAAAACAAATTGAATAAATAATATAAATCCCAGATAAATAATATCTCAGTGAGAAGTGCCCTGTAGAAAGAGCATTTTGATAGAATGGTCTACCTCCTTCCTATTCCCTCTCCATAAGGGAGCTCACCTACTTCCATGGCTTTAAGTAAATGCCATCTGATAGCTAGTGACCCCCCAGTTTACAGCCATCAGCTAGTCCTGTTGACTCCCTTCCATCAGCTGGTCCTGTTGATACCTTCAAAGCGTACGCTTCATCCAACCACATTTTACCACCTCCACTGCTGCCATCCTGGTCCAAGATCTCTTGCTGGATAATTGCAATAGCCCCTAACTGTTCTCCCTAGACCACTCTTCTACCTCGCTCTTGCCCTTCTCAATTCCAGTCCTCCACATAACGGCCAAATTCTTTTTTTTTTTTTTCTGAGAGGGTCTTCCTGGAGTGCAGTGGCTGGAGTGCAGTGGCACAATCTCAGGCTGGAGTGCAGTGGCGCAATCTGAGTTCACTGCAACCTCCACCTCCCAGATCCAAGCAATTCTCCCACCTCAGCCTCCCAAGTAGCTGGGACTGCAGGCGCGTGCCACCACACTGGCTAATTTTTGTATTTTTTGTAGAGACGGGATTTCGCCATGTTGCCCGAACTGGTATCAAACTCCCAGATTCAAGTGATTCGCCCACCTCACCCTCCCAAAGTGCTGGGATTACAGGCAGGAACCACCATGCCCAGCCCAAATTATTCTTTTAAACTAAATCTGATCACACATCACTGTCCTGCACAAAACCCTCCAATGCCTTCCCCCATGACACATAGCTCCCTGCAGATCTCTTGTCAAATGTTATCTCATCAGAGGTCTACAATCAGTGCCCTGTACGAAATAGTCCCACTCCCACCACATAGCTATCTCTTCAACCTGTTTTGCTTTTCCTCATAGCACAAACTACTCCCTGAATAGAGCATACATTTCTTTACTTGTTTACTGCATGTTTCTCCTCTTAGAATGTTAGCTCCATGAGGCAAAGACTTGACTTGACTTGTTGTCTGATGTACTTATTCCATGACCGTAAATCAATGTCTAGTGTGTGAGCACTCAATGAATAGTTGTGGAACAAATGAATGAATATGTTTTCTAAACACATATACAGAATTTAATCTGTCCCACTACAATTCTAAGTATTTTATGAAATTATTTTCATCTTCCTAAAAACTCTACTAAATAGGTTCCATTATCTCCATTTTATAAATAAGGAAGCTGAGGCAAAGAAAGGTTAATCACAAAGAAAATATGTGGCGGAGCTGGGATTCAAATGCAAGCATTCTGGCTCCAGGAGACACGCTCTTAATCACTATGCTACCTTTTTTCTTTTAACAAGAGGAATCATGCTGTAATTGGTCTATTCTGTGCTTTTTTCACCAAAGATCATGGATTTTTTAAATATTACAGGAATATACCATAGTTAATATAACCAGTCCTCTGGTAATGGACGTATAGATGATTTTCAATTTCCACTATCCAATCAATGCTGCCATGTACTACTGAGTAAGCACATTTTCTGTCGAGAGATAATGCTAAATAACTATCTTTAATCCCTGTGCAATATATATACACACACATCTATGTGTATATATAATATACACACACATCTATGTGTATATATAATATACACACACATCTATGTGTATATATAATATACACACACATCTATGTGTATATATAATATACACACACATCTATGTGTATATATAATATACACACACATCTATGTGTATATATAATATACACACACATCTATGTGTATATATAATATACACACACATCTATGTGTATATATAATATACACACACATCTATGTGTATATATAATATACACACACATCTATGTGTATATATAATATACACACACATCTATGTGTATATATAATATACACACACATCTATGTGTATATATATACACACACATCTATGTGTATATATAATATATACACACATCTATGTGTATATATAATATACACACATCTATGTGTATATATAATATACTCACATCTATGTGTATATATAATATACACACACATCTATGTGTATATATAATATACACACACATCTATGTGTATATATAATATACACACACATCTATGTGTATATATAATATACACACACATCTATGTGTGTGTGTGTGTGTGTGTGTGTATATATATATATACATATATATATATATATTTTTTTTTTTTTTTTTGAGACAGAGTCTCACTCTGTTGCCTAGGCTGAGTGCAGTAGCACAATCTCAGCTCACTGCAACCTCCGCCTCCCAGATTCAAGCAATTCTCGTGCCTCAGCCTCCCAAGTAGCTGGGATTACGGGCATGTGCCACCACACCTGGCTAGTTTTTTGTATTTTAGAGACAGGGTTTTGCCATGTTGCCCAGGCTGATCCCGAACTCCTGAGCTCAGGCGAACCACCCACCTCGGCCTCGCAAAGTTCTAGGATTACAGGCGTGAGCCACGGTGCCTGGCCTCCTGTACAATATATTTTTGTATGAAGTCCCTGAGATAGAAATCTAACTTTATTTTCTTCTAAATAGTCAACTGTCTCTCATTTTAGATTGACAGTATCTTGCTTTGCAGCTCCTTTAAAACTCTTCATGGAATAAAGTGGCATTTAAATGAGGAAATAGGCTGGGTGTGGTGGTGCTTCATGCCTGTAATCCCAGCACTTTGGGAGGACGGAGTGGGACCATTGCTTGAGCCCAGGAGTTTGAGAACAGCCCGGGCAACGTAGGGAGACCTCATCTCTACAAAAAGAAAAAAAAAAGTTAGCCGAATGTGATGGAACATGCCTGTAGTCCCAGCTATTCAGCAGGCTGAAGTGGGAAGATCACTTGAGCCTGGGAGGCTGAGGCTGCAGTGAGCCGAGATTGCACCACTGCACTCCAGCCTGGGTGAGAATAAGGTTGTGTCATAAATAAATAAATAAAGTCATTTACTTAACATTTACATAGCACTGATTATCTGACAGAGACTGAGGAAGCAGAAACGAGTAAGACACCACTCCAGGCCCCAGGGATCTTTCTTGAGGGAGATTCACATCCTCGGGAAAACAAGATGTATAGTGAATGAAGGAGGTAGCAGAGGGGTCTGCAGTAACTGAGTAAGGTATGGAGCTAGAGGACTAATACCTCCAGGATAAATGAATTTATACAAAGATTGTATTTGAGAGAAGAGGTGAGGAACCACTCACTAGTAGTTTTGAGTGCCCTGAAAGTGAAATAGATTGAATTTTGTCCTGGAGGTCAATGGGATGTTCCAGGACTTAAGCCCCATAGGACTGACAATCAAAAACAGGTCTGGCTGCACTGTGGGAAATGGATTGAGGGGGCGCTGGAGTGAAGGCAGGAAGGCTGTGAGACGTGTCAGACAGGACAGGTTGAACCTGGGGCTGAGAGAACTGAACCAACTGGAAAGGTCTCTTAAGGTCTCTTACAAGGTAAAAAGAGACCTAAGGCAGGTGTGAAGAGCGATAAGGCAAGGATGAGATCCAGGTTTCTGGCGTGGGTGTCCACGGAAATGAGAAACACGATGGGGGCAGAGCTGGGGAAAAGCTGGGGAGATCAATTTCTCGCCGAGCCTGTGGTGTCTGAGGGGCATTCAGGGAGCGATCTCCAGGGGGGCAGGTCTGGAATGAAAGAAGGAGCTGAGGCCGGGCATGGTGGCGCACACCTGTAATCCCAGCACTTTGGGAGGCCGAGGCTGGCGGATCACATGAAGTCAGGAGTTCGAGACCAACCTGGCCAACATGGTGAAACCCCCGTCTCTACTAAAAATACAACAATTAGCCGGGCGTTGTGGTGCATGTCTGTAATCCCAGCTACTCAGGAGGCTGAGGCACGAGAATCGCTTGAACCCGGGAGGCGGAGTTTGAAGTGAGCCGAAATCGCACCACTACACTCCAGCCTCGACGACAGAGCAAGACTCTGTCTCAAAAAAAAAAAAAAAAAGGCCGAGGCGGGCGGATCACAAGGTCAGGAGATCGAGACCATCCTGGCTAATACGGTGAAACTCCGTCTCTACTAAAAATTCAAAAAAATTAGCCGGGCGTGGTGATGGGCGCCTGTAGTACCAGCTACTCCGGAGGCTGAGGCAGGAGAACGGCGTGAACCCGGGAGGCGGAGCTTGCAGTGAGCCGAGATGGCACCACTGCCCTCCGGCCTGGGCGAGAGTGCGAGACTCCGTCTCAAAAAAAAGAGAGAGGAGAGAAAGAAAGAAAGAAAGAAAGAGATAGAGAAAGAGAAAGAAAGAAGGAAGGAAGGAAGGAAGGAAGGAAAGAGAAAGAAAGAAAAAGAAAGAAAGAAAGAAAGAAAGAAAGAAAGAAAGAAAGAAAGAAAGAAAGAAAGAAAGAAAGAGAAAGAAAAAGAAAAGAAAGAGGGAGCTGAGCTGAACAGATAGATATGTGGGAGTCATCAGAATAGACTAGTAGACGACAATGCCCAGGGGCAGGGCGTAGAGTCAGGGTGTGGAACGAAGGAAATCCTCGTTTTCGAGTTTCACCCCCTCAGGGAGGCCCAGCCCAAGCCCTGCCCGGCCCGACCCCACCTCGCCCACACGGGCTTGATCCCGCACAAGGGGCTGCGCGTGGCAGACAACGGTTCTTCCGGCGCCCGGCTCACTGGGCACGCTGGGAACGGAAGCCCGCTCCGAACGCCGAGCACTTCGGGAGCTGTAGTTTGGGGCAGGCTCAGCTGGGCGGGTCGAGGGCTCCCTGCGAGTCCCGGCGTTGGATCATTTGAAGGACAGGTCCAGAAAGCGGTGATGCTCCCGGGGCAGGGTGCCTCTCCGGCGGCGACACGGGGCGCCCCGGGCCTCATCCCCTCTCCGCAGGGCATGGCATTTCCACGCCTCCACAATCTGCTCCACCTGCAGAGCAAGGCCAGTTAGTGCGCAGTCCCGCGGTGGCCCCTCGCCCCGAGGACCGTGGGCCGGGCTGCTCCTGCCCCCTCCCAGCGCCCTGTACCCCCTGCTGAGTGGAGCTGGGCCGGTTCCCCGCGTCCCCACCGGGATGAGTGGTTCCTGCCGGTTCTGCTCTTCCAGGGCGCTCAGCTCCGCCGGGGCCAGCAAGGCTAGTCTCAGCTCTTTCACCACCGGGGCCGCCACCTCAGCCACCGGCCGCTCCAGCACCGCCTGCAAACGCCAGCCCTGAGTCGGGCACCTGTCCTGCCGCCCGCTCACCAGTCTCGTGGCCAGCACCTCCTTCCGTGCCCTTGCGCTCCCCCAGCCCCACTCACCGCGCCCACGCGCGCCCAGCTTCGGGCCGCGCGGACCAGTTCAGCCTCGTCCACGCAGAGCTTGTCGCTGCGGAGCAGGGGCAGCAGCGCGGCCGCCGACAGCTCCAGGAAGCCTCGGGTCCGGAGGGCCTCCTGCGAGCCGGCAAATGGGTCAGGGAGGAGCAGAATGCGGTGCGTAGGGTGAGGAGTATGAAGGGAGCAGTACCTGGCTGTGGGCCTCTATGAAAGCCACGCAGCGCTCCTGCAGCTGCCCCAGGCCAAAGGTTACGGCCACCTGCGAGCAGAATGAGGGAGATCAGGTTGGAGACTGGAGAGGCCGTAGCCCAGCCTGCTCACTGGGACCCACCACTGCAAGCCTGACCCTAGCCCTAGCTGGGGAGGCTGACAGGGCCCTCAGCCCTCCAGGAAACTAGACCCAATGAAAGCCTGCTACACACACACACACACACACACACACACACACACACACACACACACACACACGTGGACTCACTCTACAACCTGCTCTTCCCTACAGGAGACCACGCCATGGCCTTCAAACCCCACCTGGGACCTAGGCTTGATTTTTTTTGAGGCAGAGTCTCACTCTGTTGCCCAGGCTGGAGTGTGCAGTGGCGCAATCTCGGCTCACTGCAACCTCTGCCTCCCGGGTTCAAGCGATTCTCCTGCCTCAGCCTCCAGAGTAGCTGGGAGCATGCCACCACACCAGGCTAATTTTCTGTATTTTTAATAGAGACAGGGTTTCACCGTGTTAGCCAGGATGGTCTCGATCTCCTGACCTCTTGATCCGCCCGCCTCGGCCTCCAAAAGTGCTGAAATTACAGGTGTGAGCCGTTGTGCCTGACCCAGCTTGACTTCTAAAGTCTACAGCCACCCTTTCCCTACCCCAAGTCAAGCTGAGAACCATTCCCCAGCCCTGACAGACAGAAGACCAGCAAAGACCTCCAGCCCCTTCAACACCTGCTCCTGCACCTGACCCTGCTGATACACCCAGGATCCCACAGATCTAGGCACAGAATTCATCCTATAAACATCCTTGGAGCACCCCCACCACCACCATGTACCCAAGTTATTTCCAGGCCAGACACAGCAGGCCCAGGCTCCCAGGTGCTGGGAGCCCATTTCCACACACAGAGCCAGACTCCTACCATGCCTGTCCAGCAGCACCCACCTGCAGGGCCTCACAAACCAAGTCCACATCCAGCACCTTCACCACAAACTGCAGGCACAGCTGGGAACAGAAATGAATGTGGGTTGGGTGGCGGTGTCCCTGCTCCAAGACACTAGTTCCACCCCAGAAGCAGTGAGCAGGCTTGGAGCGGTGAGTCACCCAGCAGCCCCAGACCCATCCTGACCCAGGCCAGGGGAGGCAGGGAATTGCTAGAGCCTGAGACAGCAGGCTTACAGGAACTGGAGACTAGCAAAACCAAGCCCAGCCACCCACCTTCTAGTACATTCGCCACTAATCAAAACCAGATAAAGGCCATGCAAAATTCTCCCCTTCTTTCAGGATGCTTATCTTCCTCCACTTGTTCCCTTCCTGACTCAAGGATACTTCTATTTTTAGCAGAAACTTGAATTTCATCCGTGACATCTCTCATCTCTTGACTGCTGCACTAGCCTCCTGACTGGACTAGCGAGTCCTCTCCACCTCTTCCAATCCCTTCTCCCCTGAGTTTCCAATTCTTCACTCCCTTATCGGAAACCTTCAGTGAATCTCCACTGCCCTCTGCTTAAAAGAAGTCCAAAAGCTTGAGGGCCCTACATGAACCAGGCCCTGGCGTCCTCTGCAGTCTCGTCTTGCCCTCTCCTCACAGTTCAGACACACCAAATGTCTCACTAGCTCCTTTGGTGCCTCTGTGACTAGAATACCATCTTCCCACTTCCCCTAGGAACAAAATCCTATTTGTTCTACCAGATCGAACACAAATGTTTCCTCCTCTGGGAAGTCTTCTCCTCTCCCTAGTGGCGGGACTGGAGAGTCCCCCCATACAGTCTCGGCACCATTCACGCTTCTCTATCACACTTTCTTTTTTTTTTTTTTTTTTTGAGGGCAAGTCTTGCTCTGTCACCCAGGCTGGAATGCAGTGGCACGATTTCAGCTCACTGCAACCTCTGCCTCCCAGGTTCAAGCGATTCTTGTGCCTCAGCCTCTCAAGTAGCTGCAATTAACAGGTGTGTGCCACCATGCCTGGCTAATTTTTGTGCTTTTAGTAGAGATGGGGTGTCACCATGTTGCCCAGGCTGGTCTGGAACTTCTGGGCTCAAGTGATCCACCTGCTTCAGCTTCCCAAAGTGCTGGGATTACAGGCGTGAGCCACTGCGCCCGGCCTCTATCACACTTCTTATGCCACCCAGGTAAGCATTTTCATGTGTCTGTCTCCTCTCCCTCTCTGGAGAACACGGATCAAGGCTGATATCTTTGTATCTACAGCACCAGCCATAATCACCCCCTCTTCCCACAGCACACACAGGGCAGGCATGCATGGATCCTTTTGCACACAGGCACACATACATGCCCTACTTACTTGGGAGAGATATACATACTTCTCTCTGTGTGGGCACACGTTCCTCTCCAGGCCAGAGTGTGTGTGAGGCAGGGCGGGAAGTGAGCCCGTGAGAAGCAAGGGAAATGAGACAGGGACCTGGCACAAAAACCCACCTCTCTCAGTTCCTCCAGCCCATACTCCACAGCCGCTGTCAGCACTTCCAGCACCTGTAGAGTGGGTGGTTGGGGGAGTGGAAGGGAGTTTCCCCTGCCCTGTGCCCACAGTGTAATGGGCAAACTCCTGCCTCTGGCACCCCCCACCTCTCCCACCCAGGCCCCTGGTCAGCAGGCTCACAGAGTGGCGGTACAGCTTGACACTGTTGGTATATAGGAACTCCAGCACTGCCAGGAAGGCCTCAGTTGGCACAGTGCTTAGCACCACAGGACTGGGCACCCCGGGGCCTGGCTCTGTGCCCAGAAGTCGCTGGAAGAAGTTGCATCTACAGGCCAACAAGCACCGATGGGCAAATACCTCCTGCCGTTCTTGACCAACCACGAAGCAAACATCACTGTGGGAGACAGGCAGAGAGGCAGCGGGGAGGAGGCCAGCACCCGGAGTGCAACTTGGGCTGTGCCTTTGCCCACTCTGGGTCTTAGTTTCCTAACCAGAATGTAAGAGACAGGGCTTCGTCCCTCCAGCAGAAGGTCTGGGACCCAAAGCCCTGAGTTCTAGTCCCAGCTCCACCTAATGGGTACCATAGGCAAGTGACTTCCTATCTTTGAATCTCAGGTTTCTCACCCATGAAATGGGACAATAATCCTAAACCTCAGGTCTCAGAGGAGATGACTATGCTTGATTACTGAGGGGCATCTGGGCTAATAGAAGCAAGGTTGATCCCACCTTCCCCTCTCCTCCCCAGCCTGAGTCTTGGGGGCAGGGAAGCTTCTTTTGGCTCCTCCTCCACCAGCTGCAAACTCAGCTTTTTTTCAGCCCTCCTCCAGACAGGAGGGTGTGGGGGTGTGGGGCACAGAGTGCACAACGACTGCAAACAGACACAGCAGTGATGCACCATCATGAGCCAGACCACAGTTTCCATCTTCATGATCACTTCCGGCCCCAGCTCTGGGCCTCTGAACAAGGCAGGGGATAGGAGGCAGATGAGGCTGGAGCCTCCTAGAGCCTCTTAGTCCCAGGTCCAAAGCCTGGGGGGTTCACATTACCCAGACCAGACTGTGACCCCAAAGAAGCAGGGTGATGGAAGTCACCACCCTTTGGGGAAGAGCTCAGATCTGAGACCATGAGGACAGAGAACTTCATTCTAGCTCTCCTGAGCAGCCCGGCCTCCTGTAAACTCTACCCCTGGTTTCAGACACCACTGGCATCCCGGCCAGCAGGGAGCAGCCAGCACCCCCGAGGCTTCCTGTCAGGGACTATGGCTCAATCTCTGGAGCTTTGTTCTTCTTGTGAAGCCTCAGTTCCCAGAACAGGTCATCTGTTCCTCTTCTTCTAGCAGTGAGGCCTCAATACCAAGCTGAGTGAGTGGAGGGAGGAGGGGAATCATGACCCACCATCTCTAAGGATCCCAGGGGCTGAGAATCATTTTCTTCTGCCAGGGGCCAAAGTCCAAAGAAGGAAGGGCTTTGCCTGAGCTCACACAGCAGCTCCACCCCGCCAGCCTTGCCTCTGGCCCTCAGGGTCTCACAGACACTGAGTGACCAGTAGCCATGTTCCACATTTGACCTCCCCATAGCCTAAGTTCACCAGGGAGGATGGCCAAGTTCTAATTCCCAGCCTCTTCTCACCAGGGCCTCCTTAGAGTCCTGGGGCCCACAGAGCCAGCTAAGAAAAACCCGCAGGCAGGGCCCACCCCTCACCTGTATCGCGGGTTGTTGACAAGGCTTCGGAGTGCTGCGGAAAAAGGTTCAGCTTTCCCATGCACGACCAGTCCCAAGGGCTCCATGAGTGAGAAGGGGTTGGGGTGGAGGAGGGAGCCTGGGAGGCCTGGCCAGGCCCTAGAGCTGGTGAGGTTAGCAAGGCCTGAGAGGGAGAAGCAGGGACTTGGGAGGCCTGTTTGCTGAGAAGCTGAAGTTTAGGAGTGGAGCAGGAGAGGCCCAAGCTCCTGAAGGCATCAGAGGCCAGAGGCTCGGGGACAGGAACAGACACAGGGAGGGGGCCAGGAGAAGCTGAGGCTGGAGTGGCCTATGGTCCTGGGAAGAAGCTGGCTGGCTGGCGGCGGCGGCGGCGGCGAAAGAGGCCCTGGCTGGGAGTCTGCCCAGGCAGCCGACGGGGTGGGAAGCCTGTGGGTTTCCATGGAAACTGGAGCTGGCCTGAGAAGAGACTCCACCCATCTCCCGGGCAGGCCCAGGGAAAACTTCAGCCCTTAGAGGGGCATTAAGCGCCATACGAGGGTCTTAGCCCCCGAAGCTGAGCCTGCCCTAGGTTCAGAGTTCAAACTCCTTGCCCTCCTAACCCTTCCCTCCTCCACAGGCACACAGGGTCAGGATCCGGTTAGCCAGGCCGGGGAAACCCCCACTCAACAGGGAAAATCCTCGCCCCCATAGATGGGTCAGGGCCCCGACCTGGCTTGTTTGGGAGGGGACAGTCCCATCCCTGCCAGAGGAGGAGTCACATGAGTTGTCAGCCCTGGCAGAGGTGTCACAGCCTCTGCCATCTCTGAAATGTAACTTTGGGGAAACCTAGGTACTAGAGGTGTAGCCAGCTAGGGACAAGCCCCAGGACACTTGGGTCAGCAAAGGTCACGAGGCTGGACTCGGGGTTCACTGCCGAGTCACTGCCACTTTATAAGGCCTGGTGCCTACCAGCTGAGCCAGTGGGCCTCCCCTCCCCCGCACATAGCCCTGAACTGAGGAAGTCATCCAAGCCCCACCCTAACTCTGCGCCGGGAGCGGAAATGTTTGTCCTTGTCGAGGCCGATGGGGAGACAACAGAGCCATGACGTGTTCCTTCCTGTGGGCCCAGACTCTGGATTCCTGAGCCACCACCCCCGCAGCCTCAAGATCTCCCCCTAACCTAGGCCTCTGTGACTTGTTCACGAATGGCCAGTCATCTGGCCATTCCACAAGGGGAGAAAATGGGCCCTGGCTCAAGAGTCCTGGGGTAGGACAAAGCCTTTCTGACCACAGCCTTGCTCTACATCTGCCCCTCTGTTGCCTGCGCTTAGGAAGTTTGCCTCTAAGCTGCAAGACCCTGTCGGCCGCTCTCCCTGATGACTCAGGGGCACCCCATGCTCAGCACATGCTCACAGCAACAATGCTCTCAGGTTAAGCCAGAGCCAGACTGGAGGGAGGGATCCTGGGAGGGAGGAGTGTTTGCTCTAGCAACCCATGGCAACTCCACAACACAGGTCTTTCCCCTCCCACTTGCCCTTCAGGCCAGCGGGGCCAGGGCTGTGCAGCCAGGACAGAACTCAGAAGCCAAAGCCTGCGGGTGACTCAGGTGCCTGAGGGAGTTTCGGGAGCAGAGGGCAGCCATCTCAGAACTGATTCTGGAGGAAGTGGGATCAGAGGCCAAAGGCAGAAGGTGGAAGGGGGCTTCATGAGTCATCTGCCCTCAGCCTGGGCCAGGTGTAGGGGAGATCTTTGTGCCAGCCACCCTAGAGTAGATCTGGGTGGAAGATGACTGGATTCAACACCCCCAGGGCTGGAAGGATCTGTGGGGTTGAAGGAGCTGAGTCTGTCAGTCCTTCCTGGTTAGGGGTTGGAGGCTCTGCCTCCACAGTCCAGGCTGAGGCAGAGGCCTGCCTCTCCTTCCAGAGAAGTCGGGTGGAAGGGAGAAATGGCAGTCTCTAAGACTCCGAGCGTACCTGGCTAACTTCCATAGTGCCCAGAGAAGGAGCTCAGTCGGCAAG
This sequence comes from Homo sapiens, assembly GCF_000001405.40. NCBI lineage: Eukaryota > Metazoa > Chordata > Mammalia > Primates > Hominidae > Homo > Homo sapiens. Next base: position 44,806,912 of record NC_000001.11, on the reverse strand, counting down.
GACTAGCCGAGGATCCCAGTCCTAGCAGCCTCCTGTCCCCTGCTCATGTGTCTAACAGCCTTTAACCTTCTCAGCACCTAGGAACCCAGGCAGCCTGGGACTATCTGATCCACTTGTTCTAAAACACAGGTAAGAAGGGGGTAGAAGGTAAAAACCCTTGACATCACTGAGCAAGAGGCTGGGGTGGGTAGACAGATGCCTGGTGAAGGCCACCCTGAGTGTGGTTCCTCCAGCCAGCAGGTCCATGGCCAGCAGGCCTCTGCCCCCGGGACGCCAGGAGGAGGAGAATGCCAAAGACTCCGGGCGGAAACCCTCACCGGTGCGGCCCCGAGGCTGCCTGCCCAGCATTGATGAGGCCCGACCGGCAGGTCCAGGTCCAGCCCCGGCCTCGCGCCGGGGCTCCATGCTGGGCCTGGCCGCGTCCTTCTCCCGCCGCAACTCGCTGGTCGGGCCAGGCGCGGGTCCTGGGGGTCAGCGGCCATCCCTGGGCCCGGTGCCCCCTCTGGGCTCAAGGGTCAGCTTCTCAGGGTTGCCCCTGGCGCCCGCCCGTTGGGTGGCGCCCTCCTACCGCACGGAGCCAGTGCCCGGGGAGCGCTGGGAGGCTGCGCGTGCACAGCGTGCCCTGGAGGCGGCGCTGGCCGCAGGGCTGCACGACGCGTGCTACTCCAGCGACGAGGCCGCGCGGCTGGTGCGGGAGCTCTGCGAGCAGGTGCACGTTCGCCTGCGCGAGCTCAGCCCGCCACGCTACAAGCTGGTATGCAGTGTGGTGCTGGGGCCGCGCGCGGGCCAGGGCGTTCACGTGGTCAGCCGTGCGCTCTGGGACGTGGCGCGCGATGGGCTGGCCTCGGTCTCCTACACCAACACCTCGCTCTTCGCGGTGGCCACGGTCCACGGGCTCTACTGCGAGTGAGGGGGAGTCCAATTCTGCAAAATTGTTTATTATCCTAGGAGGAGGCCCCCCTGGGGCTCACATCCCAATAAATAAGTGTCTGACAATAAATAAAAGTGGTCCATAAATAACGCCCCCTAGCTGGGAGCTAAGGCTCAGGCTTATCTTGGAGATGGGGTAGGAGCCAGCGAAGACAAGCCGCCCCCAACTCCAGTAAAGCTGGTCCCTGATTCCCTGGGGGATTCGGCCCAAAGCCCCCAGTGAGGCACCAAAGGAAGGGGGAAGGCCACAAAGGCAAGGGCCAGAGCCTGACAGGCACAGGCCTCAGGCCTCAGGGCTTGGGTCCTAGGCTGGGCTGCGGTCCCGGAGCAGGCGCAGAGCATAGCGGAGTCGCTGCCGCAGGTCTGGAGAGCAGCCCAGCTGCCGAAGGTGGGAAGCGAGGTAAGTACAAGCACTACGATTTCGGGCCACAAAAGTCACAAGGAGGGGCTCCCAGCCACTGAGAATCAGCTTGGTGTGGTCCCCGTAGAAGTTCACCTGCACACAGAGCATGACAGTGGTCAGGACCTAGGCTCCGGGCCCAGCTTCCTCCCCAGCACCCTGGGCCTCCCAGACCTTCCCGCAACTCCTGGATAGGCTCTTACCTGGACAGTGCCATCACTAAACAGCATGAGGAGAGCCTGATCCGTCTTGACCCACTGCAGCAGCAAGGGCGGAGCAGGTACCTCTACCTCTTCCACACTGGGCAGATCTCCACCCTGGGAGCAGGATCAGGGCAGGTCACTGATCCAGCGTGAGACAGCCCCCTCCCCATTAGTGTATGCCTTATCCTCTAGCTTTCAGCAACCCCAACCACCACCAAGGGGGAATCAGAGGGATCAGGATGGGTTAGTTTTCTTTTCTTTATTTTTTTTTTTTGAGATGGAGTCTCGCTCTGTTGCCCAGGCTGGAGTGCAATGGTGCGCCATCTCTGCTCACTGCAAGCTCCGCCTCCTGGGTTCGCCCATTCTCCTGCCTCAGCCTCCCGAGTAGCTGGGACTACAGGCGCCCGCCACCACGCCCGGCTAATTTGTTGTATTTTTAGTAGAGACGGGGTTTCACCTTGTTAGCCAGGATGGTCTCGATCTCCTGACCTCATAATCCACCCGCCTCGGCCTCCCAAAGTGCTGGGATTACAGGCGTGAGCCACCGCACCCGGCCAGGATGGGTTAGGTTTCAATGTACCACAGCCCCAGCCCTCACACCTTCATGAGGTGCTGCTCCATGTAGGAGGCGAAGTACCGCAGGATACCCAGCTGAGGCTGCAGGGCCCGGGGCACAGCACCCACGGAGAAGGAGAAGTGCTTTGTGCTGGTGGGATTGTAGTGCACAGTCCTAGAATGGGGAGGCAGAGGTCAGAGGGAGCCCTGCACCAATGCCCCTCCTCTGAGAAACCCAGACCCCTGAGCCCAGGAGCACTCACGAGGGTGCGGCCCTGCTGGATTAGTGGCCTGAATACAAGGCACCCCATAACAGCACTTACTTTCTGTTGGCCGACAGGGCCATATGTGTGCCATCGTTGAAGAGCACAGCCACACGGCGGCTGGACAGTTGATACCCAAAGCCGAACTTATTGGAGTAGTCAACCCACTTGCTGACCCACACCAGAGGCTCTGGCTGGGCCAGGGGGGCCGGGTTCTGTTCCGCTGTCATGGGAGAGGAGGGAGTCAGCACCTGCTCCTGGCCTCCCAGCCACAGAACTCCCACCACAGCAGCATGTACCAGACCCCACCCTTACCTGGGGGCATGAAGGCTATACAATTTCTCAGAGCACAAAGGGCTGACTCCACTACTGTGGCCACAGTCAGACCTTCTTCAAATCCTGAAGGAGACAGGGCACTGAGATTTAGGAATTAGCACCCCAGGACCCAGGCCAGGCCCCTCTGCCCACTCCTTCCCTCTCGCCCCTGATCTCAGCTCCAGCAACCTCTATCACCTCTCATCCTCCCTGGCTCCTCACCATCTCCACTGCTTGCCAGTGTCCCACGGGGTGAGCTGTCTTCAGGTGCTGTCTCTACCAGGCTGACAGGGGCTGGGCCAGAAGCTGCTGGAGCCTGGAGGGTTGGGCAGGGAAAGGGAGTGACACAGGCCCCAAAATCCAAACCCTTGAGTCCATGGCCTGGCCCTGCCCTGGCTCCCAGGGCACCCCAGGTCAGCCCCGCCAGGCTGGTGACACACAGCCAATTAGGCCACCACGAGGCTGGATGCTTCAGCAGCCTCTTTTATCCCCGGCTTCCCTCAGCTGCTAGGGTGGGGGTGAGTCAGGGGAACAGTGTCCACCTGAGCGCCTCACCTCTGGCCTGGCATCCTGATGGCCAACGGATGTGCGCATGAGGCCGCTCACCAAACCGGAGACCTCATCCCTCTCCTGGGCATGATTCTTACCTGGGGGTGAAAGGTGATACCGTCCTCAGTATCCTGCCCAGCCCCTCCACTTCCGACAGGGATGACACAGAGATTGGCCTCCCCAAGTGCCTGTACTGCACATGCTCTCCCCAGGAGTTTCCAGGCACCCACACTCACACACCCAAGACAAATGTGACAAGCCGCTCTACTGCTCTGCCCCCTCAACCCACTGACACCCCAGACTCACTCTTCTTCTTTCTGCCAAAGAGGCTCTTGGTAACTTTGGCAAACAGACTCCTAGCTGGGTTGGGGGGTGTCAGGTCTGGGACTGTCACGCAGCTGCTGATAGGGAGTCGATCGGGGGTGTAGCCCTAGGGAGGGGAACCATGTGAACAGAGAAGAGAGGCTCCAGGGGTCCTGTCACCTGCCCCCTTTCAATCCCTGGGAATACACAGATGGACTTAGAGGTCTGGGGAGCCACAGACCTTGGTAAAGAAGTCATGGCGCAGGATCTGGTCAATAGAGGGGCGGTCTCGGGGTGAGGCCCGAAGGATGGCGGCCAGGAGCTGCCGGGCAGGCAGTGAGAGGCTGGCAGGCAGCGTGTAGTGAACCTGCTTGATGCAGCGGTACGTCTCCTTCAGGTCAGCCGTCTCAAAGGGAGGGCTCCCGCAGAGCAGCGTGTACCTATAGGGCAGGGCCAAGGGGTCAGGAGTAAAGTGGAGGAGATGCTCCACCCACACACCCACCACCTGTCTGCTGCTGAACCTGGACCCTGCAACTCACATGACACAGCCCAGTGACCATACATCCGCCTCAGGGCCGTGGCCCTGTCTCAGCAGCACTTCTGGAGCCACATAGTTGGGGGTGCCACAGATGGTCCTGAAAGAGGGTGGGGAGGAGGAGAGAAGGCTGAGACCCAGCCCAGCAGCCCCCCGACTCCTTCCCCCACTGTTAGTCCAGACAAAGCAGCTGCCTGTCACCAAAGGCCAGAGAACTCCTGCTTGTCCTGGGACAATGGATGCCAGGGATGGCAGCTGAGTCCCCGCCCACCCGCCTGGCCCAGCTGCTCAGCTGCTCTTCATGACAGGGGGAGGGCCTGACCCCCAGCCCAGTCCTCTCCTCTAGGGTCAACACAGAGAGTCCACAGCTGATCCCTTCCCCCTTCCTGCACTCCTGTCTGTCAGACAGGCATCAGGCTGTCACCTCCCACGGTTTGTGCCACACACACACCAACACCAGCTGTCACAACCCCCATAAACACTCATCTGCCACATACGCTATCTGTGTCACACACACAAAGTATGATGGCCACAGCAGGGTCTTCTTACACCCACAATGTCATATCCCACCATTTCCACACTCTCAGTCTGTCTCTCACACACACATACACGCTGCCTGTCACCTTCCCCCATCCACACAAAGGGTAAGTCATGTGCCTCCAAGAATCTGTATACCCCCATCTGTCTCAGGGACTCAGAGTCACCTACCCTATCTGTGTCATACACCTATAGGATCCTCCCCCTCTCCACCGGTCTCGGTAACACAGGCTGCCACCTCCACCTTCACACATGCATGAACAGCCCATCATCCCTTCCCATTTATCTCATGCACACATCAGGCAGTCACCTTGCCTCCCACATACATATGCACTGTCTATCACGCATGTCATCTGTATCACACACAGGGCCCCTTTCCTCAAAACTCACTTCTTCCTCTGCTCCGGAGGCTCCAACCGGGCTGCCAGCCCAAAATCCCCCACCTTCAGTTCCATGTTCTCAGTGATGAAAAAATTTCCTAGATGGGGCAAGAGAGGTGTGTCAGATTCTTTCCTTCCTCCCTCCCTCCCTCCCTCCCCAACCTCCCATCCTCCAGGCTCAGGAGTCTCACCCAACTTGAGGTCCCGGTGCAAGATGCCGCGCTGGTGCAAGTACTTGAGGCCAGAAAGGATCTGCCGCAGGTAGTAGCGCACTTCTGGCTCCAACAGGGTGTGCCGGGCCTTCCAGATGTGGGCCAGGGACTGCAGAGAGCCACTGCCTCAGCCCCTGGTGAGCCCTCCCTCCCCCTCCCCCTCCATCTGTGCTCCCTGAGGAAGAAACAGGGCCCCAGCTTTGGGTCTTAAGACTGTCTTCTCGGCTGGGTGTAGTGGCTCACGCCTGTAATCCCAGCACTTTGGGAGGCCAAGGCAGGTGTATCACAAGGTCAGGAGTTTGAGACCAGCCTGACCAACAGGGTGAAACCCTGTCTCTACTAAAAATACAAAAATTAGCCGGGCGTGGTGGTGCATGCCTGTAATCCCAGCTACTCAGGAGGCTGAGGCAGGAGAATTGCTTGAACCCGGGAGGCAGAGATTGCAGTGAGCCGAGATCGCGCCACTGCACTCCAGCCTGGGCAACAGAGCAAGACTCCATCTCAAAAAAAAAAAAAAAAAAAAAAAAGACTGTCTTCTCTCCCTCACTCTCATCCCTGCGGGAATCACCATCTTTCACCTTTCGGCTGCAGAGCTCCAAGAAAATGTAGATGTTGTCAGCGTCCTCAAAGTGGTGCGAAAAACGCACGATGTGGCGGTGCTGCAGGTCTCGGTGCAGCTCAATCTCATTTAGGATCTGCGATGAGGGCGCGGAGTCGTCATCCTTCCATGGTTCCCATGCCACCGTCCCCACCCCACCCCTCGCCCGCTGAGCCTGGACCCACCTTCTCGCGCTGATGCGGCTTGGCGACGCGGCTCTGCGGGATGACTTTGACAGCGTAGGCGCTGCCAGTCTCTGTGTCAGTGGCCTCGTAGCAGCGGGCGAAGCCCCCCTGTGAAGAGGGGGCATCAGGCTGGTTGTTCCAGGGGGGCCGAGTCTGGCCCGCGGGCGTCCCCGCGTTGGGGGTCAAGTGCCCACGCCCTGCTCGGCGCCAGAAAAGAGGCCGGCCGGGACCCCCACCTCCACCATCACCACCCCGCGGACGTCCCTCGGCCCACCTTGCCCAACAAGCGGCCTTTGAGGTAGGTGCGGCCGCTGCGCGGGTCCGTGATGAGGCGCCCGGGGTCTGACGTCGGTAGCCCGGCCAGCATCTCCAGCTCAGGTCCGCGCAAGGCACTCGGAGGCGGCCCGGGCCCGGCCGGGGGAGCGGGCGCGGCGGCCGCACGCTGGAAGGGGCGCGGAGACAGGAAACCGGCGGCAGGCTCCATGCGGCCGGCGCGTCGCAGCGCGGTCCCGGCTTCTCGGTTCCGCCCGGCCCCGGCCGCGCGTGGCGCTGCCTGGATTTGCTACGCTGCGCTGGCGCCCAGGGGAGCCCAGCGTTTTATCAATGAACGCCTGCCCCCTCCCCGGCGTCTGGTCACCGAGAGTCCCGCCCCCTTCCTAGCAGCGAGTCGAGGAGAGGCCACTCCCATTCCCGGCCTTACATCACCCAGAAGCTCCTCCCCCACCCAACGCACTGCCAGACCCCGCCTCCTCGCCGCGCCCCGGGGCGCAGCCCGGCAGCTAGTCACCATGCAGGTGCAACCAGGCCGCAGGGGCCAGCTGATCCCTGTCCGCCTCTCACCCCTCCTTGGCCACTGCGAGTCCCGCTCGTGGGGGCCTCTTTCTTTCCCCATCCTTCGGGATGTGTGCTGAAGTCCGAGTGGGGCCCGGGCATCTGGGGGCGTCTCCCCAGCAACTAGATAGATCAGCGTTCCAGCCAGCAGCGGAGAGGCAGGGGCGGCGCTCGCTTTTGCCCGGGCATGTTACCCGACACTCCCCTTTCAGTGTGCCGGACCGCGTGTGTCCCTCGCCCTCGCCCGGGGCCCGGCCCAGTGCTGCCCTCTTTAGGGCCTGGAAGGAAGGCACAGTCTCGCGCCTGGCTTGCCTGGCCCGAGGGCTGCCTTGCCAGGTTTAGGAGTCAAGCAGAGTCTGGAATTTCAAGGCTTTTACCATGCTCCAGGCCACATCTTCCGCTACCCACTTCTACACTCTTGAGGGGCAAATTTCGGGTTCCTCCGGGGTCCGCAATTCCCTTCCTCTGAAAATACCCCCGGGCCTGGGTCAGCAGCCAGAGGCCAGAAAGTGAATGGGAATTGGATTTTCTTTTTTCTTTCTTTCTTTCTTTTTTTTTTTTTTGAGACAGAGTTTCGCTCTTGTTGCCTAGGCTGGAGTGCAATGGCGCGATCTTGGCTCATCGCAAACTCTGCCTCCCAGGTTCAAGCGATTCTCCTGCCTCAGCCTCCCGAGCAGCTGGGATTACAGGCATGCGCCATCACACCCGGCTAATTTTGTATTTTTTTTTTTTTAAGTAGAGACGGGGTTTCTCCATGTTGGTCAGACTGGTCTGGAACTCCCAACCTCAGGTGATCTACCCGCTTCGGCGTCCCAAAGTGCTGGGATTACAGGCGTGAGCCACCTTGCCTGGCTGGGAATTGCATTTTCTCAAATGCTAGACACGGGCACTTGGGCAGCTAGTCTCTGGACCACGTGGACCCCTAGACCCCTGCGCAATGCCCACCCTTCCCAGGGCCAGAGACAGAGGCCCAGGACCACAGGCCTCCTGGCCTTGTCTCTCACCTCTCTGCCCTCCCTCTGTGCCAGCCAATCAATTACCATGCCATTCCTCAAAGATTTATTGAGAGCATCTGCTAAGTGCTGGACACTATCTCGAATAAAACTAATCAAGCTTGCAGCCCTCATTTAGTTTACATTCTGCTTGATGGAAACAGACAATAGGCAAGCAGATAAACAAGGTAATTGCAGGCTGTGAAAAGTGCTATGAAGGAAGAATAAACAGAAGAGCAAATGAAGAGCCTACTTTAGAAAGAGTAGCCAGGAAAGTCAACAAATATTTGCTGAGTACCCAATTTGTGCCAATTTTACCTCCCAAATAGCTCTGATATCTATCCCCTTGGCTCCATCTTCCCCTCACACCCTGGCCTGGGCCACAGTCTCTCTTGTCAGGATGATTGCCACAGCTCCTTGCTGCTCTCCTGGCCTTTGGTCTCATGCCCATTTCATCCCCTCCATATGCTATTAGAGGGATCCCACCCAATCCCTCATCAGACTCACGAGGGCAAACTTCTCCAACCTTGTCCTTCATGACCACTGAAGGGAGACCCACGATAGCCTCAGATGTGGAGAAATACTAGTAGCCAAAATTACTGAGGGGGAGTTGGGGATAGGGATGGGCAGGAAGACCCTAAGTGCCTGCTCAAGAGTCTGGTCTTTATCCTTATAGGTCAGCAGTCTTCCAGAGGGGAGATGGTGGTGGGGCTAGAAAGGACAAATCCCCAGGGTAAATGGATCTGAGGCATTTAGAGAGTCAAAAAGGCATATTCAATTTTGCACCGTTATTTATTTTGTTTTGTTTTGTTTTGTTTGTTTTTTGAGACAGAGTCTTGCTCTGTTACCCAGGCTGGAGTGCAGTGATGCGATCCTGGCTCACTGCAACCTCTGCCTCCCCGGTTCAAGCGATTCTCCTGCCTTAGCCTCCAGAGTAGCCAGGATTACAGGCTCGTGCCACCACGCCCAGCTAATTTTTGTATTTTTTAGTAGAGACAGGGTTTCACCATATTGGCCAGGCTGGTCTCAAACTCCTGACCTTGTGATCCACCCACCTCGGCCCTCCCAAAGTGCTGGGATTACAGGCATAAGCCACTGTGCCTGGCCCAAAATTCGTGTATATATATATATATATATATATTTTTTTTTTTTTTCTTTTTTTTTGAGACAGAGTCTTAAAAAAAAAAGAATCACTTGATCCCAGGAGGGGGAGGTTGCAGTGAGCTGAGATCGTGGCACTGCATTCCAATCTGGCAACAGAAGGAGACTCCATCTAAAAAATAATAATAATAATAAAATAAATAAATTTTGGGGCCGTGCAGTGGTGGCTCATGACTGTAATCCCTGCACTTTGGGAGGCTGAGACAGGCAGATCGCTTGAGTCCAGGAGTTTGAGACCAGCCTGGGAAGCATAGTGAAACCCCCGTCTCTACCAAAAAAATGCAAAAATTGGGCCAGCCGCAGTGGCTCATGCCTGTAATCCCAGCACTTTGGGAGGCCGAGGCAGGCAGATCACCTGAGGCCAGGAGTTCGAAACCAGCCTGACCAATGTGGTGAAACCCCGTCTCTACTAATAATACAAATATTAGTCTGGCGTGGTGGCACCCACCTGTAATCCCAGCTACTCAGGAGGCTGAGGCAGGAGAATCGCTTGAACCTGGGAGGTGGAGGTTGTAGTGAGCCAATATCGCCCCATTGCACTCCAGCCTGGGTGACAGAGTGAGACTCTATCTCAAAAAAAAAAAAAAAAAAGTTAGCTAGGTGGGCATGGTGGCAGGCGCCTGTAATCCCAGCTACTCTGGAGGCTGAGGCAGGAGAATCGCTTGAACCCAGGAAGCAGAGGTTGCAATAAACCAAAATCACGCCACTGCACTCCAGCCTGAGTATGACAGAGTGAGACTCCATCTGAAAAAAAAAATACAAAATTTATCAGGGCGTGGTGGCTCACGCCTGTAGTCCCAGCTACTCAGGAGGCTGAGGCATGAGAATCACTTGAACCCAGGAGGTGGAGGTTGCACTGAGCTGAGATCACACCACTGCACTCCAGCCTGGGTGACAGAGAGAGATTCTGTCTCCAAAACAAAACAAAACAAAAATTAGCTGGGTGTGGTGGTGCATGCCTGTAATCCCAGCTACTTGGGAGGCTGAGGTGGGAGAATCACTTGAGCCCTGGAGGTCTAGGCTACAGTGAGTCATGATCATGCTGCTGCACTCCAGCCTGGGAGACACAGAGCTTGTCTCAAAAATATATATAGGGCCGGGCGTGGTGACTCATGCCTGTAATCCCAGCACTGGGAGGCCGAGGCCGGCAGATCACCTGAGGTCAGGAATTCGAGACCAACCTGGCCAACATGGTGAAACTCCATCTCTACTAAAATACAAAAATTAGCCGGGCATGATGGCAGGTGCCTGTAATCCCAGCTACTTGGGAGGCTGAGACAGAATTGCTTGGACCCGAGAGACAGTGGTTGCAGTGAGCCGAGCTCGTGCCACTGCACTCCAGCGTGGGTGGCTGAGCGAGACCCCATCTCAAAAAAATATACATATATTTATATGTATATATTTTTAATATATATTTATATATTTTTATATTATATTTATATATCTTTATATATTTATATATTATATTTATATATCTTTATATATTTATATATCTTTATATATTTATATATCTTTATATATTTATATATCTTTATATATTTATATATTTATATATCTTTATATCTTTATATATCTTTATATATGTTTATTTATATATATTTATATATGTTTATATATTTATATTTATATATTTATATATATTTATATATTTATATTTATATATTTATATATATTTATATATATTTATATATTTTTATATATTTATATATTTATATATATTTATACATTTATATATTTATATATATTTATATATATATTTATATATTTATATATATTTTTTATATTTATATTTATATATTTATATATATATTTATATTTATATATTGTTATATATTTTTATATATATTTATATTTATATATTGTTATATATTTTTATATATTTATATATTGTTATATATTTATATATTTATATATTGTTATATATTTTTATATATATTTATACATTTATATATTTATATATATTTATATATTTATATATATTTTTTATATTTATATTTATATATTTATATATATTTATATTTATATATTGTTATATATTTTTATATATATTTATATTTATATATTGTTATATATTTTTATATATATTTATATATTGTTATATATTTTTATATATTTATATATTTATATATTTATATATATTTATATATATATTTATATATATTTATATATTTATATATATTTATATATATTTATATATATTTATATATATTTATATATTTATATATATTTATATATATTTATATATTTATATTTATATATTTATATATTTATATATATTTATATATATTTATATATTTATATATTTATATATATTTATATATATTTATATATTTATATATATTTATATATATTTATATATTTATATATATTTATATATTTATATATATTTTTATATATTTTTATATATTTATATTTATATATATTTATATATTTATATATATTTTTTATATATTTATATATTCATATATATTCATAAATACTTATATTTATTTATTTATATATGTATATATGTATATATTTATATATTTATATATATTTATATATTTATATATATTTTTTATATATTTATATATTCATATATATTCATAAATACTTATATTTATTTATATATTTATATATTTATATATATTTATATATTTATATATTTATATATATTTTTATATATTTATATATTTATATATATTTTTATATATTTATATATATTTATATATATTTATATATATTTATATATTTATATATATTTTTATATATTTATATATATTTATATATATTTATGTATATATTTATATATTTGTATATTTTTATATATTTATATATTTATATATTTTTATATATTTATATATATTTATATATATTTTTATGTTTTTATATATTTATATATATTTATATATATTTATATATTTTTATATATTTATATATATTTATATATATTTATATATTTATATATATTTATATATTTATATATATTTATATATTTATATATATTTATATATTTATATATATTTATATATATTTATATATGAATTTTGGAAGGGGGCACAGTTCTGCCCATAATGGCCTCTTAATTATATCACCAAGTCTAGCAAGATCTAACACACTGTGTTTTTTTGTTTTTTTGTTTTTGACAGAAGGTTTCACTCTGTGGCCCAGGCTGGAGTGCAGTGGCATAATCATGGCTCCCTGAAGCCTCGACCTCCCTGGCTCAGGCAATCCCCCCAACTCAGCCTCCCAAGTAGCTGGGACTACAGCTGGTGCATACCACCACACCCAGCTTTTTTTTTTTTTTTTTTTTTTGAGACAGAGTCTCGCTCTGTCACCCAGGCTGGAGTGTAGTGATGCAGTGACAGGATGGCAGATCACTGCAACCTCCGCCTCCCAGGTTCAAGGGATTCTCCTGCCTCAGCCTCCCGAGTAGCTGGGATTACAGGCACGCACCACCATACCCAGCTAATTTTTTTTTTTTTTTGAGACGGAGTCTCACTCTTTCGCCCAGGCTGGAGTGCAGTGGTGCCATCTCGGCTCACTGCAAGCTCCGCCTCCCAGGTTCACGCCATTCTCCTGCCTCAGCCTCCTGAGTAGCTGGGACTACAAGCGCCCACCACCGCGCCCGGCTAATTTTTTGTATTTTTAGTTGAGACGGGGTTTCACTGTGGTCTCGATCTCCTGACCTCATGATCCACCCGCCTCGGCCTCCCAAAGTGCTGGGATTACAGGCGTCAGCCACCGCGCCCGGCCTTTTTTTTTTTTTTTTTTTTTTTAAGGCAGAGTCTGGCACTGTTGCCCAGGCTGGAGTGCAGTGACACAATCTCAGCTCACTGCAACCTCCGCCTCCCGGGTTCAAGAGATTCTTGTGCCTCAGCCTCCTGAGTAGCTGGGGTTACAGGCCCCCGCCACCACGCCTGGCTAATTTTTGTATTTTTAGTAGAGATGGGTTTCACCATGTTGGTCAGGCTGGTCTTAAACTACTGACCTCAAGGGATCCGCCTGCCTCGGCTTCCCAATGTGCTGGGATTACAGGCATGAGCCACTGAGCCAGGCCAGTTGTTCATTTTTTCAACAAACGTTTTCTTGAGCAGCCTCTATGTGTCAGGTCCTGTGCTGCACCCTGGCGTGACCTGTCGGTAGGACAAGGACACTGGACTGTAATTAGTGCTAAGTGGTGAAGACAGACAGGGTATAGAGGTGGCCTATGGGAGCCCAGAGGTGGGATCACACCCAGTTTGGGGAATGTACGTAGGCTGAGATTTCTAAGTTGAAACCTGAGAGCTGAGGAGGAGTTAGCCAGGAACAGTAATGGACAGGAGGAGAAAGTATTCCATAAGAGGAACCCTGTGCTCCTTAAGGCATGGAGTGAGAGCTGTTGGTCCTTGAAAAAGCTGAAAGTTCAGAGTAGCTGGAGGAAAGGGGAAGGGTGACTGGAACAGTCCAGGGGCCAGAACTCCAAAGGCTTTGCAATGTGTGTGGAGGAGTGAAGGTCTACTTGCCCCTTCCCCAATTTGCCAAGTTCCCAAGCTGACCTAAGTTTTGAATTTGGTGAGTTCAGGTGAAGTCTGACAATATAGCCAGGGAGTGGGTCTGGAAAGTTAGTGGGAAGGAGGGGCCAGGACAGGCTCCTTGCAAGAGAAAGCTGATTTGCCCTCCTGGCCTGGTTCCCTAGAGCCTCCTCCGCAAAGCTGAGGAGCTCCTGCCAAGCACGTAGGTGCTGAGCCTAAGACTGGGTTCCCTTCTCTTCCCAGGCTGGGATTTAAGGTTGAGCTCAGGCTGTCTGATCCATGGCCATGTTACCTCTCTAATCTCTGCCACACAGGACCCTAGCCAGGGGCCACTACTCAGGCACAAAATGAAATCCCATCTGGCCTTTCTTGCTGTTGTCTTGTGGCTTCCTCAACTGGCTGGGTGGGCCCACACCCAGGCTGGGGCTGTGAGCTTATTATCTTGTCTTCCTCTTCTGTCTTTTGTTGTTGTTTGTTTGTTTGTTTGTTTGTTTGTTTAGATGGCGTCTTGCTCTGTCACCCAGGCTGGAGTGCAGGTGGTGCAATCACAGCTCACTACAGCCTCGACTTCCTGGCTCAAGCGATCCTCCAACCTCAGCCTCCAAGTAGCTGGGACTAGAGGCATGCGCCACCACACCCGGCTAGTTTTTTGTATTTTTTGTAGAGATGGGGTTTTGCCATGTTGTCCAGGCTGGTCTCGAATTCCTGGACACCGTGCTTGGGCCAGAATCTCTTGAGTGTCAGGTCACAGAGGCCAACGGAGGAGGGTCAAGAACAAGAGATGCCAGGTAAGGTTAGGACTTGGGAAGGGCTATTGGCTTCAGCAATAAGGAGATGGCAGGTGTCCTTGGTGGGTGCAGAGGTGGAAGGGATAAAGCCAACCTGAAATAAGAGATGTGCTGATAGCCACGGTAGCACTTCCCACTCACCTGGTGCTATTGTGAGCACTTTATACTATTAACTCACCTAATATGCGCAACGACTCCATGTGATAGGCATTATCATCCCCGTGTTCCCATGGGGAATTTTTTTTTTTTTTTTTTTGAGATGGAGTCTTGCTCTGTTGCCCAGGCTGGAGTGCAATGGCATGATTGGGGCTCACTGTAACCTCCACCTCCCAGGTTCAAGCGATTCTCCCACCTCAACCTTCTGAGTAGCTGGGATTACTGGCTCCTGCCACCAAGCCCGGCTAATTTTTGTATTTTTAGTAGTGACAGGATTTTGCCATGTTGGTCAGGCTGGTCTCGAACTCCTGACCTCAAGTGCAATGGCATGATCTCGGCTCACCGCAATCTCCACCTCCCAGGTTCAAGCGATTCTTCTGTCTCAGCCTCCGGAGTAGCTGGGATTACAGGCATGTGCCACCATGCTCAGCTAATTTTGTATTTTTAGTAGAGATGGGGTTTCTCCATGTTTGTCAGGCTGATCTCGAACTCCCGACCTCAGGTGATCCGCCTGCCTCGGCCTCCCAAAGTGCTGGGATTACAGGCGTGAGCTACCGCACCCGGCCTCTCATGGGGAATTTAAAAGGTTCAATGGCTTTCCCAAAGTCACAAAGCTTGGTGACTTTGGTGACCATGGTGAAGCATGGACTTGGGAACCTGGGCAGTGTGGCTCCGGAATCCATTTCACTGCCAAGCCATATAACCACTTCTCAGCTGTGAGGAGGGGACAGGGGAATGGGTGGGCAGGACCAATAGGGAGGGAGAGGAGAGCTGGAGGATAAGGAAAGGTGGGGCAGGTGATTTATGGGCTGAGTGGTTCCCTCTCCTGCACCATAAACAAAGGGACTGGTCAACAGCTGAGAAGGAGATAAGGTGATTCAGGAGGTAGGGACTGGGTGGGCCTGGGGACCGCCCTCTTCCTCTGGCAGAGGCTTCAGGTCACGTACTTTTATCCCGGGCTCTGTGGGAAATTCACAGACCACAGGGCTGGGAACAAGCAGAGGTGTGAGGGCCACAGGTGCGGGTGGCGGTGCAGGATTGAAATGCAGCCAGCTGGTCTTCCTGGGGTAGAGCTGTCAGGGAGACACGGCCTGAGCTCCTGCACTCCCAGGACCTGGCTTTCCAAGTCCTAGAACATCTTTAAGTGGTAAGCAGCCCAGATGCTCTAGGAAAGCCACAGATCAGAGCATGAGAATGAACTGCCTGGCCATGATGCCTGAGGCCCAGGAGCTGGCATCTCACCCTCCCCAGGTCAGGTCCTGGACACACACAGACACACACACACACACACACATACTCTCTCTCTCTCTCTCTCTCTCTCTGAGTCCTGTTCTTTCCTCATATTGACATCTCCCATGGAGAATGTAACGCCAGTCAGGCCATGAGTAGTTTTCCAGATCTTGGCTCATCTGGGAAATCTCACAAAATAGCAGGGGTGGGGTGGGGGACCAGATGTCTTTCATCTTAAAAGGGAAGAGAGAAATGGAGAACAAAAGAGGGGGTGGAGGGAGGCAAGAAGGAGGGAAGGATGAGAAGAAAGAAAGAAAAAGAAGCTTGCTTGGTTTCAAGTCCTCCCCAGCTTTTTCTTTTTCTTTTTTTGTTTTTGTTTTTGTTTTGAGACAGGGTCTCACTCTGTCACCCAAGCTGGAGTGCAATGGCTGTATCATGGCTCACTGCAGCCTCAAACTCCTGGGCTCAAGTGATCCTCCCACCTCAGCCTCCCAAGTACCTGGACTATAGGCACACACCACCACACCCAGCTAATTTAAAAAAATTTTTTGTAGAGACAGGTCTCACTATGTCGCCCAGGCTGGTCTCAAACTCCTGGGCTTAAGTGATCCTCCCACCTCAGCCTCCCAAAGTGTCAGGATTACAGGCATGAGCCACTGTAATCTAGCTTTACCTAGATGAATCAGATTCAAAACTGTTCTCAGGTGTCTCACAGGCTAGAGGGGAGATCTCCCTGTAAACAGATCATAGACCACTGTGATTAACTGCTGCAAGAGAGAAAACCCAGAGGGTTTTGAGGAGTAACCTGGGGAAGATCATGGAAGGCTTCCTAGAGGGTGCTCTGAGCCACATCTTGAAGGAACAGTTACAAATGAGCTAGGCATATACACCTACTATGCACTCACAAAAATTAAAATTAAAAAAAAATTTTATATGAGCTAGGCAGAGACTGGTGATGAGGGTAGAGGTGGGTAAGTCTCAGAGGGCCTTGTGTATTCAGCTTAAAAGCCAGGATCCAGCACTGTTTGGTCTGGGGCAGGTTAGCAGGACATGAAGAAAAGGTCTCTGCCTCCTCATTTCTCAGGGACTGTCTGGCTTGGAAGGCTTGGTAGGCAAGACTGGACCAGTCGTGGGAAACCAAAGAGAACAGATTCAAATTTTCATAGTAACAGCAGCCCAAGCCAACCACCCACAGTGCTTTAGGCCATAGGCATTGTTTCTGTGAATACTCAAAATTGCCCCATGAGGTTAGGCGTTCTTGATTCTGATTTGCAGAGGAGGAAACTGAGGTTCAGAGAGATTAGGTAACTTGCACAGTTACAAAGAGCTGGGGTTCAGACCCAGGTTTGTCCAATTCCCAAGCCTGTGCTCCTAATCACCTCTCTATGCTTCCTATCTTTAGGAAACTTGCAGAAGAGAACCAGCTCACAGTGTAGGGGGAGGAGCTTCCCAAAACAAGACAGAGGCAGGACCACCACTCTTGGGATTTTTCAGTGTTCACTTACCTCAGCACTGGGAGGGTAAGTAAGCTGCCAATTCTCTTCCACTTTGAGGTTCTATTTCTTTTCTTTTCTTTTTTCTTTTTCTTTTTCTTTTTTGAGACAAAGTTTTGCTCTTGTTGTCCAGGCTGGAGTGCAATGGCATGATCTCGGCTCACCGCAATCTCCACCTCCCAGGTTCAAGCGATTCTTCTGTCTCAGCCTCCGGAGTAGCTGGGATTACAGGCATGTGCCACCATGCTCAGCTAATTTTGTATTTTTAGTAGAGATGGGGTTTCTCCATGTTGGTCAGGCTGATCTCGAACTCCCGACCTCAGGTGATCCGCCTGCCTCGGCCTCCCAAAGTGCTGGGATTACAGGCGTGAGTCACAGTGCCTGGCCTTTTTTTTTTTTTTTTTTTTTGAGACAGAGTCTCTGTCACCCAAGCTGAAGTGCAGTGGCACAATCTCAGCTCACTGCAACCTCTCCCTCCCGGGTTCAAGCGATTCTCCCATTGAGATTCTATTTCTTTTTCTTTTTCTTTTTCTTTCTTTCTTTTCTTTTTTTTTTTTTTTTGATTACCCAGGCTAGAGTGCAGTGGCACGATCTCAACTCGTTGCAACCTGCGCCTCCCCAGGTTCAAGCAATTCTCCTGCCTCAGCCTCCCATGTACCTGCTGGGATTACAAGTTCGTGCCACCACACCCGGCTAATTTTTGTATTTTTAGTAGAGACAGGGTTTCACCATGTTGGGCCAGGCTAGTCTCGAACTCCTGACCTCAAGTGATCCACCTGCGTTGAGGCTGCCCAAAGTGCTAGGATTACAGGTGTGAGCCACCTTGCCTGGCAGCGGAAGTTCTATTTCTATCAGCGCCTTAGGTATTACTTCCTCCAGAGGTGAAAGTGGCCACTCAAATCTTGGGCACCCCTAGGAGTCAGGATGTTGGACACAGGGCTTAACGGAGCCTGCACTCCTAGGCCTGAGCTTCCAGATCTGTGGCTGTCAGCCCCGTGGCATGGATGGAGAAGAGCCTGGCCAAGCCCCCAAGCCCCTGTACAAGAAGACTGGGAGTGTGGCCAGTGCACAGGATGGGTCCTGGAGCTCATGCCTTTGCTAGGCCACTTCCAGCCTTGGAAGTCCATCAGCCCTGGCTTTGAATCCTGCCTCCAACATGTTCTAGCTGTATGGCCGACGGCGGGCAAGTCATTTACCTCTTGGAGCCTCATCTGTGAAATGTGGATGATTGATTCCCTACCTCATGGTGCTGTGATGAGGATTTCTTGAGAGGATGACCTAGTAGTGCCCTTGGCATGGTTCCTGTCACTTAGTCAGTGCTCTGTGATCAGCAGCTGGTATTATTATAACAGTTTATCATGCATCTGTCTTCCCACCTGAAACGTGGGACAATAACCCCTGTCATACTGGCTTGAAGGACATGGTGTCGTCTGTGTGAGCTGTGGGGTCAGTATAGCTGGCATTTCTGCCACTCGAAGGCCAGCCCAACCCTACAGGGGTAAGGAGACACACCCAGTTCCCAGCACCAGGGGAAGCTGGATGACAGCTTCAATCCATCAATGATAGGCCTCAGTCCAGCCTAACTTTATGGACTGCAGAGGTACTTAAGTCTGTGGGGGTTGAAGTCTAGCCCAGTTCATCTTCCACACGGGCTGCTGCCCAGAGCAGGTAGGCAGGTATGGGATGGGGGTGAGAGTGCCCTGGGCCCTGGTAGTTCTAGTTAATCAGCTTCCAAAGCAAGGCCCCAAGGAATAGCAGTGGATTTGGGCTGGAGCTGCGTCTCTTGTCCGCAGCAGTTCAGGATCTGGTTATCCCTAGCCCTGCAGGCTGAAGAGGAGCTTGAGGAAACCTCATGCATGAAGGGACACAGATCTCAGTTCTACCTTGTCCAACTCTAGCCTGGCTTTGCCCATGTACTGCTCAGTTCTGCAGGGGGTGGGGTGTACTTTTCTGCTCTGCAGGCTCCTACCCCCTTGTCCACTGACGCAGGGTGAAGGCTGGGGTGTGTGAGACCAGAGTGGAAGGGAGGTTGTCTGGAGAACTAAACGACAGCCCTGGGGGCAACTCTTGTGACCTCCTGCCCCAGGCTCCCAGCACCATGACGGTTTCATACACTCTCAAAGTGGCGGAGGCCCGCTTCGGAGGTTTCTCTGGCCTGCTTCTCCGCTGGAGGGGAAGCATCTACAAGCTCCTCTACAAGGAATTCCTCCTCTTTGGGGCCTTGTACGCTGTGCTTAGCATCACCTACCGGTAAGGGCAGGGTCTTAGAGCTGGCGCAAGTGGGGAGACTGGGCCACCCACCTCCCTCTAACCCAAGCCTACACCTGCCTTCCCCAGGCTGCTGCTGACCCAGGAGCAGAGGTACGTGTATGCTCAGGTGGCCCGGTACTGCAACCGCTCAGCAGACCTCATTCCCTTGTCCTTTGTATTGGGTAAGGCTCCCTTCTAGTTTTCCCTGTGTCCCCCTTACTGTGTTCCCTGACCTCTGGGTTGGGTTGACAGCTCCGAGGGTCAGAATTACCCAACAGATGGTGTGGTGACACACCTGCAGTCTCAGCTACTCGAGAGGCTGAGGTGAGAGGATCGCTTGAGCCCAGGAGTTCCAGTCCAGCCTGGGCAATGTAGCGAGACTCTGCTAAAAAAAAAAAAAAAAAAAAAAAGAATTACTCAACACGGTGGCAGAGCCTTCCTGGTCAGCCAGAGCAGGCCCAGCAGGCACAGGAGCTGGGTGCTGGGTCCAGGACTTCCAGAGGGCAGGGCCCTATCACTTGCCGGACCCTCACTTCCAGCAAGGCACAAGACACCTGCTGGCCTCACAAGCCCACCCTGGGCACTGCAGGGGAGCTGGACAGAGGTGACAACCCCTTCCCCACCCTCCTGGGAAGCAGTCTCCTGGCTTTGAATCCCCACTTTCCCTCTGCTGAAGGAAGTTTGCCCTCCTCCCTCCTCCTGGCCTCGCACAGCAGGGCACTGGAGCTGAATGTTTCCTTCCCCCTGCCACGATTCAACTGGCCTGGACCAGGCCCTTTGCTGGGGGAGGTGAGGCGCTCCGACCCCCAGGCTCTCCACTCTCCCTTCCTACTCCCTCTATCACGGCGGCCAAGCAGGTTTCTATGTGACTCTCGTGGTGAACCGCTGGTGGTCCCAGTACACAAGCATCCCGCTGCCAGACCAGCTGATGTGCGTCATCTCGGCTAGCGTGCACGGCGTGGACCAGCGGGGCCGCCTGCTGCGCCGCACCCTCATCCGCTACGCGAACCTGGCGTCCGTGCTGGTGCTGCGCTCGGTCAGCACCCGCGTGCTTAAGCGCTTCCCCACCATGGAGCACGTGGTGGACGCAGGTGCGCCGCCCGCCGGGAGCCTCTGGGGGTCCGGCCCACAGCCGGATGCAGGTGGCGCCTGGGAGAGTCCTGGGAGCAGGGGCCTCCAGGGAAGGGTCTGGACTGCGACAGGAACGCGGAACCGCGAGTCCTGGGACAGCCGGTGGACGCGAGGGAGGGGAGCCAGACGGCGGAACAGCAGCCTCCCCTGGCGGCAGAGGGTGCAACTGCACCCCACCTGCTTTACCCCCTCAGGTTTCATGTCCCAGGAAGAGAGGAAAAAGTTTGAGAGCCTGAAATCCGACTTCAACAAGTACTGGGTCCCCTGCGTCTGGTTCACCAACCTGGCGGCCCAGGCCCGGAGGGACGGGCGAATACGTGACGATATCGCTCTCTGTCTACTTTTGGAAGTGAGTGGGCTCAGGACCAGACCCATCTGCCCTCCTCCCTCTAATTTTAAAGATGAATAATAATTTTAATACCTAACAGTTGTATGGCATCAGCTGTGTACCCCAGCCTTTTGGAAGCCCTGTACCCATGTTAACTCATTCATCCCTTACAGCAACTCTTGACATAGGTACTATCATCCTCCTTGCACAGATGTGGAAACTGAGGCACAGAGTAGAAAAGAAATTTGCCTAAGTTACACAGCTAGTTAGCAGAGCTGGGATTCAAGCACCCCATCTTAATACACCTCTGAGGGCAGAATGAGAAAGAGCCTCCTGGCCAGGCCCAGGCCTAGTTTGTGCTGGGCACCCCTGTTCCTTCCTCACCTCTGCTGACTTCCTGTTCCTGCTGTTCCCCCAGGAGCTGAACAAGTACCGAGCCAAGTGCAGCATGCTATTCCACTATGACTGGATCAGCATCCCCCTCGTCTACACCCAAGTAACTGCCTCTCCCCTCCCGAGTCCCAGTGCCTACTGTATGTCCTGTGCTGTGTGTGAGATGAGAAGAATTAGCGATGGTACTTGCCTGGCCATTTCAGTCCCCTGAGGCACCGGGTTCATCCTAAAAGCCCCCCACCACCCCCAACAAGGTGACCCTGTCCCCACTGGTACTGCCACACCAGGATACATGTTTGATTACTTGTCAGACTTCCCATAGATCCTCAGAGGCAGGGGCAGCATTTCTCCTTGGCCCGCTGCATCCTGCACTGAGCCTGGCTCTTCATTCTCCAGGTGGTGACCATAGCCGTCTACTCTTTCTTTGCCCTCTCCCTGGTTGGCCGCCAGTTTGTGGAGCCAGAGGCAGGGGCTGCCAAACCTCAGAAGCTTCTGAAGCCAGGCCAGGAGCCAGCCCCAGCCCTGGGAGACCCGGACATGTACGTGCCTCTCACCACTCTGCTGCAGTTCTTCTTCTATGCTGGCTGGCTCAAGGTGGGCACTGCAGATGGGCATGCCAGCCTGCTCTGTGGAGATGTGGGCAGAGGGGCTGCCCCGACTTTGGGGAAAAAGAGTGGGGCTCTGAACCCAGAAAACCCTGTCTCTGCCACCTATAGGTGGCTGAACAGATCATCAACCCATTTGGTGAGGATGATGACGACTTTGAGACAAATCAGCTCATAGACCGCAACTTGCAGGTGAGCAAGCATCAGGATCAGGAGTCCAGGGCAGCTCCTGGGCCCCCTCTCCCGGTCAGCTCTCAGCCCGGCCGTGGGAAGGAGAGGAGAGGAGGATCCTTGTAACTTGCTGGTGGCCCAGGTGTCCCTGCTATCCGTGGACGAAATGTACCAGAACCTTCCCCCCGCTGAGAAGGACCAGTACTGGGATGAGGACCAGCCGCAGCCACCCTACACTGTGGCCACGGCGGCCGAGTCTCTGCGGCCCTCATTCCTGGGCTCCACCTTCAACCTGCGGTGAGTGGCTTGCACTGGGCCTGACCCGGCACGCGGGTCCTCGCTCAGCCTCTGGGGCACCGATGCCTCGGTCCTTCCCCGAGAGCCGATCCCGCGTCCCCGCTCCCGCCCTGTGCCCCGGCTCAGCCCGCCCTCCCGCCCGCAGCATGAGCGACGACCCTGAGCAGAGCCTGCAGGTGGAGGCGTCCCCCGGATCTGGTCGGCCCGCGCCCGCCGCGCAGACCCCGTTGCTCGGCCGCTTCCTGGGCGTAGGGGCGCCCTCCCCGGCCATCAGCCTCCGGAACTTCGGCCGCGTGCGAGGCACCCCCCGCCCCCCGCATCTGCTGCGCTTCCGGGCGGAGGAGGGCGGCGACCCCGAGGCCGCAGCCCGCATCGAGGAGGAATCGGCGGAGTCCGGGGACGAGGCCCTGGAGCCCTGAGGTCTCGCCTGCCCCCGCCCGGTTTCCCCCACCCACTGCCCTCCTTCCCTCCCGTGCCCGGTCCTGCCAGCCAGCTCTATTAGAGCAGCTTTTCCTGTGTGCCTTGAAGGCCAGAGCATTTAGGGACAGAACTTGAAAGAGAAGATGGCGAAAAGGGCCTGAGCCAGGGCTGGGAATGTGTCCACTTTGGTGGGAGAGAAGGTCGGTTGCTTGGGGGACGTGAAGCTAGAAAAATAAATGAGCCCAGGCATAGAGGACTAGAGCCCAGGTGCACGGTTAGCTTCACAGCAACAGGGAGCTAGGCCATTGGTTCTCAAACTTAAGGAAGGATCAGCATCACGGAAGGTCTTGTCAAAAGAGTGCTGGGCACCACTCCCAGCATTTCTGGCACGTTAGATTTGGGATGGCGCCCAATAACTTGCATTTCTAACAAGTTCCCAGGTGATGCTGTGCTGCTTGTCCAGGAAACACAATTTGAGAGTCATGTGAAACGTGCTTGAAGGGGTATACCTTACCCTGGTAACCTTACTCAAAAGAAGGGTCAGTGTGTGCTGGGGGACTTTTGCCTTGTTTGTAATGTTAAAGTTTTTGTTTACATTGAGAATATATTCAAGTTTTTGTTTAAGTGTTGTTTAGTTTTTGTTTATATTGAGAATATATTTATTACTTGTGCAGTTATAATTGTTTAAAATTGAATTGGCATGCATGCAGTAGGATGAAGATGAAGGAAGGGTTTGGGAATCTGTCTTGGAGGCTGATTAAAGTCAGATGTGAAGGCAGCCATCCACCACCCACCCTAGACCTAGCATTTGGACTTGTGTGCCAAGCTCTTCTCCACTGCCACCAACCACACAGGGGGAAAAAGTACAGTTTACGGGTAGAAGCCTAGGCCCATCTCCATGGTGGGCCTGCAGCGCTGGGGGCACTCGGCTGATGTAAGTAAAGAGCCTTCTGTGGCTGGGCACAGTGGCTCACGCCTGTAATCCCAGCACTTTGGGAGGCCAAGGTGGGCAGATCCCCAGAGGCCAGGAGTTAAAGACCAGCCTGGCCAACGTGGTGAAACCGCATCTCTACTAAAAATACAAAAATTAGCTGGGTGTGGTGGTGGATGCCTGTAATCCCAGCTTCTTGGGAGGCTGAGGCACAAGAATTGCTTGAATCTGGGAAGCGGAGGTTGCAGTGAGCCAAGATCACTCTACTGCACTCTAGCTCTCGGTTACAGAGCCAGGCTCTGTCTCCAAAAAAAAAAAAAGTCTTCTGGAAACAGTCTGCCACAGAGCACTACATTGGAATTGTGATAAAACTATGCTCCTATACGATTCTTGCTTTTTAAATCCCAGTCTTCACCTAAAGAAATCAGTGAAGGCCAAAACTGAATATTAAGGCCACAGGATAAATGCCAGAACAGAGGAGGAAGACAGAGGGGGGACACTAGAGTGCAGTGAGTAGACTCCAGCCTCTGGCAGGGTCAGTTGACTGGATTCTAATGCTGGCTTTGCTTCTTTCCATCTGTATGTCCATGGGATAGTGAATATTTCTTATTTATTTATTTATTTATTTATTTATTTATTTATTTATTTGAGACGGAATCTTGCACTGTCACCCAGGCTGGAGTGCAATGGCCTGATCTCGGCTCACTGCAACCTCCACCGCCTGGGTTCAAGCAATTCTCCTGCCTCAGCCTCCCGAGTAGCTGGGATTACAGGTGTCCACCACCACGCCCGGCTAATTTTTTGTATTTTTAGTAGAGACCGGGGTGTCACCACGTTGTCCAGGCTGGTCTTTAACTCCTTACCTCAGGTGATCCACCCGCCTCAGCCTCCCAAAGTGCTGGAATTACAGGCGTAAGCCACCGCGTCTAGCCAATAGTGAATATTTCTAAGCCTCAGTTTCCAAATCTATAATGTGGAGACAGTAGCACCCCACAATGATGGCCATTCATTCACGAGGTATTTGAGGTTTTTTTTTTTTTTTCTGCAGCTTTTACAAGCCTTGTTCCATGGTGAGAACGGTCATCTGTGAAGGTGGTAGAAATGGAGAATGGATGGATTTCAAGACTTTAGAGAAAGAACCCACTGGTTTTATGGACAGATCTTGGCTCACTGCAACCTCCACCTCCCCAGGTTCAAGAGATTCTCATGCCTCAGCCTCTCAAGTAGCTGGGATTACAGGCACATGCCACCACACCCTGCTAATTTTTTGTATGTTTAGTAGAGATGGGGTTTCACCATGTTGGCCAGGCTGGTTTTTGAACTCCTGACCTCAAGTGATCCACCTGCCTCGGCCTCCCAAAGTGCTGGGATTACAGGCGTAAGCCACAATGCCTGGCCAAACTTCAAATTTAATAAAGTCTCAAGACTTTTTTCCCAATTAATCTTGCATATATTTGAGTACCCAGTATATGTCCATACACTTTTCCAGGTGCCAGAGACACAGCAGGAAACAAATATCCTTGTTTCCCTGGAGTACCATTCCAAAGGGAAAAGAGCAAACTTTGTCAGATTAAGGAATAAAGAGAAAAAACAGGCGAAGTGTAAGACAGTTCAGAGGGGCGACTGCAACTTAGAATATTGTGATCCGGCAAGAATTCACTAGGATGGCATAGCAAAGACCTGGAGGGAATGAACCATGTGGGGTTTTTTTTGTAGAAACAGGGTCTCACTTTGTTGCCCAGGTTGGTCTCAATCTCCCAGCCTCAAGCAATCCTCCTGCCTTGGCCTCTGCCTCCCAAAGTGCTGGGATTACAGGCATGAGCCACCATGCCCAGTGTCCAGCCCCAAGTGGATATTTGAAGGAGCGTGCCTAACAAAGGGAATAGCATGTGTACATGTATGTTCAGTAAACTAGGATGGTTGTGTGGTTGATGGAGGGAGTCACTATAGAAGGAGCTAGGTCACATCAAGTCATAATACTTGGTAAGGATTTTCATTGATGAGATAGGAAGCTGTTGCATTAAAAATATAATCTTGGTGGGGTGCAGTACCTCACATGTGTAATCCCAACACTTTGGAAGGCCAAGGCAGGAGCATTGCTTGAGGCCAGGAGCTCAGGATTAGCCTGGGCAACAAGAAACCCCATCTCTACAAAAAAATAAAATGATTATTCTGGGCCCTGCACCACAGCTGTAGTCCCAGCTACTCAGTAGATTGAGGCTGCAGTGAACAATGATCGATCCGCTGCACTCCAGCCTAGTGTGAGATCCTGACTCTTGAAACTGAGGAACATGGCAGGTGGGGGCAGACAAGAGCTCAGTTTTGAAAATGCTGGCCTTTGGGAGCCCTATTAAAATATCCAAGCACAAAGCTGGGCGAGTGGCTCATGTCTATAATCCCAGCACTTTGGTAGGCCAAGGCGGGTGGATCACTTGAGGACAGGAGTTGGAGACCACCCTAGCCAACAGTGAAACCCTCTCTACTAAAAATACAAAAAGTGGCCCATAACTCCGTGCGCTCTCCCCTCCCGTCCTCTTTCCGCCATCTTTCCACGCCGTCACAATGGTGCGCATGAATGCCCTGGCAGATGCTCTCAAGAGCATCAACAATGCCGAAAAGAGAGGCAAACGCCAGGTGCTTCTTAGGCCATGCTCCAAAGTCATCGTCCAGTTTCTCACTGTGATGATGAAGCATGGTTACATTGGCGAATTTGAAATCACTGATGATCACAGAGCTGGGAAAATTGTTGTGAACCTCACAGGCAGGCTAAACAAGTGTGGAGCGATCAGCCCCAGATTTGATGTGCAACTCAAAGATCTGGAAAAATGGCAGAATAATCTGCTTCCATCCCGCCAGTTTGATTTCATTGTACTGACAACCTCAGCTGGCATCATGGACCATGAAGCAAGACGAAAACACACAGGAGGGAAAATCCAGGGATTCTTTTTCTAGGGATGTAATACATATATTTACAAATAAAATGCCTCAAGGACAAAAAAAAAAAGTGAGCTGGGCATGGCAGTGCACACCTAGTAATTCCAGCCGCTCAGGAGGCTGAGGCATGAGAATTGCTTGAACCCAGGAGGCGGAGGTTGCAGTGTGCTGAGATTGCACACCACTGTAATCCAGTCTAGGCAACGGAGTGACTATCTAAAAAAACCCAAAAAGCAGGCCGGGTGCGGTGGCTCACACCTGTAATCCCAGCACTTCGGAAGGCCGAGGTGGGCAGATCACGTGAGGATGGGAGTTCGAGACCAGCCTGACCAACATGGAGAAACCCCGTTTCTACTACAAATACATTATCTGGGCATGATGGTGCACGCCTGTAATCCCAGCTACTTGGGAGGCTGAGGCAGGACAATCGCTTGAACCTGGGAGGTGGAGGTTGTGGTGAGCCAAGATCCCGCCATTGCACTCCAGCCTGGGCAACAGAGCCAGACTCTGTCTCGAAAAACAAAAAACCCAAGTGCAAAGCTGGGTGTGGTGGCTTATGCCTGAAACCTAGCGCTTTGGGAGGCAAAGGTGGTAAGATTGCTTGAGCCCAAGATTTCAAGACCTGGGCAATGAAGTGAGACCCTGTCTCTACCAAAAAAAATAATTTAAAAAAATGGGTATAGGCCAGGCATGGTGGCTCACGCCCGTAATCCCAGCACTTTGGGAGGCCAAGGCAGGCAGATCATCTGAGGTCAGGAGTTCAACACCAGCCTGACCAACAGGGAAAAACCCTGTCTCTACTAAAAATACAAAATTAGCTAGGTGTGGTGGCGCATGCCTGTAACCCCAGCTGCTCGGGAGGCTGAGGCAAGAGAATCCCTTGAACCCAGGAGGCAGAGGTTGCGGTGAGGCGAGATCACGCCATTGCACTCCAGCCTGGGCAACAAGAGCAAAACTTTGTCTCAAAAACAAAACAAAAAGGGGTGTAGTGCCTATTGTCTCAGCTACTTGGCAGGCTGAGGCAGTATTACTTGAGCCCCGATGTAAAGGCTGCAGTGAACCATGATCATGCCACTGCACTCCAGCCTGGGTGACAGAGACTGTCTCAAAAAAAGAAAAAAAAAAAAAATCCAAGTGCAGATGTCAGGCAGGTCAGGACTAAAGATAAGTGTTTGACAGGGCAAGTTTAAGTCAAAGAAGTGACCCTTGGAGACCAAGCAAGGCAGAAATCACTGTTAATCTTACAATGGGTACAAGATCCTTAAAATTTTTTATAAGCAATATAGCCTGAGATTCTAATCATGACTCAGCCAGCACAATATTACTGAACCCCAAGGTTGGGATACCCCCTCATAGCCTCTGCCACATCCCTATCCCCACCAAAATGTGGTGAGAAATGTTCCCACTATAGACATAGCCCACATAATAAATCTGGCCTTCAGGGACATGGAGTTGAGAACAGGGACTTTACAGTGTGGTGAGCCTGGCTCAGGACAGTAGGAGGCAGAGGTTAAGGCAAGGGGTTGCAGCCACCCACCCAGATCAGTTTTGCAGGGCAAGGAAATAAAGCAGAGAAAACAGTCATATATTCAGGCAACATAAATGTGGGAACAAAACAATAAACACCTTTATTACATGGGTGAAGACAAAACAAGGATTTATTTGCCTTTGCGGGCCTTGATTTTCCTAAGATAGAACTCCAACTCTTTGCCCTCTAGCACATAGCCATCTGCTCGGCCACACTGTCCCGGCCTTGAAGCGATGCACGCTGCAAGAGAGTAGGTGATCCTTAGCACAACGACAAGGTGGCCCTACCCAAACCTCTCCACCCGCTTAAGAATCTCTGTGGGTTCAGGTACCCTGGGGGCAAGCATGAAGCCAGCTGTCTCCTCAGACACACTTTATCTTCACTTACTGTCAGTAGCAGAACTGGACAAAGTTTTCATCACTGAGACAGCCCCCTCAGCCTGGGCAGAGACTTCCCCAAATACAAAGACTCCAAGCACGGGCCTATGCAGACTCTTCTACCCAATGCTTCCCATTTCAGCTTCATACGAATAGGGTGACCAAACGTTCCCCTTTGTGCTCGCAGCCTGTTATCAGTGAACCCTTTAGACTGCATGGCTGGCAGTCAAAGGAACTGAGACAAGGGAAAAGTGCCTCGGCACACTCAATCTCTGCGACTCCCCACCTCCAACACAACAGCCTTCTCACCAAGAAGCTTGCCCTGCTGGAACTGCTCCTCCAGGAGACTGCTGATTTTGGCATTCTTTTTCCTTTCATCATATTTCTTCTGAATTTTTTTAGATCGTTTTTTGTTTAAAATCTCTTCTTCCTCAGGAGTCTGAAAAGGGGATACAAATATATGAGCTCAGGGAAGGAAGGCAGGCCCTGGGAGCTTTCTCGAACCCTGCACACCCCAGTGCTGGCCTTCCTCAGCCTAAAAGGCTCTCATCTCTCTCCCTTCAGTAGCAGAACTGGACAGAGTTTTCATCACGAGAAGGCTGGAGTCAGGCTGCCCTCCCCACAACCCCTACAGGGAAGTAACACGCACCAGCTTGGCTCCCTTCTTGCGGCCCAGGGGCAGCGCATAGTGGGACTCGTACCACTGTCGGTACGGTGTGCTGTCGATGAGCACGATGCAATTCTTCACCAGGGTCTTGGTACGAACCAGCTCGTTATTAGATGCATTGTAGACAACATCGATGATCCTTGTTTTACGAGTACAACCTGCTCACAGGAGAAATTTGGCATCAAGTAAACTGGAGGACAAATGGCCCTGGCACACTCCTCCAGGTTCTTCAGCCCCATGAGGCCTTAAGGAGAAATAAGGGAACTCTCAGCCTTTACAAGCCATGGGGCATCAGTTCGTCTTCCACAACCCCCTAACCCACGTTTCTAGTTATGTTTGGCAACCCGCAGTCTTTACCAGCCCCAATCTCTCAGGCTGCAGAGTTCAGAAAGATCAGAGCAGGTCGGGCACGGTGACTCACGCCCGTAACCCCAGCACTTTGGGAGGTCAAGGCGGGTGGATCACTTAAAGCCAAGAATTTGAGACCAGCCTGGCCAACATGGTGAAACCCCGTCTCTACTAAAAATACAGAAGCAGCCGGGTGTGATGGCACACGCCTGTAATCCCAGCTTCTTGGGAGGCTGAGGCAGGAGAATCACTTCAACCCAGGAGGCGGAGGCTGCAGTGAACCAAGATCACGCCACTGGCACTCCAGCCTGAGCAACAGAGACCCAATCTCAAAAAAAGAGATTGGAGCAGGACAGCCTGGGTGGAGAGAACTCCCCAGCTACCTTAAGATCTTTCAGCAAGGAGAAACTTCAAATGCCTTGGTCTAAGCCACAGACTACTTGCTAAAAGCACTTGAATCTTTTTTTTTACTGAGAGTCTCGCTCTGTTGCCCAGGCTGGACTCGAACTCCTGACCTCAGGTGATCCGCCCGCCTCGGCCTCCCAACGTGCTGGGCTTATAGGCGTGAGCCACCGCGCCAGGCCCACTTGGTGAATCTTAAGACCGTTTAGGTGCGTTTTCCCACCCACTCCCAAAGGGCCTCACTCACACTCTGAGCCCCAGGAGAAATTCCCCACGTCCAACCTCAGGGCACGGTATTTCTTGTTACCTCCCCGCACACGGACTGTGTGGATGCGGCGGGGGCCAATCTGGAAAACACAAGGTTACAGGAACTAGGTTACCAAGGAGAGCAAGGCAAGTGAGGGAGAGGAACCTGGGCCGGGAGGAGGCAACAGTCAGTGTAACTATGACAAGTCCTTGCATTGGCAAGTGGCACACAGGTGACCAAGACGGCCACAACCACGCCTAAGGATTCTTTTTCATCACCCTACTTGCCTCCAAGAGGAAAGCCTGACCCCAAATGCTGAAAATTAAGCCTCTGTAAAAAAAACAAGACTAGGCTTCTGACTATGACGCGAGGCGCCACCCTCTCCAGAAGCTCAAGTCCCCACACAGTATCCTTCTCTCTGAAATCCTAAGCTCCAGGTTTGGGGGCCTGAGGGAGCATTCCCTCTTTGGTACTTACTTATCCAACAGCTAAAGGGGGACAGGACACCCAGGCCCTACTACAGAGAAATCAGAGCCCAAGAAAGAACGCACAACTGTCACACGGAAAGACCCGAGCACGCTGGAGAGCGGGGGAAGGCGACCTCCCAGGCGGACAGGCCCACGCTCGCACCCACCTTGGTGTTGGCAGCTGGGCGCCCCAACTCATACTTCCGCTTCTTGTGGTAGGGCTTTCTCTTGCCCCCGGTTTTGCGGCGCTTGTGCCAGTTGTCCCGAGAGATGCCTGCATGTGGAAGCGGGGAAGGAAGCTTGAGCCACTGTGACTCGGTGCTAGCGACTCGCCAGCTCCCGGAGACCCCCGCGCCGGGCCGGTCGCACGCTCAGCTCTCCAAGGTTGGCTTCCCCACCGCGCACTCGGGAGTATGCAGCATTACCGAGTTGTCATCATACACGTGCGGCCAGGCCGGGGCCTCCTCCTCGCGGCAGCCATGTTGGCGCCGCTCGGAGCCCGCAGCCCGCGGCCCGGAACCCGGAGCCCAGAGCCTTCGCAGCCCCCAGAGACGGGCTGGGCGGCCGAAACCCGAGGGCCACCACTCCTCGTGGCTGTCCCTGGCCGGGGGTCGGGGCGTCTGGACTCCTCAGTAGGCTGTGAAGCAGGATGGGGCCTGATTGAGCTCAACCTCCCTTCACCCGCCTCAATGCAGAGCGACACTCACCCATCGCTCGGCGCTGGCTGGAAAGAGAAACCGCAAAGATTCACGGTTCGGTTTGTAAAACGCTGCCCCGCCCCTTTACTTTACGTTGTTTCTGAGCGCCGAAACAACGTCGGGCGACGAGACTTACGTGTCAGCTGCCGCGCCTAGGGCCACGAGCCTAGGAGGGTCTCGCAGGCTGCTGACCTCTGCCGACCCCCGGCGACTCGCCTCCGACCCTGGGCTGGGGGAAGGGGGTCTGCGGCGTCGGCAGATCTGGGCGTGTTTAGACTAGTTTCAGAGGCTGCTGCGGTCGTTTAGGATGAGATGTGGGTGCGGCTGCGTTGAAAAAGAGTGGAAGGCAATGGAATTGGAAACGAGTGTGGACTTGGGTTTTGTTTTGAAGGGTTTGGTGGTAGATTGGACATGGGGATTGAGGGAGAGGGCGGTGTCAAGGATTCCTAAGATTGTCACTTGATCAATCGGATAAATATTGGGGCCATTTACTGAGATGGGGTAGGCTAAGGTAGGAGCTGTTCTGGACACGTTCATTTTGAGATCTTGCTAAGTCATGTTGAGTGGGACTAACAGATAGGAAGCTGAATATTAATGACTGGTCATCCTTATAAGGGATCTGCACCGAAGATGTTATTTTGGGAATCGTTGGCTTATAAATGGTAATTAAAGCCACCAGAATGAACGGAACTTAGGAAGAGAGTATAAAGGAGGGATCAGCTAACTTTTCTGAGCTAGAAGGATATCTATTTTTTAATTAAAAAAAATTTTTAGGCCTGGCGCGGTGGCTCACGCCTGTAATCTCAGCACTTTTGGGAGGCGGAGGCGGGCGGATCACGAGGTCAGGAGTTCGAGACCAGCCTGGCCAACATGGTGAAACCGCGTGTCTACTAAAAAAATACAAAATTTAGTTGAGCATGGTGACGCACACCTGTAATCCCAGCTACTCAGGGAGGCTGAGGCAGGAGAATCGCTTGAACCAGGGAGCTGGAGGTTGCAGTGAGCCGAGATCGCACCACTGCACTCCAGTCTGGCGACAGAGCGAAACTCCGTCTCAAAACAAAACAAACAAACAAAACAAAATTAGCCGGGCGTGGTGGCGGGCGCCTGTAATTCCAGCAACTCCGTCTGGAGGCTGAAGAAGGAGAATCACTTGAACCGGGAGGTGGAGGTTCCAGTGAGCCGAGATGGCACCAATGCACTCACTCCAGCCTGGGTGATGGAGTAAAACTCTGTCTCAAAAAAATAAAATACACAAGTTATTATTGATTATAGTCACCCTGTTTTGCTATCAAATAGTAGGTCTTATTTATGATGATATTTTATTTTTGTACCCATTAGCCATCCCCACCATCCCCACTTCCCCCTACCCTCCCACTACCCTTTCTAGCCTCTGGTAACCATCCTTCTACTCTCTAGGACCATGAGTTCAATTGTTTTGATTTTTAGATCCCACAAATAAGTGAGAACATGCGATTCTCTTTGCATAAGTGTGTTTTTCTGTGCCCAGCTTATTTCACTTAACATAATGACCTTCAGTTCTACCCATGATGTTGCAAATGACGGGATCTCATTCTTTTTTATGGCTGAATAGTAATCCATTGTACATATGTACCACATTTTATCCATTCATCTTTTTTTTTCTTTTGAGACGGAGTCTTGCTCTGTCACCCAGGCTGCAGTGCAGTGGCATGATCTCAGCTCACTGCAACCTCTGCCTCCCAGGTTCAAGCAATTCTCCTGCCTCAGCCTCCTGAGTAGTTGGGATTACAGGCATGCGCCACCATGCTTGGCTAATTTTTGTATTTTTAGTAGAGATGGGGTTTCACCATGTTGGCCAGGCTGGTCTCGAACTCTTGACCTCAGGTGATCTGCCCACCTCAGCCTCCCAAAGTGCTAGGATTACAGGCGTGAGCAACCACACCTGGCGCCATTCGTCTTTTTTAACTTTAATTTTAATTTTTTTTGAGACAGTCTCGCTCTGTTGCCCAGGCTGGAGTGCAGTGGTGCGATGTTGGCTCGCTGCAACCTTCATCTCCTGGGTTCAAGCAATTCTCCTGCCTCAGCTTGCCAAGTAGCTAGGGTTACAGGCATGGGCCACCATGCCAGCAAATTTTTGTATTTGTAGTACAGATGGGGTTTCACCATGTTGGCCAGGCTGGTCTTGAACTCCTGACCTCAAGTGATCTGCCCGCCTACGCCTCCCAAAGTGCTGGGATTACAGGAGTGAGCCACCGCGCCCAACCTGATTTCCTTTCTTTTGAGTATATACCCAGCAGTGCAGGAACCTCCAAACTGTTCTCCATGGTGGTTGTACTAATTTACATTCCCAACAACAGTGTACGAGCGTTCCCTTCTCTCCACATCCTCGCCAGCATTTGTGATTGCCTGTGTTTTAGAAATAAGCCATTTGAACTGGGGTGAGATGATATGGTAGTTTTGATTTGCATTTCTCTGATGATCAGTGATGTTGAGCACCTTACATATGCCTGTTTGCCATCTGTATGTCTTCTTTTGAGAAATGTCTATTCAAATCTTTTGCCCATTTTTTGATCAGATTATTAGTTTTTTCCTGCTTAGAGCTGAGCTCCTTAAATATTCTGGTTGTTAATCCCTTGCCAGATGGGTAGTTTGCAAATATTTTCTCCCATTCTGTGGGTTGTCTCTTTACTTTGTTGATTGTATCCTTTGGTGTGCAGAAGCTTTTTAACTTGATGTGATCCCATTTGTCCATTTTTTGCTTTGGTTGCCTGTGCTTATGGGGTATTGTTCAAGGAATTTTTGCCCAGACCAATATCCTGGAGATTTCCCCCAGTGTTTTCTTGTAGTAGTTTCATAGTTTCATAGTTTGAGGTCTTAGATTTAAGTCTTTAATCCATTTTGATTTGATTTTTGTGCAGTGCTGTACATGTTCAGAGAAACTTCCCTAGCAACAAACTATAGAAATGATCCCTAAAGTATAGTGTTTAACATTTCTTATAAAGAATATGTAGGAGGCCGGGGTGGTGGCTCACGCCTGTAATGCCAGCATGTCGGGAGGCTGAGGCAAGTGTATCACGAGGTCAAGAGATCAAGACCATCCTGGCCAACATGTTGAAACCCCGTCTCTATTAAAAATACAAAAATTAGGCCGGGCGCGGTGGCTCACGCCTGTAATCCCAGCACTTTGGGAGGCTGAGGCGGGCAGATCACGAGGTCAGGAGATCAAGACCATCCTGGCTAACACGGTGAAACCCCATCTCTACTAAAAATACAAAAAATTAGCCAGGCGTGGTGGCGGACACCTGTAGTCCCAGCTACTCGGGAGGCTGAGGCAGGAGAATGGCGTGAACCCAGGAGGCGGAGCTTGCAGTGAGCCAAGATAGCGCCACTGCACTCCAGCCTGGGCGACAGAGAGAGACTCCGTCTCAAAAAAAAAAAAAAAACAAACCAAAAATTAGCTGGGTGTGGTGGTGCGCACCTTAGTCCCAGCTACTTGGGAGGCAGGAGAATCGCTTGAACCCGGGAGGCGGAGGTTGCAGTGAGCCAAGACCACGCCGTCACACTCCAGCCTGGCGACAGAGCGAGACTCCATCTCAAAAAAAAAAATATGTAGGAGCCAGGCATGGTGGTATGTGCCTGTAGTCCTAGCTGCCCGGGAGGTTGAGGCTGTAGGATTGCTTGAGCCTGCAATTCAGGGTCACAGTGAGCTATGATCATGCCACTGCACTCCAGCCTGGGCAACAGAGCAAGACCCTGTCTCAAAAAAAAAAAAAAAAGAAAAGAAAAAAGAAAATAATTGACCTAAGCAGCCTCTCCAGCTGCCTATTAAAAAAAAAAAAAAAGAAAGAAAAAAATACAAGAAAAAACATAGGTCCAAGGCTTTAGGAATATCTACATTTCGGCTGGGTGCGGTGGCTCACGACTGTAATCTCAGCACTTTGGGAGGCCAAAATGGGCAGATCACCTGCGGTCAGGAGTTTGAGACCAGTCTGACTAACACGGCAAAACCCCGTCTCTACTAAAAATAACAAAATTAACCAGGCGTGGTGGCACACGCCTGTAATCCCAGCAACTCAGGAGGCTGAGGCAGGAGAATCGCTTGAACCCAGGAGGCAGAGGTTGCAGTGAGCTGAGATCGCACCATTGCACTCCAGCCTGGGCAACAAGAGCGAAACTCCATACCCACCCCGCAAAAAAACAAAGGAATGTTGTCATTTCAAGGCCAGATAGAGAAAGATAGCTGGCAAAGGACACAGAAAGAGAAATTAGAGTGACTAGAGGAAAGCCAACACAGGGTGCTGCCGTAGCTTAATGCTGCTGTGAATGCTAGTTAAAATGAGACTAAAAAGTGATTATTAGGCCAGTGCGGTGGCTCACGCCTGTAATCCAGCACTTGGGGATGCCAAGGGGGTGGATCACCTGAGGTTAGAAGTTCGAGACCAGCCTGGCCAACATGGCGAAACCCCATCTCTACTAAAAATACAAAAATTACCTGGGTGCAGTGGTGGACACCTATAGTCCCAGCTACTCTGGAGGCTGAGGCAGGAGAATCGCTTGAACCTGGGGGGCAGAGGTTGCAGTGAGCCGAGATCACTCCACTGCACTCTAGCCTGGACGACAGGAGCAAAACTCCGTCTCAAAGAAAAAAAAAAAGGTGATTATTGGATTTAGTAACCCGAAAGTCCTTGGTGATATTGGCGAGAGCAGTTTCTGTACAGTACAGTGGGAAAAAACTTGAAATAGAATGGGAAGTTAAAAAATCCAATGTATGTAGACAATTATTTTGAGAGGTATGACTTTAAAGGGGAAAGAGAGAATTAGGTTGTTGGCTGGAAAGGAATGTAGAGCAGAAGGGTAGTGTTTTCTTTTTTTTTTTTTGAGACGGAGTCTCACTCTGTTGCCCAGGCTGCAGTGGTGCGATCTTGCCTCACTGCAAGCTCTGCCTCCCGGGTTCATGCCGTTCTCCTGCCTCAGCCTCCTGAGTAGCTGGGACTACAGGTGCCCAAAACCACGCCTGGCTAATTTTTTGTATTTTTAGTAGAGATGGGGTTTCACCGTGTTAGCCAAGATGGTCTCGATCTCCTGACCTCATGATCAGCCTGCCTCGGCCTCCCAAAGTGCTGGGATTTCAGGCTTGAGCCACCACGCCCGGCCTTTTTTTTTTTTTAATTTTAGACACAGGGTCTCATTATACTGCTCAGGCCACAGTTCTGAGTCTGCTTTCTAAAGCAGCAACACTCTCTCATCTTTCTCTACCCACTTACTACCTATCATTTGTTTACATGCACATTATCTGTCTTCTCCACTGAAATACTATGTGCATAAGGGTAGAAACTTAGTCTTATTCACTGCCATATTTCTAACACCTATACATAGAATAATGCTTGCTATTTAATAAGTACTCAATAATTTTATTTTTTTTGGAGACAGAATCTTGCTCTGTCGCCCAGGCTGGAGTGCAGTGGCACAATCTCAGCTCACTGCAAGCTCTGCCTCCCGGGTTCACACCACTCTCCTGCCTCAGTCTCCTGAGTAGCTGGGACTACAGGCGCCTGCCACCACTCCTGGCTAATTTTTTTTTTTTTTTTTTTGTATTTTTAGTAGAGACGGGGTTTTACCATGTTAGCCAGGATGGTCTTGATCTCCTGACCTTGTGATCTGCCCGCCTCGGCCTCCCAAAGTGCTGGGATTACAGGTGTGACCAACCGTGCCCAGCCTTTTTCTTTTTTTTTTTTTGATACAGGGACTGGTTCTGTTGCCCAGGCTGGAGTGCAATGGCGCAATCTCGGCTCATTGTAACCTCTGCCTCCCAGGCATAAGCCATCCTCCCACCTTACCCTACCAAGGAACTGGGACCACAGGCACATGCCACCACGCCTGGCTCCTTTTTGTATTTTCTGTAGAGATTGGGTCTTTTTTTTTTTTTTTTTTTTGAGACAGAGCCTTGCTCTGTTGCCCAGGCTGGAGTGCAGTGGTGCGACCTCAGCTCACTGCAGCCTCTGCCTCCTGGGTTCAAGCGGTTCTTCTGCCTCAGCCTCCCGAGTAGCTGGGATTATAAGCATGCGCCACCACGCCCAGCTCATTTTTGTAGAGACAGGGTTTCACCAGGTTGGCCAGGCTGGTCTCCAATCTGGCCTCGTTTTCCGCCCATCTTGGCCTCCCAAAGTGCTGGGATTATAGGTGTGAGCCACAGCACTCAGCTCATTTTTGTAGAGACAGGGTTTCACCAGGTTGGCCAGGCTGGTCTCCAACTCTGGCCTTGTTTTCTGCCCATCTTGGCCTCCCAAAGTGCTGGGGTTATAGGCATGAGCCACAGCACCCAGCTGAGACTGAGTCTCATTTTGTTGCCCAGGATGGTCTTGAACTCCTGAGCTCAAGCCATCTGCCCGCCTCGGCCTCACTCAATAAATATTTAAATGGCACTAAATATTCGAGCAAATTATTGTTCTACTCACCACATTGTATTTGCTTGGTTTTCCCAGGTTTAATGTACCATATTAATGGAGTAAAGGAGTAAAGGAAGAAACAAATGGAGTAAAGGAAGAAACAAAACCACCTGATCACTTCAAAACACAGAAAAAGCATTTGACAAAATCCAATACCCTTTGGCGATTAAAAGACTCAAACTAGAAATAAAAGTGAACTGCTGGCATAGTGCAGTGGCTCATGCCTGTAATCCCAGCACTTTGGGAGGCCGAGGTAGGAGGATTGCTTGAGGCCAGGAGTCTCTGTGACTGAGGGCTTCCCACACATTTGCTTGTATGGTTCCTAGGTTAAACCTTTTAGTGGCACCTCATTACCATTCAGATAATCCATGCTCAATGACATGGAATATAGAGTTCTCCAGTTCCTAAACTGTTCATGCCCTATGACTGGGCCCTCAGTCCACTGGACAGACTTTTTTTCAAGACCAAATTGGTGTTTCCCTTTGGATCCTTCCCTGTCCAGCAAGTTAAGTGCTTTCATCAGCCTTTGTGTGAATGGTAATGAGGTATCACTAAAAGGTTTTAAGCAAATGTGTGTTCAGGGAGCCCTCAGTCAGGGGGACTCCTGGCCTCAACCCCACAGAATCTTTTAACAGGCCCTGGGCTGACTGTAATAGGGTGCCATCTTCTTTTTTTTTTAACACGGAGTTTCGCTCTTGTTGCCTAGGCTGGAGTGCAATGGCGCGATCTTCGCTCACCGCAACCTCCGCCTCCTAGGATTACAGGCATGCGCCACCACGGCCGGCTAATTTTTTGGATTTTTAGTAGAGACGGGGTTTCACCATGTTGGTCTCCAATTCCTGACCTCAGGTGATCCACCTGCCTCGGCCTCCCAAAGTGCTGGGATTACAGGTGTTAGCCACTACACCTGGCCTTTTTTTTTGAGACAGCCTTACTCTGTCTCCCAGGCTGGAGTGCTGTGGCACAGTCTCGGCTCACTGCCGCCTCCGCCTCCCGGGTTCAAGCAATTCTCCTGCCTCAGCCTCCTGAGTAGCTAGAACTATAGGTGCGTGCCACCATGTACCATGCCCAGCTAATTTTTGTATTTTTAGTAGAGATGGGGTTTCACCATGTTGGCCAGGCTGGTCTTGAATTCCTGACCTTGCGATCTGCCCGCCTTGGCCTTCCAAAGTGCTGGGATTATAGGCGTGGGCCACCGTGCCCGGCGGCCATCTTCCTTCTACTTAAGAGTTTCTGTTCCCAGGCCTAGTAAGCATCTCATAGACATCAAACAAGTCACAGGAGTCTTCAGCTTGTCATTGGAATTGTAGGTGTGGATATGGCCTCCTGGAAGGAGTACAGAATCAGTACTACCCAGAGGCCAAAGGTACAGTCATGTCCTTAGTCCCAAAAGGCTCAGACACATCCCAGGCCCTTTCCACACACTTAAACAGCTGATTTATTTTTTCTCTTTATTGTTACATACAATGTATAAACACATAAAACAGAAAACAGTAGGGATCCTCTAGGATCTCTAGGGAGACAGTAAAGTAGAAAGAGGTCTCAGAAACATTTTTTTAAAGTACAAGACATTCAGTGCTCGGCCCAAAGGCGTAGAAGGTTTAGAGCCAGCAGATAGCTGTACTAAAGGCTCCGTCTCTCTCCCCAGAGCCAGGACAACCCCAGGGAGCTCTCCATTAGCAGCCAGTCCACGCAGGCAGGATGCTGCGGAGAAAGCTCTATGCTGAGAACATTCCCCTTGATGGAAAGAAGGGCAACACAAAAGGGTAACTAAGAGCTCCTTCCTCTCGTGAGGGCGACAACTGAGGAACAGAAAAGGAGTGTCCCATGTCACTCTGACCCCCTCCCCAGCTGCCCTGGGCCCAGATGCCCCCATACTTGGCATTTACCAGAACCTGTCCCAGCTCAGACCCTGCCTAGACCCACCAGGTACCCAAAGTTCTCTGGGGAGGGCCAGGGAAGAGGCTGGGTGTCAAACCAAACAGATTTTTATTTGCAGTCGTCACTGGGGCCGTTTCTTGCTGCTTATTTGTCTGCTAGCCTGCTCTTCCAGCTGCATGGCCAGGCGCAAGGCCTTGATGACATCTGGAAGAAAGGGTAGCGGTACATATGGGGTTAGTGAGAGTCTGAGGAGCCCCCATTCACTCAGGGCAGAGCTGCCATCACCTGCAGCTGCCCAAGAGCCAGCAGAGGCCACCATCGTCCACCTGCACCCCATCCAGCCACACCCACCTCGCAGGGCTGAGAAATGCTTGGCTTGCTGGGCCAGAGCAGATTCCGCTTTGTTCACAAAGGTCTCCAGGTCATAGTCTGGCTGCTCGGTCATCTCAGAGAGCTCAAGCCAGTCTGGTCCTTGCTACAACACAGGGAGGACCTTGTCAGTTCAATAACCATTTAGCAAATCATTCCTGGGGTCCTACCAACTGCAATGCAGACACCTGAGTAAGATGCTTTACCTCTGGTCCCTGACCCATACCCTGGCTGTTCACCCTCTCCCCAAGGAAATCCTTAGCTTGAATTCACCCTCTTCCTACCCCAAGCTTGTTTTTTTCGTTTTCTTTGTTTCTTTTTTGAGACAGTTTCACTCTTGTTGCCCAGGCTGGAGTGCAATGGCGTGATCTCGGCTCACCATAGCCTCCACCCCCCGAGTTTAAGGGATTCTCCTGCTTCAGCCTCCCAAGTAGCTGGGATTACAGGCAAGTGCTACCACGCCCAGCTAATTTTGTATTTTTAGTAGAGACGGGGTTTCTCCATGTTGGCCAGGCTGATCTCGAACTCTCGACCTCAGGTGATCCGCAGGCCTCGGCCTCTCAAAGTGCTGGGATTACAGGCTTGAGCCACCACTTCCGGCCTCCTATCCCAAGCTTATCCCCATCTCTTATGTCAAATGAATAACATCATTGGTCCTGATGCCCAAGCTAGAAATTTGAGTGATTTTATTTTTATTGTTTTTTGAGATGGAGTCTCACTCTGTCACCCAGGCTGGAGTGAAGTGGTGTGCGATCCTGGCTCACTGCAACCTCCGCCTCCCAGGTTTAAGTGATTCTCCTGTCTCAGCCTCCCGAGTAGCTGGGACTACAGGCACACACCACCATAGCCAGCTAATTTATTTATTTATTTATTTTTTCTTTAAGACGGAGTCTTGCTCTGTCGCCAGGTTGGAGTGCAGTGGCGTGATCTCGGCTCACTGCAACCTCCGCCTCCCGGGTTCAAGTGATTCTCCTGCCTCAGCCTCCCAAGTAGCTGGGATTACAGGTGCCTGCCACCATGCCTGGCTAATTTTTGTATTTTTAGTAGAGACAAGATTTCACCTTGTTAGCCAGGCTGGTCTCAAATTCCCGACCTTAGTTGATCTGCCTGCATCAGCCTCCTAAAGTGCTAGGATTACAGGCGTGAGCCATCACGCCCGGTCAAATGATTCTTTTTAAATAATAGGTATACAACTCAGCCTCCCGAGTAGCTGAGACTACAGGTACGCGCCACCACACCAGGCTATTTTTTTTTATTTTTTAGTAGAGACAGGGTTTCACTATGTTGGCCAGGATGGTCTTGATCTCCTGACCTTGTGATCTGCCTGCCTTGGCCTCCCAAAGTGCTGGGATTATAGGCATAAGCCACCGCGCCCAGCCCGAGTGACTTTATTCTTTCACCGTACTTGTCACCAAATCCTCCTCAATTCTGCTCCCTAAATGGTTTTTTTCTTTCTTTCTTTCTTTTTTTATTATTATACTTTAAGTTCTAGGGTACATGTGCACAACGTGCAGGTTTGTTACATATGTATACATGAACTATGTTGGTGTGCTGCACCCATTAACTTGTCATTTACATTGGGTATATCTCCTAATGCTATCCCTACCCTCAGTTCTTTTTATTATAATTTTTGCTGCACACACCACCTTTGGGATATTTATTTATTTTTATTTTTTGTAGAGATGGGGCCATGTTACCCAGGCTGGTCTCGAACTCCTGAGCTCAAGTGATCTTCCTTCCTTGACCTCCCAAAGTGTTGGGATTACAGGCATGACTCACTGCACCTGGCCAAATGATTATTTTATTTTATTTTTGAGACAGTCTTGCTCTGTTGCCCAGGCTGGAGTGCAGTGGCACCATCTCGGCTCACTATAACCTTCGCCTCCTGGGCTCAAGTGATTCTCCTGCCTCAGCCTCCCAAGTAGCTGGGATAACAGATGCCTGCCACCATGCCTGGCTAATTTTTGTATTTTTAGTAGAGACGGGGTTTCACCATGTTGGCCAGGCTGGTTTCAAACTCCCGACCTTAGTTGATGTGGCCGCCTCAGCCTCCCAAAGTGACAGGATTACAGGCGTGAGCCATTGCGCCCGGTCAAATGATTCTTTTTAAATAATAGATATACGACTGGGCGTGGTGGCTCACGCCTGTAATCCCAGCACTTTGGGAGGTCGGGGCGGGAGGATCACCTGAGGTAGGGAGTTCGAGACCAGCCTGACCAACATGGAGAAATCCCGTCTCTACTAAAAATACAAAATTAGCTGGGCGTGGTGGCACATGCCTGTAATCCCAGCTACTTGGGAGGCTGAGGCAGGAGAATTGCTTGAACCTGGGAGGTGGAGGTTGTGGTGAGCCGAGATGGTGCCGTTGCACTCCAGCCTGGGGGACAAAAGCGAAACTCCATCCCCCCCCAAAACAAACAAACAAACAAACAAACAAAAACCAACCAGATATATAGGCTGGGCATGGTGGCTCACACCTGTAATCCCAGCACTTTGGGAGGCTGAGGCAGGCGGATCACTTAAGATCAGGAGTTCAAGACCAGCCTGGCCAACATGGTAAAACCCCATCTCTACTAAAAATACAAAAAATTAGCCAGGCATGGTGGCACGCACCTGTAATCCCAGGTACGCAGGAGGCTGAGGAAGGAGAATCGCTTGAACCCAGGAGGCGGAGGCTGCAGTGAGCCAAGATTGCACCACTAAACTCCAGCCTGGGTGACGAGTGAGACTCTGTCTCAAAAACATATATATATAGAGAGAGAGTACATATTTTGGGGGGTACCTTGTAAGATTTTCATGCTTGTATATCTAAATGGTTCATGAATCTCATGTCCTCATTCCAATCCCATGAACACGGACACAGTTTGGTCTAGGCACTAGTTTCTCTTTTTTTTTTTCTGAGATGGAGTCTTGCTCTGTCACCCAGGCTAGAGTGCAGTGGCACGATCTTGACTCACTACAACCTTTGCCTCCCTGGTTCAAGTAATTCTCCTGCCTCAGCCTCCCAAGTAGCTGAGATTACAGGCGCCCGCCACCATACTCGGCTAATTTTTTGTATTTAGTAGACATGGGGTTTCGCCACGTTGGCCAGGCTGGTCTCGAACTCCTGACCTCATGATCCACCCGCCTCGGCCTCCCAACGTGTTGGGATTACAGGCATGAGCCACCGCGCCTGGCTGGCAATAGTTTTTCTTGAACCCTTTCCAACAATCTCCTAACTGCCTCTACCTTTGCTTTTCTCAAGCCCCCAAACCAGGCTCCACATGGTGGCCATATGATATATCTAAAGCTCTGACATGCCCATGTCACCACTCTGCTTAACACCCTCCAAAGGCTTCCTCATGATGCAGTCCAGGCCTGTGAGATGAACCATCTAGAAGACTCTAGCATCAGATCCCTGTTGACCTGTCCACAGCCTTAACTACCCTCCATCACCTGTTCACTCCTTTTGCTCTGACCACGGTGAGCCTCTCATTCATCCTGAAAGTGCCATGTGCTTACAAAACTCTGTACCCCTGAGCACTCCAGGAAGGGGAGGAGAGGCCTGAGCACTTACCCTTCACAGTCCCTCCTCAGTTACACCTGCCCCAAGTTCTTCCTTCCTGCTCTGCAATCCTCTGAGCGCCCCACCATTGGGACGTAAATTCCTGCCTCCCAGTCACTTGCTCTTCCACAGTAGGGATTACAGTAGCAGGGGCACCTACCAGTTACTGAACCCTGACCACACACTGGGTACTGTGCTGACACTTTATAAGCATATTACTGAACGCTCAAATACAACCATCCTACCTTGACCATTTCAGAGATGCAAAAACTGAGGCCCAGTGAGGCTAAATGAATTTCACAAGGAAATCAGTTTGTGAATGGAAGAGACAGGATTGATCTCAAGTCATACCCTTAGGGCCTATTACCTATACTTCATGTTTTTTGGCCCTTGGATTCAGCACAAGAGTTGCAACATTCACCAAAACACAAGACAAGATCCCTGCATATGGATCACCCTTCAAATCCTCTATCAGGAGCGTGGAGGAGAGACTAGCTCTGGCTAGTGTGATGTCAGAAAGCCTATGTGTGCCAACCTGCAGAAGGGGTTGTGATAATTAGAAGAACAGCTGGGTTAACAGGCAAAGAATTAAAGAGTGCTGGTGTAGAGGGCTGCTTCTTGCTATGTG
Source organism: Homo sapiens (assembly GCF_000001405.40). Lineage (NCBI taxonomy): Eukaryota > Metazoa > Chordata > Mammalia > Primates > Hominidae > Homo > Homo sapiens. Next base: position 44,762,759 of record NC_000001.11, on the reverse strand, counting down.
AATACCTGTGGGAACAAGGCCCAGGTCATGTTCTGGGAATGGTGTGGAGCATACTGAGGGCCGTGCTGCATCCAGCTCCCTGTCCAGGGCCAGCTGCCTACCTGTATGATCTCCTTGAGCTCTTCCATAGCCTTCTCCTCCAGCTCCCTGATCTGAGTCATGGCTTCGTTAAAGCTGGACATCTGGGAAGACAGTTCCTCCTCTTCCTTGGATAACTGAGAGGGCCAAAAAGAAAGACAATTATGTGACCCAGGTGCCGCCTCAGCAGGCCACACTTCTGTCTTGCTTGGCCGCATCCTGGTCCTTACATTGCCTGGAATCAGCGCCCCGTTAGAGCAGGCTTCCATCTCTTCTGTTTCCATTTGAATCAACTGCTCTCCACTGGGCCCACTGTGGGGGCTCAGCTCCTTGACCCTGAGGAAACAAGGAGGTCTCAGATCCCACAGCACCCCCTTGGTACTCACCAGAGGAATGTGGCACCGCCCAGGCTTCGAGGCTTGAGGCTCCAAGGGGATGGAATGGCAACCTTGCCTTCAGCCAAGGAGAGAGAAAACTAAAGCTGGACTGGAAAAGCCCCTCACCCAGCTGACTCTCCAGCAGGGCCCGGAGAGGATTGGGACAGACCTAGCATCACGGCGGAACTCCCAAGCCTCAGGTTCAGAGTCACAGAGGAGTATACAGTAGGCCCTGAGGCCCCAGAGCCTCCTCCCCTCTCATCACTGCCCTTCCCTTGCCCAGTCCTGTTCCGCATCCCACCTAGCTGTAGGTACTAGTACCTGTCTGCATATCTCAGGGTGTTTAAAGTATATTCACAGGAGCTTATGCCTGGTGAGATCGTGGCAATCTGCAAAAGAGGGGTGGGTGATTAAAGGCTGAGAGGCACGGTGAGGATGCTATATAGCCTGTCCCTGAGGGGCCTCCAGTCAGGGTGTTTCTTCAAGCTTTGGAGACCCACATGGTATTGGTGGGAGGAGTCATTTAGCACCGCGCTGTGCTAGGCCACTTGCCCCATGGGCACTGCAAATTAAGGTGCCTCAGACATTGGTTTCCTGCTTTCAAAGACACATCTAATTATCTTTTGCTTCATTATTCCTTCACTGAGACAGTCTTGCTACCAAGGTCCTATCTTTTTCTTTTTTCTTTTTTTTTTTTGAGACGGAGTCTCACTCTGTCGCCCAGACCAGAGTGCAGTGGTGCGATCTCAGCTCACTGCAAGCTCTGCCTCCCAGGTTCACGCCATTCTCCTGCCTTAGCCTCCCGAGTAGCTGGGACTACAGGCACCTGCCACCACACCTGGCTAATTTTTTTTATTTTTTAATAGAGATGGGGTTTCACCATGTTAGCCAGGATGGTCTCTATCTCCTGACCTTGTGATCCACCTGCCTCTCGGCCTCCCAAAGTGCTGGGATTACAGGCGTGAGCCACCGCGCCCAGCCCAAGGTCCTATCTTAAAGCTCTGTGGCTTCTGCTGGAAACTTCAGTTCCCTTAGGCCAAAGGATAATGCCTTAGGTAGAGCTTAGTCAGAAAATCCCACCTTCCTCATGAAAGGACTCCTACCCAAAGGGTAGGGGAGAATATTCTCTTGAGGGGAAGGATGGCAGATCTCACATACAGGGGCTTGGGGATAAAACAGGAAAGAGGACGTCATTCAAGGACACAGCCTTATGATCCAGGCTATTTCTATTTTCTAGGCTGGGAGCCAGTGAACCTGAGGGAGGCCATGGAAAAGACAAGGACTTCCCTCTCCTGCTGACCCAAAGGCCCATCTTCCGAATTCTGGAACCCCCTTTTCATCAGGTAATGCAGGAATGACCTCTCCCAAACCAAGAGCTGCACCTACACATCTTAAAGGGAATAGATCCTTTCCTCCACGCTTGGTTAGGCCACAAGGAGTCTCGTGCATTAAAGCAGGGTCTGGAAGCCCAGTCACGGTACAGCCTGGAAACCCAGGCAGCCAGCAGTGCTGAGCTTCCAGCCCAGGGACAGGACTAAGTGTCTCTGTGGAAAGCAACTCTGTCTCCTCCTGTACCATCACCTTCAAAGTGACCCTACTCACCATGCAAGTCCTAGAGTTCTCCCCAATGAAGGAGTCCCTCAGCACCTGTGTCAGCTTGCTCTCACGGAACGGGGTGTGAGCCTTGTTCTGTCCCAGGGCCCTGATGCACTCCTGTGGGGGCAGCAGGAACAACTGAGGTCCCTTCTTTCCTTGCACTGATCCCTCCCCATCCCTTCCCAGTAGCTCTCCCGGCCAACCAGCTCTAGCTGCCCCACTACCTTCAGGGCTAAGAGACTCTTGTTGATTTCTGCGCCCTCCATGCGGGTCTGCCGGTCAGCACTGGAAGTGTCCGCGCCTCGCTCATTCCCTGCCAGATCTACCAAAGAGAACTTGCCATGCATTCTCCCTTTAGCTCGAAGAATAATTTGGAAGCACGCGTGGGAGCGGGAGGAATTGGAGTTGGCAAATGTCTGCCCAGAGGTTCTGTGGTAAAGAAAGGTTATGAGATTCTGTGGTCACCAGCCCCCATGGCACCCAAGTCCACAGAAGTTCTCTAGGAAGGGAGGGACACAGGTTAGGAGGCGAAAAAGTCCTGTTTTCCTGTCCCAGGCTTCCATCTTGCCCTCCCTGGGTAGCAATTCTCCCTCCAGCTCTGGACCTAATACATTTTCCTGGCAGCCAAATTAGTACTGGATTCTGGACTAGGGCCTTTGTCAGACCTGGAGCCCTAGAAGGACACGGGGAAGGATAAATTCCCTCTGCTAAAGGGCCCAAAGGGAAGGGGGAAGCTGTCATGAACCACCTGCCAGAACTTGAGGACCCTGTAGAGGGCAGCCCCCTCCCTGGGCCTCTATAGCTGCGTAGCGCCCCACTGTACCAATGTCTACAGCCCTAGTGGAAAAGTGCTCCCCTAATTCTGTGCAGAGGGGGTATGAACCCATTACTTCCAGCCCAGAACAGACCCAGAGCTCCCGACTTCCACCACAAAGGGAGGGAAGAGCAAGGAGAACCCAAAGAAGCCAGGAAGCATGCCTTTGGGGTAACACTTTGACTTGTTTTTATTTTTATTTTTTTGAGACAGGATCTTGCTCTGCCCATGCAGACTGGAGTGCAGTGGTGCGATCACAGCTCACTGCAACCTCTAACTCCTGGCCTGAAGTGATCCTCCTGCTTCATTTTCCCAAACTGCTGAGATTATAGGTGTGAGCCACTGTGCCTGACCTGACTTGGTTCTGATAAGCCTCTGGCCCTGGGGTCATATGTCTTATTGAGACCCCGTAAAGCAGAGGCCTTCGCAGCCCTTACCAAACTGGGCAAAGCAGCACTCTGGGTAAACAGAAATGTGCTCAGAGCTAGACTTTACTCATAAACCAGACATGAGAAGGTCGCTCCTTCCCCTCACCAGGACTCTCACCTGCAGGCGCTGCCCATGTCGATCATCTTGATGACATCATCAGCAGAGTTAACCAGATGCTCCTGCAGCCCCACCACTTGCACCTGTTGCTTGCCGTCCTCCAGCACGCGCAGCTTGGCCTTCTTGTTGAGCAGGTCAAACAGCTGTGCCAGGCAGGGGGAATGAGGCTAAGGCCACTGGGCACCCGGCACCCCACCCGACTGCTTCCTCCTACTAGCCTGCCCAGCTCGGACAAGAGCCAGCAGCAGGAAAGGCAGAGAATACGAACTGATGGATGTCAGCCTAGCAGAGGTCAATATACTTGGGATCTGAGCCGAACTGCCTCAGTTTGCTGTGACTCTGGTAACTTACTAGCTGTGTGAGCCTGGGCAAGTTAATAACCACTCTAGCCTTGCATCTCATCTGTAAAGGTGAGACAGGTAGTGCTTAGAATAGTGCATAGCTCCTAATATCTTATTATTATTATTATTTTGAGACGGAGTTTCGCTCGTATCGCCCAGGCTGGAGTGCAATGGTGCGATCACGGCTCACTGCAACCTCTGCCTCCTGGATTCAAGCGATTCTCCTGCCTCAGACTCCCGAGTAGCTGGGATTACAGGTGCCCCTAACCATGCCCAGCTAATTTTTTGTGTTTTTAGTAGAGATGGGGTTTCACCATGTTAGCCAGGCTGGTCTCAAACTCCTGACCTCAGGTGACCTGCCCGCCTCGGCCTCCCAAAGTGCTGGGATTACAGGTGTGAGCCATCACGCCTGGCCCCTAATATCTTATTAATGATAAATATTAGCTATTTTTATTATCTAGATCCCACTCTAAGGAAAGCAACTCTGCAGAAGCACACAGTGAATAGAGAGAGGGGTGGAAGAGATATATGGTGGTGCGGGCAGGGAAAGAATGAATATGAGACTGAACGTGCACAATCGGGGAAGAAGGGATGAAGGAGGTCGGCCGAGGGAGGTCAGGACACACACAGGCAAACCTTGCACCTGAAAGGGCGCCCTGAGGAGTATTCTTGCCATACTTCTTGAACTTAGGTGCCATCTCACCATCAGATTAAACCACCTACATGTGTATGCCAGGGCAGAATGGCCCATCAGTGGCTTGACAGCTAATCAGCTAATAGGTTTTTGGCCTCAACTTCTAGCCAGCTTCAAGGTTTTAAAAAGTGCTGGGCCCCAACAGTGTAAACAAGGGGCTTCCTGCCAGCTACCTTCCCATTGTAGATCTCGAAGAATGTCACATAGACTTCCAGGCCCAACTTCCGGTAGCAGGGTTGATTCTTCAGGAGGAAGACGTCCCGGGCTGAGGGAGAGAACTTTGCTAAGCAAACAACCTGCCTTTCTGTGCCCAACCCTGAAGCAGCAGTACACAGTACTTACAGGCCATGGCATAGATCCCTTTGGATGCATTCTGGGCTTTCCCAGAGAGGTCTCCGCCCATAGTCTGCAAAGGGAAGGGGTAGAAGACCATGGAAAAGGGCTGTTGGCCTAGAGCAGAGCACTACTGGCTCCTTCACTACAGTGGGCCACAACAAAGCCAGAAGGCTGGACCTAAAGCCCCTCCCTGCATCTGACATGGCAAGGCTATCTGGTGATGGGGCATCTGTAACAAGGGGCCTTTCTCAACAAACTCATTGTCTCCCTTTATAGGGAGCCAGGGGTGCACAAGGGAAAGGCTCTTTCCCCGCCAGGCCTCAATACTCACATGTGTCTTGCCACTTCCTGTCTGGCCATATGCAAAACAAGTTGCTTTTCCACCTTCAAAGATTGTCTGTACCAGTGGCCTTGCTGTGAACCTAGAAGAGGGGTAGAGTATTTGTATCTGTTCCCAAACTGTGCTCCCTGGAACATGTCCTGCCACCCTTCCACTGCAGAGTTCTAGGGTCGATTCCTCCTTCTAAGAATAGCACTCCTCTCCTGCCTCAGTGGTCCCACCTGACCCCAACCCCACTTTACAAATCTGAAATACTCCTAGCAAACTGGCAGTGGGATGGGTGTTGGGGGATCACTGGGCCGACTAACCAGAAGCAAGCTGATGGCCCATACTCTAAGCCATCTGACCTTTCCTCTGACCCTGGAGACACAGCATAAAAGCCTAAGCTCAGCATCCAGCTTCCAGCAGAAGAGACACTACTGGCTGGGCACAGTGGCTCACGCCTGTAATCCCAGCACTTTGGGAGGCCGAAGTGTGTGGATCACCTGAACTCAGGAGTTTGAGACCAGCCTGACCAACATGGTGAAACTGTCTCTAATAAAAATACAAAAAATTAGCCAGGTGTGGTGGCACGTGCCCGTAATCCCAGCTACTTGAGAGGCTGGGGCAGGAGAATTGCTTGAACCTGGGAGGCGGGGGTTGCAGTGAGCTGAGATCTCGCCACTGCACTCCAGCCTGGGCAACTGACTGAGACTCTGTCTCAAAAAACAAATAAATAAATAAAAATAAAATAAGTAAATATCCCTATGAGGGTACTGGGTGCTGTATTAGAAAGAGCAGATCTGGGGCCAGGTGCAGTGGCTCACACCTTTAATCCCAGCACTTTGGGAGGCCAAGGCGAGCGGATCACCTGAGGTCAGGAGTTTGAGACCAGCCTGACCAACAGGGCGAAACCCTGTTTCTACTAAAAATACAAAATTAGCCAGGTGTGATGGCAGGCGCCTGTAATCCCAGCTATGTGGGAGGCTGAGGCAAGAGAATCGCTGGAACCTGGGAGGCGGAGGTTGCAGTGAGCCGAGATTGTGCCCCTGCATTCCAGTCTGGGCAACAAGAGCAAAACTCCGTCTCAAAAAAAAAAAAAAAAAAAAAAAAAGCAGATAGAGCAGATCTGGAGTTCCCCAAATCTGTGAACCCCAGTGGGCAATGGTGTGGCTGCATAAGGCACAGAAGAACCCCTGGAGCCTGGCCAGCCCTGCCTCAGCACGTAACGGGTGATACCTCATTCAGTATCCACTCAAGGATGGGCCACTAAGCTGCCAAAGGGTGTGACCCAAAGAAAACACAAGAAGCGAGGAAGAGCCTCAGAATTCAGCACGTCTGTGAGTAGTGTTACCACGATGTCCCACAAAAAAAGGGGATGGAAGGGCACAAGGAGGGAAAAATGGATGCAAGGGACTAACCTGTAGACAACTTCATTCGAAGCTGTTTCATCAAATGCAAAGTCAAAGCAGAATGCTTGGTTCTCCAGATACTTTGTTAAGTCCACTTTCAACTTGGGTTCATGTACCAAGAGGAGACACTTGCTAGGAATGGAAATCACATCAATTTCTTTCTTGGCCAATTCTGCAGAAGGAGAGTATTTCAGGGGGTGCTCCCTGGAAACAGAAGGCCCATTAGTCAGTCTGAAGCCTCTTCCTGACTGAACAGGACTTACCTTGCTTATTCAGTGGGCGTTTCCTAACACAGACACATATTCTGTGCTCTTCGATCTGCAAGCGGATGAGAGGAGGCAACCAACAGCAAAGGGTCAGAGCAATTTCAAAAGCGAGCTTGTCCAGAACTCCCACCCCTTCCAATCCCATGTCTGGCCCAGTCAGAGGCCAAGATCTAACACTAGGACCCCTGCATCCTCCATTAGATACTCCAGAGCACAAGAAGGGAGCACTGGATTTTGTTCCCATTTTTCTCACTCTGCTGCCTACAAGAGTTTCAGCACTACTTTCATGATTTTTACTAATGCAGGAATCTAGCCAACCTATGGTATGGGGGTGGAACCCAGTTTATAAAGATCAGACCCCTCCCCATGTGGGCCTCACTAGCTTCAGCCCACCAAAGGATATTAAAAAATAACCTCGGCTGGGCATGGTGGCTCACGCCTGTAATCCCAGCACTTTGGGAGGCTGAGGTGGGCAGATCACGAGGTCAGGAGTTCGACACCAGCCTGACCAACATGGTAAAACCCCATCTCTACTAAAAATACAAAAATTACCTAGGCGTGGTGGCACATGCCTGTAATCCCAGCTACTGGGGAGGCTGAGGCAGGAGAATCACTTAAACCTGGGAGGTGGAGGCTGCAGTGAGCCAAGACCATGCCATTGCACTCCAGCCTGGGCGACAGAGCGAGACTCTGTCTCAAAAAAAAGTAAAATAAAATAACCTCAGCCAGGCACAGTAGCTTACACCTGTAATCCCAGCACTTTGGGAAGTCAAGGTAGGCGGATTCCTTGAACCCAGAAGTTCCAGATTGGCCTGGGCAACATGGTGAAACCCTGTCTCTACCAAAAATACAAAAAATCAGTAGGGTGCGGTGGAATGCATCTATGGTCCCAGCTACCTGGGAGGATGAGGTGGGGAGGATCACTCAAGCCCAGGGAAGTGGAGGTTGCAGTGATCCAAGATCGTACCACTGCACTCCAGCCTGGGTGACAGAGTGAGACCCCATCTCAAAAAAAAATAATAATAAAACCCTCAAAGGTGAGTAAAGATTCCTGCATGCCCTCATTCCTGTAAAGAGAAGTTTTCTGTCTCTCAATTGTACACTTAAGAAAGAGAAGTTCTTTGGATGTACTTACAGGATCAGTCATAGTAAGTGGATGACATTCCAAAGTAGCCCGAAATTCTTTAATCATTCGGGCAAATTCCCAGTTTGGAAAACTACTGTCATACTCCTGGTTTGAGACGAGAGTGAAAAAGGGCAGACTGTTAAGATATAAGTGCTCTCAGACCCCTATGCGGCAGCAGCAACAGCTCTTTGCTCACCACCCTTCATAGTTGTCAAAGTCCCTGCCCTGGCTCTGGGTTGAGAAGCCAGGTACAAAGCACTGGGGAAGAGATTGGCAGAGGGGCCTAAGCATACGCCAAAGCACGCTAGGAACTGGAACTAGGGCCAGTTCCACATTTTAGGAGGCACAGCAGATCGGGCTTCCCAGAAGCAATGAACCCAAATAAGGGGACTGTACTGCAGTCCCTGCCCTCCAAATACGTACAACTTGGGGGAGGATAGGAGAGAGCAGACCAATTGTGCCCTGCAGCCCCTCTGGCCATCACGCCATGTGAGCATGTGATGGGCTTGCTTACTAGACAGTCAGCATGAAATGTTCCTCATCTGAGGGCCTTCAGAAACATTTCTGAATTATTTGTTCTCTGAATCCTGATAAACCAGTTAAATTTCCTGGATATCAGAATTGGAGCGTCAGAGGCCAGGCGCAACAGCTCATGCCTACAATCCCAGCACTTTGGAAGGCCAAGCATTCCAGACCAGCCTGGGCAAAATAGCGAAACTCTGTCTCTACTAAAAATACAAAAAATTAGCGGCACATGCCTGTAATCCCAGCTACTTGGGAGGCTGAGGCCCAAGAATCACTTGAACCCAGAGGTGGAGGTTGCAGTGAGCCGAGATCACACCACTGCACTCCAGCCAGGGCAACAGAGCAAAAAAAAAAAAAAAAAAAAAAAAAAAGAATTGGGGCCTCAAGAACTGGAGCCTCAGAAATGCTGGGGCCCAACTGTATCTCTGTTGCCCGTAGAGTTTCGGTTAAGGACACCTGTCCAAAAACCCTTACCCTAGTCTCCCAAGAAAGGTACCTGAGCTCTCTTCATTCTCATTTCAGAGTTCTGGGCCTTCTTCTCTTCTCGCTTGTTCTTCATTTTTTCCACTTCCTTCACAAGACATGATTTCCTCCGAACTATGAAAACATAAAAAAAAAAGAAAAAAAAAGGAAGCCCACTCTGTTACCAGTTTAAGCCAGCCTACTCTTCTCTGGCTATTTACTGAGTACTGGGCCTTTCCCAGGGAGAGGCCTTCTCTAGATCCTTACTCTTAAATCACTATATGCAAAAAGAAGTAATAGATGTGACTCTCGGGATGGACAAGTCCACAAAGTAGTGGCCTGGCCAATATGAAGTCAAATAGTGATAACTGCACTCCAGTTCTAACCCAAGCTCTTCCTATGCATCTTGGCTACTTTCTCAACAACCACAGAAGTGAAACAGTTCTTGTTTTGTCTTGATAATGAAAGACTGATTCCATGGCCAGAGGAAAACATGCCCCCACGTGACAAACAGGGCTTGAACTCAGGTGCCAAGGTAGGCCAGGTTTAGGACAGGATGTAAACTATCTGTGCCTCACTAGAAGCAGAACAGCAGACAGCTCAGTGTGTCTACCTGAGTTCACAGGGTTTGCAGAAGAGCTGCCTCGGATGGAATGGACTTGCTCTTCCATCTCCTCGCTGACCATCCTCAATGGTATTTCAGCCACTGCAGGGCAGGAAGGCCTAGTGGGGGCAGCTGTAGGGGAACAAGAGTCACTGGAGAAGCAGGCAAGTATACCACAGGCATCTCACCTGAGCCCATGGCCCTGGTTATGGGCCGGGAGAGCGACCTGCCTGCTCGGTAAGGCTTACAGTATGTGCAGAGCTTGTGCTTTTCCCTTCACCTCAGCCCACACTCTCACCCTTTCTGCAAGGGCTGGCTCCTGGGGTCAAAATATCTTAAAGGGTATGTGAACAGTTCAGTATGGGCTTTGACATGAAGGGAAAAGCCTCTGAGAGCGTGAACTCTTTAGACTTCACCCAAGCATGGGTTCTCAGGCCAGGCCAGGTCTGGTCTTAGGGAGAAAAGCCAGGCCTTTCTGACTTCTCTCAAGCCTCAGGAACCCAGGTGGTTAACAGGAGCAAAGACTGAAAATCTAGGGTGACAGGGAACTGGGGCAATAACTAACCAGATTGATTCAATACAGAAAGGTCCAATCCACAACACCTCATTACTTCCCATACGTGGTCATGACCCATTCATTTACCTTCATCGTATTAGAGCTGAATTTGATATATGTAAAGTATAATGGTTGTGTGTCTTACACAATTTGCATCTAATTTATATAATCTATTAAAGACTGACAAATAATTCACATTACAAATTTTTATTTATATTTACTAATTTTCCACACCTCATCTGACTCACTTAAAAAATCTTAAAATTCAATTTATAGCCGGGCACGGTGGCTCACGCCTGTAATCCCAGCACTTTGGGAGGCCGAGGCGGGCGGATCACGAAGTCAGGAGATCGAGACCATCCTGGCTAACAGAGTGAAACCCCGTCTCTACTAAAAATACAAAAAATTAGCCGGGCGCGGTGGCAGGCGGCTGTAGTCCCAGCTACTTGCAGGCTGAGGGAGAATGGCATGAACCCGGGAGGCAGAGCTTGCAGTGAGCCGAGATCGCAGCACTGCACTCCAGCCTGGGCGACAGAGCGAGACTCTGTCTCAAAAAAAAAAAAAAAAAAAAAAATTCAATTTAATATAGGCCGGGCGCAGTGGCTCAAGCCTGTAATCCCAGGACCTTGGGAGGCCGAGGTGGGTGGATCACGAGGTCAGGAGTTTGAGATCAGCCTGGCCAATATGGTGAAACCCTGTCTCTACTAAAAATACAAAAATTAGCCAGGTGTGGTGGTGTGCACCTGTAGTCCTAGCTACTCGGGAGGCTGAGCCAAGAGAATGGCTTGAACAGGGGAGGCAGAGGTTGCAGTGAGCTGAGATCACACCACAGCACTCCAGCCTGGGCGACACAGCGAGACTCCATCTCAAAAAAAAAAAAAAAAAAGGTATAAAAAGAGGGCCGGGTGCAGTAGCTCACGCCTGTAATCCCAGAACTTTTGAGAGGCCAAGGCGGGCAGATCACATGAGGTCAGGAGTTCGAGACCAGCCTGACCAACATGGAGAAACCCCATCTCTACTAAAAAGACAAAATTAGCCTGGCATGGTAGCACATGCCTGTAATCTCACCTACTCGGGAGGCTGAGGCAGAAGAATCAATTGAACCCGGGAGGCAGAGATTGAGGTTAGCCAAGATAGCGTCATTGCCCTCCAGCCTGGGCAACAAGAGCAAAATTCCGTCTCAAAAAAAAAAAAAAAAAAGTACAAAAAGAGGGCTGGGCGAGGTGGCTCACGCCTGTAATCCCAGAACTTTGGGAAGCCGAGGTGGGCGGATCACTTGAGGCCAGGAGTTCAAGACCAGCCTGGCCAACATGGCGATACCCCACCCCTACTAAAAATACAAAAATTAGCCGGGCGTGGTGGCACATGCCTGTAATCCCAGCTACCCAGGAGGCTGAGGTGGGAGAACTGGTTGAACCTAGGAGGCGGAAGTTGCAGTAAGCCAAGACCACGCCATTGCACTCCAGCCTGGGTGACAAGAGTGAGACTCTGTCTCAATAAATAAATAAATAAATAAATAATAAAATACAGAAAGAAAAAAAGCTAATTAATGCTATTAGAAGTCAGGATTATGGGTACCCTTGGGGGAATTAGGAGCTGCAAATATGCCCAACAGGGACTTTTGAAGTTCTGTTAATGCTCTGATCATGTTAGTTACATGAGTGTGTTCTGTTTATGAAAATTCACTGAACTATATACTCAATGCTCTGTGTACTTAGACCTTAGACTCCTCAACTATCTCAGAGGGCTTCTGCCTAGTCTTTCACCTCTTCCAAAAGACTGATTCCATGGCCACAGGAAAACATGCCCCCATGTGACAAACAGGGCTTGAACTCAGGCGATTTGAAGTACTGGTAATGCTCTGATCATGTTAGTTACATAAGTGTGTTCAGTTTACAAAAATTCACAGAACTAAATACTCAATGCTATGTGTTCATGTCTGTGTTTATGTGTGTGTAATGTTTCAATTAAGTTTTTTTAAAAAAGAGATGATTTCCAAATAAGAAAGCCGTGTTGGTAGGGCAGGAGCAGACCAGTTCTGAAGCTGGGGGAATGGATGAATCTCAGGATATTCTAGCACAGGGACCAAGCAATGTGCTCCAGGGCCTCAAACATGGTGGTTGGGGGCACATTCGTTACTCACGAGGAACTGAAAACTGCTTGCGGGAGTTTGCAGCTGCAGGCAGCTCCACCTCCATGTCATTCTCCTGAGCCGTGATGCGAAGCTCTGAGACAGTGGACATGCGAGTGGAGCGGCTTCGAAGACCTGGAGAACCGAGAGCAGTAGCCAGTCAGTGCTGCACGATCTCGAGGGTGGTCAGGGGCAAACCTCCAAGTTTCTGTACAAGGTGAAATAGGTCCCAGCTACCAGGAAAGGGGCTCGCCAACTTCCCATATTCCTTAGAAAGGAAAAATTAGAAAGACCAAGTACCAGTAACCCCAAAACCTCTTTGTCCACATTGTGCAAATCTAGGAGCTCCTGAGGGCAAGGATATCTCCCACAAAGAGCGGCTGTCTTGAGTAAGTACAGGAACCTATAGCTATCCTGAAAACATTTCTGGAGAGAGAGAGACCTAATCTAAGTCCTTGAGAAAAAGTATTATGAATCTTTTTTTTTTTTTTTTTTTTGAGGAGTTTCGCTCTTGTTGCCCAGGCTGGTGTGCAGTGGCGCGATCTCGGCTCACTGCAACCTCCACCTCCTGGGTTCAAGCAATTCTCCTGCCTCAGCCTCCCAAGTAGCTGGAACTACAGGTGTGCACCACCAGACCCAGCTAATTTTTGTATTTTTTTTTTAGTACAGACGGGGTTTCACCATGTTGGCCAGCATGGTCTCAATCTCTTGACCTTGTGATCCACCCGCCTCGGCCTCCCAAAGTGCTGGGATTACAGGTGTGAACCACCGTGCCCAGCCCATCTTTTTTGAGAGACAGAGTCTCACACTGCCACCCAGGCTGGAGTGCAGTGGCATGATCTTGGCTCACTGCAACCTCTGCCAAAACCAACTTCTACCCAGTTTCTGAGTATTATAAGTTCAGGCTGATGGCTATATATAATCCATGTTTTGAATTTTTACAATCGTCCTATTTCCCTAATGATTTTATTTTATTTTTTATTTTTATAATAAGACTGAGTCTTGCTATATTGCCCAGGCTGGTCTCAAACTCCTAGGTTCAAGCCATCTTCCTGCCTCAACATCCCAAAGCACTGGGCTTACAGGTGTGAGCCATCACATCTAGCCCCAAATGATCTGTAATTTTTTTTCTTTGTTTTTTTGAGACCGAGTCTCACTCTGTCACCCAGGCTGGAGTACAGTGGCATGATCTCGGCTCACTGCAACCTCTGCCCCCCCGGGCTCAAACGATTCTCCTGCCTCAGCTTCCTGAGTAGCTGGGATTACAGGCACCCACCACCACGCCTGGCTAATTTTTGTATTTTTAGTAGAGACAGGGGTTTCACCATGTTGGCCAGGCTAGTCTTGAACTCCTGACCTCAGGTGATCCACCCGCCTTGGCCTCCTAAAATGCTGGGATTACAGGTGTGAGCCACCACACCCGGCCAGTTTTTTGTATTTTGAATAGAGACAGGGTTTCACCATGTTGACCAGGCTGGCTTGGAACTCCTGACCTCAGGTGATCTGCCCACCTTGGCCCCTCAAAGTGCTGGGATTACAGGCATGAGCTACTGCTCAGGGCCTTAAAGATTTTTTTTTCCATTAAAATGAGCTGTGTAGCTGGGCATGGTGGTGTGTGCCTGTAGTCCCAGCACTTTGGGAGGCTGAGGCAGGAGGACTGCTTGAAGCTAGGAGTTCAAGACCAGCTTAGGCAACAAAGCGAGACTCCATCCTAAAGAAAAAAAGCTATTGGCTGGGCATGGTGGCTCGCGCCTGCAATCCTAGCACTTTAGGAGGCTGAAGCAGGAGGATCACTTGAGGCCAGGAGTTTGAGACCAGCCCAGGCAACATAGTGAGACCTTGTCTCTACAAAAAAAAAAAAAAAAAAAATTAGCCAGGTGTGATGGGGCACACCTGTAGTCCCAGCTACATGGGAGGCTGAGGTGGGAGGATTGCCTGAGCCCAAGAGTTCAAGGCTACAGTGAGCTACGATCATATCATGGTATTCCAGCATGGACAACCAAGTGAGACCCTGCCTTTGAAAAACAAAACAAAACAAAGCTGGGGCAATATCCTTTGAGGACATGAACACGGAATGGGACTGCTGCGAGTCCCAACTCTCCTGCATGACCTTACGGTACACCCAGCAAGAAAGGGCCAGCACCACAATAGTCAGGCCCAAGCTTGCAATGGCACCACCTTCCACTCAGGGCCCCCAGAACCTGAAGCTCCAGCCAAGTATTCTGTGAGTCCCTGAGGTAGCTGAATCATTTCAGGGCAATGATGACCCCTAGACCTGGAGAGCTGTGCAGGTCACCAGCCTTCAAGGTACAACTGGCTTTAAGCTGGATCTTTTGGGAAGCTTACCCCCTAGAGTCACAGTCTATCATGTTGTCAAAGTAGGTTTTCACAGACTACTTCTGCAGAGAGACTCCCAACCTCCTAGACCACGAGGCAATGCTGTTATTCTCTCCAGCCCCAGCCATCCCTCTCTATAGCGCCACCAACTGTACTTCTAAACAACCCACAGGCCTAGTGTCTCCCATTTTCAAAATCTCTTTCCAAGGCATACTGTTCCACTGAGGGGGCTGAGCCCCGAGGGAAGAAAAAAGGCCTACCAATGGCTGATTCCTACTCTCCTCAGCATCAGGCTCTGGATTCTACAGAAAAGGTTTCTAGGCCAGGCAGCAAATTTCCTAAATGCACCAGGTCTCTTAAAGGTTGGCCTGATAGCTGTAGATTGGATTCTTTCTCATAGAGAAAGATGCTTGGAACACAGGCAGGACTCAACCCACATAGAAACCACCTGCAAAAGAGGAGCTTCCACAACTCTGAGTCCTAGAAACATAATTCCTGACACAAATTCCATGATAGTAAGCTAGTAGAAATCCACTTACTTTCTTTTGGAGCAGGAATTTTGGAGTTGACGGATCTCCGTTTTTGTTTCTGAAAAACAAATCAAATTGTCACAATATATGGCTCTTATCAATTCTCAAGGGCCCATCCTGGGCCCATGTACTATGCTAAAATGCCAGACAATCAATCAGCAAAGAGTCAATAAGCAAAGTGAATTCTCTGGCGCACTGGCTGCAGCCAGATGACAGGCACCTACCTGGATTGTTACATTTTCCTGCAAGGGCAGATTGTCCTTCGGATGTAAGGGAAGAAGCTGTAAGAGTTCTGGGTTTATTGCAGCCACATCATCAAAATCAATCTGCAAGGAGCAAGTAAAAGTTTCAATGAAACAACATTGTTCAATCCAAATACATTTTTTCTTTTTTTTTTTTTTTGAGACAGAGTATCGCTCTGTCGCCCAGGCTGGAGGGCAGTGGTGCGATCTTGGTTCAATGCAACCTCTGCCTCCTGGGTCCAAGCAATTCTCCTGCCTCAGCCTCCTGAGTAGCTGGGACTACAGGCATGCGCCACCACGCCCAGCTAATTTTTGTATTTCCAGTAGAGACAGGGTTTCACCATGTTGGCCAGGATGGTCTCAAACTCCTGGCCTCAGGTGATCTCCCCACCTCGGCCTCCTAAAGTGCTGGGATTACAGGTGTGAGCCACTGTGCCTGGCCCCCCCGAGGCTGAGGCGGGAGAATTGCTGGAATCCAGGAGGCGGAGGTTGCATTGAGCTGAGATTGAGCCACTGCCCTCCAGCCTGGGCAACAGAGCAAGACTCTGTCTCAAAAAACAAAAAACAAACAAACAAACAAAAAAACAACATAGAAAAAATTAAATTTCTATAGACAGGGGTACCCCTAAATTCAAACTTTACCAACTTTAAGTTCCACTAAGTATGAATAGCTATAAAACAAATAGTTACTCCTTAATAATGGTTTACCATCTAGATGGATATGGGTTTCTGATTTCCAAGCCAATGGTAGACGTCAGTGATGAGAATGAGGTGAAGAGGAGGGCAGACAGGCAGGCAAACAGTCGGGTACTCCACAGCAGATCTAGGCCACTTGGCTCCCCTGCTGATCTGCTGGGCAGTGAGGTCCTGCTGGGCACAGCCCCCCAAGCACCTCTTGATGGCTGACACGGAGGAGGAAACAAGTTCTAACTGTCTGGTGAGAGTCAAATGGGGGCCCTTTAGGATCTTATGGGCAGGGGCAAGTTCCTGACAGCTGCTACCTAACCCTAAGACTACCTACATTTTCTTCTGGGCCCAGAAACTTCCCCAGTTACGGCTTCCTGCCCATGCCTTACCTATTTCCTGTTGATGCCTGCAATGAGGTCACAATTCTAAGTTTACATCATCAGAGTCCTGCAATTCTCCAGGAACAACTCAAACTTCACCAGGATAGCTTTACAACAGGTTCAGACATATTAAATTTGTCCCAACTTTGTATTTCAAAATGTGACAGAGCTGAAGCATGTACTCTAGGGTGAGGGCTTTACTGCCTAGAGATGAAACCTGCAGGACTGGGTGCGGTGGCTCACGCCTGTAACCCCAGCACTTTGGGAGGCCGAGGTGGGCGGATTACCTGACCTCAGGAGTTCAAGGCCAGCCTGGGCAACACGGTGAAACCCCTGTCTCTACTAAAATACAAAAAGTTGGCTGGGTGTGGCAGCGTGCACCTGTAATCCCAGCTACTCAGGAGCCTGAGGCAGGAGAATGGCGTGAACCCAGGAGGCGGAGCTTGCAGTGAGCCGAGATCCCGCCACTGCACTCCAGCCTGGGCGACACAGCGAGACTCCGTCTCAAAAAAAAAAGAAAAAGAAAAAAGAAATCTGCAGTTATTTGCTGCCTATTCAAACATTTGTTAGGCACCACGAAGACAGCAGCCTACAGGGGGAAGGTAGTCAAAGATGAATTAAGACATATATAGGCCGGGCGTGGTGGCTCACGTCTGTAATCCCAGCACTTTGGGAGGCTGAGACAGGCAGATCACCTGAGGTCGGGAGTTCAAGACCAGCCTGACCAACATGGAAAAACCCCGTCTCTACTAAAAATAAAAAATTAGCCAGGTGTGATGCATGCCTGTAATCTCAGCTACTCGGGAGGCTGAGGCAGAAGAATCGCTTGAACCCGGGAGGCGGAGGTTGCAGTAAGCCAAGATAGCGCCATCACACTCCAGCCTGGGCAACAAGAGCGAAACACTGTCTCAAAAAAAAAAAAAAAAAAAAAAAAAAGACATATACAACCCCTGCCACCATGAGCTCAATTTCTAATGGGGATTATAAGTCATATGTACAAAGGAAATCAAAGCAGAATGAGATTTAAATAAAAAAAAAAAAAGGAGGATAGAATCACTAAATGCAAAAGCTGGCAAGCACTTCAGTAATCACACTTCTATCCACACTTCTGGGACAGCCACAGACTCTTGGTACATACCTCCCCCATTTCTAACCCCTAAACTACAGAGAGCATAAACAACAAAGAAAACCAGAGGTTTTTTTTTTTTTTTGAGATGGAGTTTCACTCTTGGTGCCCAGGCTGGAGTGCAGTGGCATGATCTCGGCTCACTGGAACCTCCGCCTCCCAGGTTCAAGTGATTCTCCTGCCTCAGCCTCCTGAGTAGCTGAGATTACAGGCATGCGCCACCATGTCCAGCTAATTTTGTATTTTTAGTAGAGACAGGGTTTTACCACGTTGGCCAGGCTGGTCTTGAGCTCCTGACCTCAGGTGATCCGTCCACCTCAGCCTCCCAAAGTGCTGGGATTACAGGCATGAGCCACCACGCCCGGCCTTTTTTAGACGGAATCTCACTCTGTCGCCCAGGCTGCTGGAGTGCAATGGCGCGATCTCAGCTCGCTGCAACCTCCACCTCCCGGGTTCAAGCGATTCTTCCGCCTCAGCCTCCTGAGTAGCTGGGACTACAGGTGCGCACCACCACATCCGGCTAAGTTTTTGGATTTTTAGTAGAGATGCAGGTTCACTATATTGGCCAGGCTGGTCTTGAACTCCTGACCTCATGATCCGCCCGCTTCAGCTTCCCAGAGTGCTGGGATTACAAGTGTGAGCCACCACGACCCGCGAAAACCAGAGTTTTAAGCCTTGCTCTGACAATCAACTGATTCTCATGTTGATAATTCAGGGTGAACATCCCAGGAGAAAGGAATAAGAGTGTAAAGGCAGCAGGGAATTAGGCAGTCACAGAGCAGTAAACTGCCTCATTTGCCAGGGCATAGGATATGTGGAAGAAGAGTATGTGGTACAAAGAAAAAGGGTGATTAGAATCAGAGCTTGAGCCACATGTGGTGGCTCATGCCTGTAATCCCAGCACTTTAGGAGGCCAAGATGGCCAGATCACTTGAGGTCAGGAGTTTGAGACCAGCCTGGTCAACATGGGGAAACCCTGTCTCTACTAAAAATACAAAAATTAGCTGGGTGTGGTGGCAGGTGCCTGTAATCCCAGCTACTTGGGAGACTGAGTGAGGAGAATTGCTTGAACCTGGGGCATGGAGGTTGTAGTGAGCCGAAATCGGCTCACTGAGGGAGATCGTGCCACTGCACTCCAGCCTGGCGATAGAGTGAGACTTTGTCTCAAAAAACAAACAAACAAACAAAAAAAAAAACCAGAGCTTGAAAAGGCTCTGAATGCCCCACTAAGAAGTTCGGATCTTATTCCAAAAGCAGTATTTGATCTGAGGTAAAACAAGGGATATATTTCTAAACAAGCAACAAAAACAAATCACAAAAGACTGATAATAGCTGGTTGAAAGGAATTTTAGGAACCTCTTAATTCTTTAGGGGCAGATAATGGAAAGTATTCAATCCTTTTATTTCTCAAATATACCACCTAAATATCTCTACTATACGTACTATGCTAAGCAAGCTTTTTACATGTTTTATCTTTTTTATTTATTTGTTTTTGAGACAGGGTCTCACTCTGTCACCCAGGCTGGAGTGTAGTGGCTCACTGTAGCCCTGAACTCCTGGGCTCAAGCAATCCTCCTGCCTTAGCCTCTGGAGTAGCTGGGACCACAGGCGCAAGCCACTATGACTGGCTAATTGTTTTTTATTTTTAGTAGAGATGAGGTCTTGCTGTATTTGCCCAGGATGGACTCAAACTCCTGGCCTCAAGAGGTCCTCCTGCCTCAGCCTCCCAAAGTGCTGAGATTACAGGTACTGTGCCCAGCTACATGTATTATTTTATTAAGCTCCATGGAAGAGAGTCCAAGAGTCTGTCTCCTTCACCTCTGTATCCCTAGCACCCAATAAGTGTCTAGCATTTTGGAAGCAGTCCAAAAAATGTGCTGAGTAAATCCTCACAACAACCCTGTGAGGTAGACATTATTATCATCCTCACTTTATAGATGAGGAAACTAAACTTCGAAGAGGGGCAGAAACATGCCTGAGAACACAAAGCAGTGGCAGAGCCAGACTAGAATCCAGGTTTTCATACTCCTAGCCCAGTGACCTTTTCACTACACCACAATGCCACTAGAACAGAAATGTCTTAGTCACAGTGCTCTCCTCAAAATCCTTCCAAGGTTCCCCACTGCCTACAGAAGAAAACCTAACCAGCTCAGTGCCAGACATGAAGACCTTTGTCTCCTTTTTCAGCTGTTTTGCGGCTGCCAAGCATCCTGGGCCCTGCACTGCTCGTGGCCAGCTTCTTCATGGTCCCCATGTGTGCCATCTTGCTGCTTCAGCTAAGCCTTCACACTCCACCCTCTAAGCCCAGCCCATTCTCAGCAAGTTTCCACCTCTGAGCTGCTCTAGCAATGCTCATCTGTGCCATTCATCACAAGTTGTCTTCTGTTAGTTGGTTAGTTGGTGATTCAGAAACGTCTTTTTGTCTCCTCAACCAGGTTATTGATTTCATTCACCAAACTGATATCACAGGTAGTGTGCATGCAGAACCTAGCTTGGGCAAGCAAAGTTTTCTAAAACCTAAAATTCTGTGCAGTTTGTTTTTTTTTTTTTTTTTTTGAGACGAAGTTTCACTCTGTTGCCCAGGCTGGAGTGCAGTGGCATGATCTCAGCTCACTGCAACCTCTGCCTCCCAGGTTCATGTGATCCTCCTGCCCCAGCTTCCCAAGTAGCTGGGATTACAGGCCCGTGCCACCACACCCAGCTAATTTTTGTATTTTTAGTAGAGATGGGGGTTTCGCTATGTTGGCCAGGCTGGTCTCAAACTCCTGATCTCAAGTGATCCGCCCACCTCGGCCTCCCAAAGTGCTGGGATTACAGGCATGAGCCACTGCGCCTGGCTGCAGTTTGCTTTCTACAAACATACCAGAGCCGGGCATGGTGGCTCACGCCTGTAATCCCAGCACTTTGGGAGGCAGAGGCAGGCGGATCACGAGGTCAGGAGATCGAGACCATCCCGGCTAACACAGTGAAACCCCATCTCTACTAAAAATACAAAAAATTAGCCGGGCGTAGTGGCGGGCACCTGTAGTACCAGTTACTCGGGAGGCTGAGGCAGGAGAATGACGTGAACCCGGGAGGCGGAGCTTGCAGTGAGCTGAGATCTCGCCACTGCACTCCAGCCTGGGTGACAGAGTGAGACTCTGTCTCAAAACAAACAAACAAACAAACAAAAAAAACCCAGAAAATTATTGATTGCTTCAATTTAGAATGGACCTGACTAAATAAAATCCCAATGCATCTGGAAGGGGACCATTCTTTTTTTTTTTTTTTTTTTTTTTGAGACAAGTCCTCATTCTGTTGCCCAGGAGGCTGGAGAGCAGTGGTGCAATTTCAGCTCACTGAAACCTGTGCTTTCCCAGACTCCAGCAATTCTCCAGCCTCAGCCTCCAGAGCAGCTGGGACCACAGGCATGCACCACCATGCCCGGCTAATGTTTTTTGTATTTTTTGTAGAAATGAGGTTTTGTCATGTTGCCCAGCCTGGTCTTGAACTGCTGAGCTCAAAGCGATCTGCCCACCTCGGCCTCCCAAAGTGCTGGGATTATACATGTGAGCCACTGTGCCCAGCCAAGAAGACCATTTTTATTTTTTGAGGAAAGGTCTCACTCTGTCGCCCAGGCCAGAGTGCAGTGGCTCGATCATGGTTCAGTGCAGCCTCAACCTCCCAGGCTAAATCAATCCTCCCACCTCAGCTTCCCGAGTAGCTGGAACCACAGGCGTGAGCCACCACACCCTGATAATTTTTAATTTTTTTGTAGAGACAAGGTCTCAACATTTTTCCCAGGCTGGTCTCGAACTCCTGAGCTCAAGCAATCCTCCAGACCAGGCCTCTCAAAGTGTCGGGATTAGAGGCAAGAGCCACCGCACCCAGCCAATTTTTTTTTTTTTTTTTTTTTGAGACAGATTCTCACTGTCACCCAGGCTGGAGTGCAGCGGCACAGTTTCGGCTCACTGCAACCTCCGCCTCCCAGGTTCAAGCAGTTCTCCTGCCTCAGGCTCCCAAGTAGTTGGGATTACAGGCATGCACTACCACGACTGGCTAATTTTTGTATTTTCAGTAGAGACAGGTTTCGCCATGTTGGCCAGGATGGTCTCGAACTCCTGACATCAGGTGATCTGCCCGTCTCAGCCTCCCAAAGTTCTGGGATTACAGGCGTGAGTGAGAAGAGCACAGCATCAGAAACTAGGCTCTCACAGATTCCACTTCTGCACAGATCCTTTATGTAGGAAGACATTAAATGTGGTAGAGGAATTCTCATAGAACCTACCTCTTTGCCCTTTGTGGCACCTCCTTCTGCCCATTCCACTGAAACACAGGATTTCTCCAAGTTCACAGTCCTTACATTGGCACTGTGAATTAAACCTATAAAGTATGAAAAAACCAGAGTTACCCATCTCTTTCCTGAGAGCTTCACTTTTAG
Organism: Homo sapiens; assembly: GCF_000001405.40. NCBI lineage: Eukaryota > Metazoa > Chordata > Mammalia > Primates > Hominidae > Homo > Homo sapiens. Next base: position 44,740,854 of record NC_000001.11, on the reverse strand, counting down.
GATTCCACAGAGATTCCCAAAGTGGAGTTAACCTGAAGGAACAGGCAGCTACCTTAAAAAAAAAAAAAAAAAAAACTAAGAGAAACAAATAAATCTCCTGGGCTTCACCTTTAGAATATCCACAGTGAGGTGGGCTGGGGACAGGTTTTTAAACTGAGCTGCATGGGATAAGGATTCACCCCTACTCAAGAGAGCCTACAAAAAAAGAGAGATAGAGCCTACAAAAGAGAACATACAAAAGGTATGTTTGAGCACAGGATTCCCCACAACCCTTAGATGAACTTTTCCTCAACATAGCATTGAGGATCTGGCCCTTTTGGGGTTTTCCTAACTCATTTCTGGCGGTCATATCTGTCCATTTCCCTAATGACACGGGTATCAGACCTGCCAGAACTGCGGTACCTGCTTAAGCAAAAGAGAGAACGACTACAAGCTCCTCAAGCGCAGGGTTCTTGTCTGTCCCGTTTACCTGACATACCGCAACTGCGCAATATTTATTCGAGAGTAAAGGGGCCAGGAGACCGAGGTCCCCATAAGAGCAGGGCATTTTCAGGGGAGAATTTTGGAAGGGAAGTGAATTTAGAAGTCCCAACTTCCCTGGGAGGTCTACCAGCCTTGGAGAAGGTCCGCCCACTCCCAGAGGACTGCGAAAGGGACCACGTACAGCGCAGGGACTCTCACCCCTGTGTAGGCAAGAATGACTGCCAGTGCAGAGACCCGGAGTGAGTGCGTGTGAAAAGGAGGGAGGGAGAGAAAGAGAGTGAAAGCCCATCTGTGTGTCCGGGGACGGGCAGTAATTTCAGTCGTCTCACCGCTCACGAGTCCCCTTGACCTAGGGACCCCGCTCCTCACCATTACTGCGTTGGATCTTGATAGCGAGACCGGGAAACAGGCGGGCCTGAAGCGACGAGTCCATGGCCATTCGGAGAGTCAGCAAGGAAGAGAAACGCGCAATACCAAGAAACCTCAATTTCGCTAACCCTACGAAGTCTTAACGCCGCGTAAACCGCCGCAGTTTAAATCCCGCGCGCAAGCGTCCTTAAAACGTCATTCCGCTGTCCCCGCCCTCGCTTCCGCCAGTCAGCGGCGCCCTGCGGAGCCTTGGGGGAGACGCAGTTCCCAACCATCTTCCTACGCTTGGCACCGCCCATGCGTCTGGCCACACCCCCGAGCGCTGTGCCTTCTGGGAACTTCGCCGCTACGTGGGGTCTGGGGCTCCCATTTCTGGTATTGTCCTCGGTCACCTTGTACTGCGGGGTTCCCGAAAACTGGGAAACTTCAGTATGTATTTGACAATGAGGGCTCTGGGATCCTACAGACATGGGTTCGAATCGTAGCTTCTTCAATTGCAAGTTCAGTGACCTCGAGCAAGTTGGAGACTTGGCCGGGCGCGGTGGCTCACTCCTGTTAATCCCAACACTTAGGAAGGGAGAGGTGGGAGTGATCGCTCGAGATCAGAAGTTCGAGACCAGACAGGGCAACATAGCCAAGACCCTGTTCTCAAAGCAAAACAAAACCACAGATTAGAAACTTGACTTAGTTTTTCTTATTAAATAGTGCAGAAGCATGTTGCCTCATTCAAGGAGTTATGTATAAATTTCCAGAAAGACACTGATTCACCAGATATTTATTGAGTGAAGTCTACCACCTGCTAGGCATGGTACCAGGAAATGGAGATAATGAACTAGACACATAGTTCCTGTCCTCCTTTTTTTTTTTTTCCATTTAACCCTTAGTGGACACAGCACATGTTTCAGAGAGCACGGGGTTGGGGGTAAGGTTATAGATTAACAGCATCCCAAGGCAAAAGAATTTTTCTTAGTACAGAACAAAATGGAGTCTCCTATGTCTACTTCTTTCTACACAGACACAGTAACAATCTGATCTCTCTTTCTTTTCCCCACATTTCCCCCTTTTCTATTCGACAAAACCGCCATCGTCATCATGGCCCGTTCTCAATGAGCTATTGGGTACACCTCCCAGATGGGGTGGCGGCGGGGCAGAGGGGCTCCTCACTTCCCAAATGGGGCAGCCGGGCAGAGGCGCCCCCCCCCCCCACCTCCCAGACAGGGCGGCGGCTGGGAGGGGGCTGCCCCCCACCTCCCAGACGGGGCGGCTGGCCGGTCGGGGGCTTTCCCCCCACCTCCTGGACGGGGCGGCTGCCGGGAGGAGACGCTCCTCATCTCCCGGACGGGGCGGCTGCCGGGCAGAGTGGCTCCTCACTTCTCAGACGGGGCGGCCAGTCAGAGACGATCCTCACCTCCCAGACAGGGTGGCGGCGGGGCAGAGACACTCCTCAGTTCCCAGACGGGGTCGCGGCGGGGCAGAGGCGCTCCCCACATCCCAGACGATGGGCGGCCGGGAAGAGACGCTCCTCACTTCCTAGACCGGGTGGCGGCCGAGCAGAGGCTGCAATCTCGGCACTTTGGGAGGCCAAGGCAGGCGGCTGGGAGGTGGAGGTTGTAGCGAGCCGAGATCACGCCACCGCACTCCAGCCTGGGCAACATTGAGCACTGAGTGAGCGAGACTCCGTCTGCAATCCCGGCACCTCGGGAGGCCAGGGCTGGCAGATCACTCGCGGTCAGGAGCTGGAGACCAGCCCGGCCAGCACGGTGAAACCCCATCTCCACCAAAAAATACGAAAACCAGTCAGGTGCGGCGGCGCGCGCCTGCAATCCCAGGCACTCGGCAGGCTGAGGCAGGAGAATCAGGCAGGGAGGCTGCAGTGAGTCGAGATGGCGGCAGTACAGTTCAGCCTCGGCTTGGCATCAGAGGGAGACCGGGGAGAGGGGGAGGGGGAAAGGGAGAGGTTTTTTTTTTTTTTAATTAGAGACAGTGTCTTGCTATGTTGCCCAGGCTGGTCTTGAACTCCTGGGCTCAAAGATCCTCCCTCCTTAACCTCCCAAAGTGCTAGGATTACATGTGTGAACCACCAAGCCCGGCCTCCTGTTCTTGACGATCTGCCTGCCTCAGCCTCCCAAAATGCTGGTATTACAGGCATGAACCACTGTGCCTGGCCAGGAAAGGTCTTGTTTGAAGAACTGATGACTGGAAGGCAGTGGGGGAGAGGAGCATCAGAAGAAGTTGAAGAGGTGGGGAGGGGCAAAATCATAGAGCATCTTGTGGCCTGTAGTAATAATTTTGGCTTTTATGCTAATGAGAAGTCATTGAAAAGTTTTAAGCAGGGGACTAACATGATCTGATTTACATTTTACTTTTTTTTTTTTTTTTTTTTGAGACAGAATTTCACTCTTGTTGCCCAGGCTGGAGTGCAATGGTGCGATCTCGGCTCACCACAACCTCTGCCTCCCAGGTTCAAGCAATTCTCCTGCCTCAGCCTCCAAAGTAACTGGGATTACAGAGATGCACCATCATGCCCGGCTAATTTTGTATTTTTAGTAGAGACGGGGTTTCACCATGTTGGTCAGGCTGGTCGTGAACTCCCGACCTCAGGTGATCCGCCCACCTCGGCCTCCTAAAGTGCTGGGATTACAGGTGTGAGCCACTGCGCCCAGCCTACATTTTACTTTTATGTCAGTCAAACTTGCTATTGTGTGGAGAGTAGATTTGAAAGGGGCAAGACAGAAGGCAGAGACCGCTTAGTAGGCAAGAGATTATGCTGGCATAGGCCAGGGTAGTGATACTGGATTGGAAGTATGGCTGAAAGAACTGATTCAAGATACCCCATGTTTGGGAAGTGAAGTGAATGGGTTTTGCTGATGAGTTGGATGTGAATGACAGGGGTGGTCATGGATGACTCCTGGTTTCTGGCTAGAGCACCTGGCTGGATGATGGACCATGTCCTGAAAAGGGAAAGTGGGATTGTGAAGGAATGAGTTGGGGGTTAAGTCCAGGGTTTCATTTTGTTCATTTTGAATTTGAGATGTCTACAAGACATCTGAGTGTAGGTGTCAACTGAGCAGTTGGATATACAAACTGGGAGCTAAGGTAGAGGTCAAAGCAAGAGATTGAGATTTGGCAGTCTGCATTATGTAGATGGTATTTGGAGTCATGAGCTGAATACTATCTAGGAAAAGAATATAGATGGAGATGAGAGGAACATGTATAATTGAGCCATGGGACTTGCCAATATTTTGAGGTAGGGCAGGGGAGGAGGAGCCAGCAAAGGAGATGGGATTAGGGTGGTTTGAAGGGATGAAGAAAACAAAAGAGTTGGGGGGAGTTCCTTAGAAGTCAAGGGATGGAATGAAGAAGGTGAAAGTAACTCTGAAGAGCTACTCAAGAGGCCAAATAAGATGAGGACATTCTAGTATCCTTTGGATTTATTAGCACCTAAGTCATTGCTGACCTTGTGCAGTCTTGGTGAACTATTGAGGGTGAGAACCAGACTAGAGAGACAAGAATAGATGGAATATTGTTTAGGGATATGCTGTGGTTTGAATGAGTCCCCCAAATTTTATGTGCTGGAAACTTAATCCCCCAATTCACATATTGATGGCATTTGGAGGTGGGGCCTTTGGGAGGTAATTAGGATTAATAAAGTCATCAGGATGGGGCCCTGTGATGGAATTGGTAGCTTTATAAGAAGAAGAAGAGAGACTTGAGCTGACACGCTCTTGCCCTGTCACTATGTTATTGCTCTCTGCCATGTTATAATGCAGCAAAAAGGCCCTCACAAGATCCAAGCACCATGCTCTTGGACTTCTCAGCCTCCAGAACCATGAATGAAATAAATTTATGTTCATTATAAATTACCCAGTCTCCAGTATTTTGTTATAGCAACAGAAAATGGACTAAGTTGGATGCAGTGGCTCATACCTGTAATCCCAACACTTTGGGAGGCCAAGACAGGCAGATTGCTTGAGCTCAGTAGATCCAGACCACCCTGGGTGACACAGTGAGACCCCCATCTCTGCAAAAAATACAAAAATTAGCTGGGTGTGGTGGCACATGCCTGTAGTCCTGGCTACTCAGGAGGCTGAGGTGGGAGGATCACCTGGGCCTGGGGAGTTCGAGGCCGCAGTGTGCTATGATCGTGCAGCTGCGCTTGAGCCTGGGGAACAGAATGAGACCCTGTTTCAAAAAAAAAAAAAAGAAGGTGGGCCAGCTGTGGTGATTCACACCTGTAATCCCAGCACTTTGGGAGGCTGAGGCAGGAGAATAACTTGAGGCCAGGAGTTCAAGACCAGTCTGGCCAACATAGTGAAACGCTGTCTCTACTAAAAATATAAAAATTAGCTGGGTGTGATGGCACAAGACTGTAATCCCAGCTACTTGGGAGGCTGAGGCACAGGAATCACCTGAACCCAGAAGGCGGGAGTTGCAAGTGGCAGTGAGCTGAGATCACACCACTGCACTACAGCCTAGGTGACAGAGACTCTATCTCAAAAAAAAAAAAGGCCGGGCGCGGTGGCTCACGCCTGTAATCCCAACACTTTGGGAGGCTGAGTCAGGTGGATCCCGAGGTCAGGAGATCTAGACCGTCCTGGCTAACACAGTGAAACCCCGTCTCTAATAAAAATCCAAAAAATTAACCGGGTGTGGTGGCACATGACTATAGTCCCAGCTACTTGGGGGCTGAGGCAGGATAATTGCTTGAACCCGGGAGGCGGGGTTGCAGTGAGCTGAGATTGCGCCACTGCACTCCAGCCTGGGTGACAGAGCGAGACTCCATCTCAAAAAAAGAGAAGGTGGCGGCCAGGAGCCAGTTGTGGGGAGACTGTGACTGCAGCCAGAGTGGAAGAGGGTCAGACACCCTGACATGCGGGGCAGGCTGAGGGAGAGCTCTTTAGTTGTGCTCACCATCGCCCCTCCCTCCATATACCACTCTTATCCCCCAAGGCCGTGGGTGGGTCGTTAACTGCCCCATTGCCACTGTGAGGCAGAAAACCAGCAGCGCTGTCTCAGTGCCCTAGCCTGGCCACGTAGGAACATACCTGACTTTAGACATAATCTCTGTACCTCCTCCTATACTGTGTATCCTGGGTTCTGGGCTTTTGTTTTCCCCTGTCACAATCACTGATGCCCCCAGGGTGATGTGAAGTTAAAGGGGAACACATTTGCAATAATAGGAAAACGACAGACTGAGAAACTAATTTTTTTTTTTGAGACGGAGTCTCATTCTGTGGCCCAGGCTGGTGTGCAGTGGCATGATCTCGGCTCACTGCGAGCTCCGCCTCCAGATTCAAGCAATTCTCCTGCCTCAGCCTCCCAAAATGCTGGGATTTTTGTTTTTGTTTTTGTTTTTTTGAGCTGGAGTGCAGTGTCATGATCTTGGCTCACTGCAACCTCTGCCTCCCGGGTTCAAGCGATTCTCCTGCCTCAGAATCCTGAGTAACTGGGACTATAGGTGCCCACCACCACACCTGGCTAATTTTTGTATTTTCAGTAGAGACGGGGTTTTGCCATGTTGGCCAGGCCTGTCTCAAAATCCTGTCCTCAGGTGATCTGCCTGCCTCAGCCTCCCAAAATACTGGGATTACAGACTTGAGCCACCACATCTGGTCAGAAACTGATATTAGAGGAAGCAGAATTAATAGATCTGATAGTTTGAAATAAGCATAATGGGCTAGGCGTGGTAGCTCATGCCTGTAATCCCAGCACTTTGGAAGGCTGAGGCGGGCAGATCACTTGATCTGGCCAACATGGTAAAATCCCATCTCTATTAAAAATACAAAAATTAGCCGGGTGTGGTGGCGGGCGCCTGTAATCCCAGCTACTCAGGAGGGAGGCTGAGGCAGGAGAATTGCTTGAACCCGGGAGGCAGAGATTGAAGTGAGCCAAGACTGCACCACTGCACTCCAGTCTGAGCAACAAGAGCCAAACCCCATCTCAAAAAAAGAAAAAAGAAATAAGCATAATGAACATCTTCAAAAGATAAGGAAGGATATTGTTAAGGCAGGAAGAAGCAACTGAAAATACCAGGCTTGAAAAATTTAATAGTTGAAATCCATACATGAATTGAATAGCAGAATGGTTACAGCCAAAATGAAATGAGGAGCAACAGGATCAAGGGTGAGGATTCACCCAAAAGACATCAGGAAGGGATAAAGAAAATAGGGTAGAAAACAAATGAACCAACTGTTTGTGACATACACTGTTGATGGTTAATTCAGCAGGTATTCTCAACCCCCTTCTTCCTAAATCATTTCCACATTAGAGACTGAAAAAGCTTTATAGTTACTATACTTCCTTTCCCAGACTCCCATGCAATTAGAGCTGGCCATGGGACACAGTTCTGGCCAATGAGATGTAAGCAGGAGAGTTCTGGGGGCTTGTGGGCAAGACTTGTTGTTTTTCTGTTAAAAGGGAATGACAGAAAATGCTTTCCTGGTGTCATCCCTTTTTTCTTGGCTTGGACATGGGATGTTCTTTCTGGAGTTGTGACAGCTGCCTTGTGGTCATGAGGCAGGAGACAGTAATTTGGTTAAAAGCCAACATGCTCAGGACAGCCAAGTACAGCAGGAAGAGCCTAAGAGGGTTCTTGATGGTTCAGTAGTTGAACCAATGCTAGCGACTACCTACTTCCATATATATACATTTTTAATTTCTATCTCCATATGTCATTTTTTTTTTTTTTTTTGAGACAGAGTCTCGCTCTGTCGCCCAGGCTGGAGTGCAGTGGTGAGACCTCAGCTCACTGCAACCTCTGCCTCCCGGGTTCAAGCAATTCTCCCAAGTAGCTGGGATTACAGGCGTGTGCCACCATGCCCAGGTAATTTTTTATATTTTTAGTAGAGATGGGGTTTCACCATGTTAGCCAGGATGGTCTTGATCTCCTGACCTCCTGATCCACCTGTCTCCATACTTCTTGTTGTGTGAATAAGTTTCTACATTTCTAGAAAAAAAAAGTCAAAAATGTCAAAACTGGCACAAGAAAATTTAGTACATTTTTAGTAAAATTTTTAGTAAATTTTAGAATATTTAGTAAATGTTTTATCATTCCATTTGCTTTAATAGCTAATAAAGGAATGATCAAAAATTTTCTGGCCAGGTGCAGTGGCTCATGCCTGTAACCCCAGCACTTTGGGAGGCCAAGGCAGGAGGATTGCTTGAGGTCAGAAGTTCAAGACCAGCCTGGGCAGCATAGCAAGATGTCATCTCTACAAAAAATTTAAAAATTAGCCAGCTGTGGTAGTATGCTTCTGTAGTCCTAGCTACTTGGGAGGCTGAGGCAGGAGGACTGCTTGATCCCAGGAGTTCAAGACTTCAGTGGCCCTCGATTGCACCACTGCACTCCAGCCTGGGACACAGAGCAAGACACTGTCTCAAAAAAAAAAAAAAAAAAAAATGCCAGGCGCAGTGGCTCACGCCTGTAATCCCAGCACTCTGAGAGGCCAAGGCGGGCAGATCACGAGGTCAGGAGATTGAGACCATCCTGGCTGACAGAGTGAAACTCCCATCTCTACTAAAAATACAAAAAATTAGCCAGGCGTGGTGGTAGGCGCCTGAGTCCCAGCTACTCAGGAGGCTGAGGCAGGAGAATGGCATGAACCCGGGAGGCGGAGCTTGCAGTGAGCAGAGATCGCGCCACTGGACTCCAGCCTGGGGGACAGAGCGAGACTCTTTAAAAAAAAAAAAAGTGTATGATCGAATGGTAATAAACTGGATGGGTGGGGGGGGTACTTGGCAAAGCCTGTTTGTTCAGATTATTCTTGGCCTCTGTGTGACATTCATTCCCTGTGGGCATAAGGCAGGACACTGGTCACACGAAGGTCTTCATGGGAGAAGAGAAGGAAAAGGTCAAAAATAACTTCCTGCTTATATAGTTTTCTCAGTTTCTTTGATGGCTTAAAATACTCAGTATGCCAAGGTGCCATATGTTGGGGTATCATGTTCTAAGCCCTGACACCTCTGTAACAACTCAGAATTTCTTCTCCGGGCTTCCTTCAGGTAAGGTGAAAATAAACTTCTTGCTTGTTCAAGCTACTCTTTTTGGAGTCTTTGTTACATACTGTGGAAGGCAGAGGGATGATACAAAATTCAGTATTTGCTATGATGTGGTTTTCTTTTCTTTTCTTTTGAGGTGGAGTCTCCTGTTGCCCAGGCTGGAGTGCAGTGGTGCAGTCTCGGCTCATTGCAGCCTCCGCCTCCTGGGTTCAAGCAATTCTCCTGTCTCAGCCTCCCAAGTAGCTGTGACTACATGCGAACGCCACAACGCCCAGCTAATTTTTGTATTTTTAGTAGAGACGGGGTTTCACCATGTTGGCCAGGATGGTCTCGATCTCCTGACCTCGTGATCCGCCCGCCTCGGCCTCCCAAAGTGCTGGGATTACAGGCGTGAGCCACCGCGCCAGGCCTATGAATACAATTATTTTAAAGCTTTTAATTTTTTTTTTTTTTACTTTAAGTGCCAATTATAAAATAAAGTCACTGTCTAGTTGGACCAGGCATCTACAGTTCTGTAAATCTGGCTTCCGCTCTGCCCCCTGGTGGTGGCCTAACGCCTAGAAAAAGTAACGAACTATTTAAGGTATTTCTGGAAACCGAGGGGGTGGTGACTCAGCGTCATTTACATACCCACAATGCACTGCACACAGACCACGTCCTACTTTAAAAGGAGATTCTCCCTTTTTTCCCCCTCTTTTCCTTTACCATAATAACGAAGCTCCTTTCACACAATCGTCTGAGACAAAAACAGAAGTCACTCTTTTGGGTTAATAGTAACCATTGCTAATCTAGTAGTGACCGTCCCCCGAGGACTGTGTGCAACCATTCCAACACATGCTCTGGTTTCTCTTCAAATCGTATAAATCTTTCGCCTTTTACTAAAGATTTCCGTGGAGAGAAACCGTTTTGAGTTTCAAGCAAATTTTTTGAAGCCCTATGTTGGTGGGGTTCATCAACGGTGTTTAAAAATCAGATAGAAAGTTGTGTGTTTGTTGCGAGGTGTGAGACAACATTTTGTTTGAACATTTATTTTGGGCTGTTGTAATGGTGTGAGTGTGCGTTTTTTATTTTTTTGGAAGTGGGGTTTTAGACTAGACTGTAGTGAGCAATCTTTGCCTGCCGGCTTCAAGGGATTTTCCTGCTTCAGTCTCTCAAGTAGCTGGGGCTACAGGTGGCAACACCATTCCCTGTTAGTTTTTGTATTTTAATAGAGATGGGGATTTCCCACATTGGCCAGGCTGATCTGCCCGCCTTGGCCTCCCAAAGTGCTGGGATTACAAGCATGAGCCACCGTGCGAAAATTTGGTTTTGTTTTGTGGTTTTGTTTTGTTTTGTTTTTAATTAATTTATTCTAGAAACGGTCTCACTGTGTCACTCAGTCTGGAGTGCAGTGGCACGATTATAGCTCACTGCGGCCTTAAACTCCTGGCCTCAAGTGATCCACCCACCTCAACCTCCCGTGAGCCACCGCTTCCCGCTTGGCCAGTTTAGTTTTTAAAGGGTTTTTTTTTTTTTTAAATTATGATCACTTTAGCCCAGTGGTTCCTAGATTTTTGGATTTCCCAATTATTAAAATTTCCGAAAAAGTTCTGGGGTACTATTTTTTTACCATTATACAAAAGAAAACATTTCAAGACTAAAAACTAAAACCAAACAATGACCAAAAATAAAAAGAAAAAAAAGACTAAAAACTAAAAATGACTTGATCTCTCAGCCTGACGCGGTGGACGCGGTGGCTCACACCTGTAATCCCAGCACTTTGGGAGGCCAAGGCGGGTGGATCACTTGAGGTTAGGAGTTCAAGACTAGCCTGGCCAACATGATGATATCCCGTCTTTACTAAAAACACAAAAATTAGCTGGGCGTGGGCATGGCGGCAGGCGCCTGTAATCCCAGCTACTTGGGAGGCTGAGGCAGAGAATCGCTTGAACCCAGGAGGCGGAGGTTGCAGTGAGCCGAGATTGCGCCACTGCACTCCAGCCTGGGAGACAGAGTGAGACTCCGTCCCCAAAAATAAAATAAAATAAATAAAATAAAATAAAATAAAATAAAATAAAAAAATAAGGCCAGGCGTGGTGGCTCACGCCTGTAATCCCAGCACTTTGGGAGGCCGATGCGGGTGGATCACAAGGTCAGGAGTTCAAGACCAGCCTGGCCAACATGGTGAAACCCCATCTCTACTAAAAATACAAAAATTAGCCGGGCGTGGTAGCGCATGCCTGTAATCCCAGCTACTTGGGAGGCTGAGGCAGGAGAATCTCTTGAACCCGGGAGGCGGAGGTTGCAGTGAGCCGAGACTGCGTCACTGCACTCCAGCCTGGCAAAAGAGCGAGACTCCGTCTCAAAAATAAATAAATAAATAAATAAATAAATAAAATCAGCAAAAATAAAATAGGAAATCCATTTAGCTTTAAAGAAAACATAACAACAAAACATAAATATATTTTGTTAACTTTTCTCTCCTTTGTAGGTACAAAAAGAGGAAAGCTGAGGCTCAAAATAAGTGGGGAAAGCAGAACTGCCTTAGACCAACAATGTCAGGGCTGGTGATGCCCTCTTGTGGCATCCTGGAGAATTACTGCCATCTGACTTCATTTCCTCCGACTTGGAGGGACTATTCCCTCACAATACCTCAGTCACTGATTCATGCATGCCAGGTATTGTCCTAACAGTATCCCTGTCCTCGTGGAGTTTACAGTCAGATGGAGGACATACTATTAATAAACATAATAAGGTAATGCTATGGAAAAAAATAGCAGAGTAAGGTGGGAGGGGAGGTGGTGAGTATAGAGAATGGTAGTGTGCATTGCAATTTTAAAAAGAGTAGGCCTTCTTGTAGAGTTGAAGGGAGATGGGGGAGTGAGCCCTGTGGATATATGGGATGAAGTTCTAGGCAGAGTGAACAGTCAGTACAATAGCGTTGAGACAAGAGCTTGTTTGCCAATTTCTTTTTTTCTTTTTCTTTTTTTGAGACGGCGTCTTGCTCTGTCGCCCAGGCTGGATGGAGTGCAGTGGCGCGATCTCGGCTCACTGCAAGCTCCGCCTCCCGGGTTCACGCCATTCTCCTACCTCAGCCTCCTGAGTAGCTGGGACTACAGGTGCCCGCCACCACGCCCGGCTAAGTTTTTGTATTTTTAGTAGAGATGGGGTTTCACTGTGTTAGCCAGGATGGTCTCCATCTCTTGACCTCGTGATCTGCCCACCTTGGCCTCCCAAAGTTCTGGGATTACAGGCGTGAGCTACCGCGCCCGGCCTCTTTGCCAATTAAAAAAAAAAAAAAAAAAAAAAGAACCAGCAAGGGAGTCCAGTGTGTCTGGAGCAGAGTGAAGGACAGACAGAGGCAGAAGAGTTTAGAGAGGTGATGGGAAACCTGAGCACCTAGGGTCTTCATTCAGCGAAATGGGGAGCCCTCCAAGGTTTGAGCCCAGTGATAGAATCTGAAGCTTAAAAGGATAACCCTGGCTGTCGTATTAAAAAGAGAACAGGTATTGACTGGGCACAGTGGTTCACGCCTGTGATCCCAGTACTTTGGGAGGCTGAAGTGAGTGGATAATTTGAGGTCAGGAGTTTGAGACCAGCTTGGCCAACATGGTGAACTCCTGTTTCTACTAAAAATACAAAAATTGGCTAGGCGTGGTGGCAGAAGCCTGTAATCCTAGCTACTCGGGAGGCTGAGGCAGGAGAATTGCTTGAGCCCAGGAGGTGGTGGGTGCCAGTGAGCCTAGATCACACCACTGCACTCCAGCCTGGGTGACAGAGTGACATTTCATCTCAAAAAAAAAGAAACTAAAAGAAAAGAGAACAGGAAGAGGGAGAAAAGCAGAATAACGTTGAAGAGAGATGATAGTGGCTCAGCCCAGAGTATTAACAATAGAGGTAGTGAGATATGGTTGGATTCTGGATGTATTTGGAAGATAGAGCCAACAGACATAATAGATATGGGTGCTAAAGACGGACATTAAAAAGCACTCCACTATTTTGTTTTGTTTTATAGGAAGGATGAGTTGCCATGAGTTGAATTGGGGAAAGTGGCACGGGATTAGGAGTTCAGTTTTAGACACGATGAGGTGGAAATGTTTAGCTGGAAATAGAAATGTAGGAGTCATTGGCCTATAATGATATTTAAAGTTCTGAGACAGGATGAAATCAGCAGGGTGTAAAAGCAGATAGAAGAGAGACTCCAGACCAGGAGCCCTGCCTCACTCCAACTTGAATGAGACTGGATTGAAGAGGAGAAATCTTCAAAAGAAAAAACAACACCATGCACACTCAGGCCAGGCACAGTGGCTCATGCCTACAATCCCAGCACTTTGGGAGGCCAAGGCAGGAGGATCACTTGAGCCCAGGAGTTGGAGACCAGCCTGGACAACATAGTGAGACCTCATCTCTACAAAAAAAGAAAAAAATATTAGCTGAATGTGGTCGTGGTGCACATCTGTAGTCCCAGCTACTCCGGAGGCTGAGGCATGAGAATTGCTTGAGCCTGGGAAGCAGAGGTTGCAGTGAGTCGAGATTGCACCCCTGCACTCCAGCCTGAGCAACAGAGACCCTGTCTAAAAAAAAAAAAAAAAAAAAAAGCTGGGTGTGGTGGCTCACGCCTGTAATCCCAGCACTTTGGGAGGCTGAGGCGGGCAGATCATGAGGTCAGGAGTTCGAGACCAGCCTGGCTAAGATGGTGAAACCCCATCTCTACTAAAAATACAAAAGTTAGCTGGGTTTGGTAGTGCATGCCTGTAGCCCCAGCTACTCAGGAGGCTGAGGTTGCAGTGAGCCGAGATTGTGCCACTGCATTCCAGCCTGGTGACACAGCGAGACTCCGTCTCAAAAAAAAAAAAAAAAAAAAAAAAAGACTATGCACACTCCAGCCCCTCCTGGAAGAACCTACCTTTTTCCAGAAATCCTCAACCCAGTCTCCACCTACCTGCCCTAAGTTCCCTTGAGACTCCCTTTTTACCAGGCCCCTCCCCCTGGGAGAAGGTGCTTTGAGCATGAGCTCCCCTTCCTCCATTCCTATGATGTAAGGTTTTCTTCTTGGTCACTTTGCAAGCTGGGGACCTCTGGCCAGCAATGCCCTGCCAGGTCTCACTCGCCAGGCTACCTGCTGCAGGAGATGGCCTTTACTTGCTGCAGGAGACGACCCACCCGCTCAGTCCAGTTGGCGGAGTCTAGCTTATGCACTGGTTCCCGAGTTCTCGTCCCACGAGCCCAAGAAGAATGAGGATGCACTGGCAATTGAAGAGTGAGCAAGGTGGGGTTTTACTGAGTGATAAAACAGCTTTCGGTGGCTGTGGGGGGTGGTCCCCCTACCTGAAAGTGGGAAAGTCCCCCTAATATGGCTGAGTCCAGGGCTTCTATGGGCTCAGAATGGGGGAAGGGCAGGCCATAGGTAGTATTGGAAAAGGCAACATTCAATTGGTTAAAAGGCATTATTCAGAAAGAATCAATCAGGAAAGGGCAGGCAAACAGAAACAGAAGTTCTCACTCTGGGTTGTGGGTTTCATCCAGGACCAGCAGTCGGTCTTTCAGCCTTCAGGCTGTTTTTGGTTTGAAGGTGGGGTTCACTGGGGACCCACCCCTATCTGCCTAGGCATTTGGCTGCCTCCTGTTGCTATCTCCTAGATCAATGAATAAAGCTTCTGCTCTGCTTTATGGAACCTGGCCTTGTTCTATTGGTGCAAATGGTTCCAGGCAAGGAAAGGACCCATTAGGATCAAACGACCCCCTTTAATGTCTGTAACAACCGGAGAAAAACCAGGTAGGTAGGGTGTTCTGGAGGAAAGGGTGCATAGGCCATCAGGGAGTGGAGGTGAGGCCCTCTATTCAGGCTATGCCCTTGAACCTTCTAGGGTGTTGGTGGCCCTTCCCTCTGGATCTGCTTTTTTTTTTTTTTTTTTTTTTTGAGAATGAGTCTCACTCTGTCGCCCAGGAGGCTGGAGTGCAGTAGTGTGATCTTGGCTCACTGCAGCCTCTACCTCCCGGGTTGAAGTGATTCTCCTGCCTCAGCCTCCCAAGTAGCTGGGATTACAAGTGTGTGCCACCACACCCGGCTAATTTTTTATTTTTTATTTATTTTTTAGTAGAGACGGAGTTTGACCCTGTTGGCCAGGCTGGTCTCGAACTCCTGACCTCAGGCGATCCGCCCACCTCAGCCTCCCAAACTGCCAGGATTACAGGCGTGAGCCACCGTGCCCGGCCTGTTTTTGTGATGGGGTCTTGCTTTGTTGTCCATGATGGCTTCCAACTCTTGGGCTCAAGAGATCTTCTTCCTTCAGCCTGCAGAGTAGCTAGGATTACAGGTGCAAGCCACCGTCCTAAACTTGGACCTGCTTTTTAACTTGAGGAGCACAGGCACCACAATCTAGCATCATAGCTCTCACTTGACCTCCCTTCCCCCTCCACACACACAAAGAACAGACAGGTATCAAGGCTGTTTATTGACTCTTCGCAGCCAGCGGCTCTTCCTCTGCCCCTCTGGGATGCCTAATCCCCGTCTCCCCCCTGGAGCCAAGTGGAGTGGCTCTGAGCTTGACCCCAGGCGCCTTCCTCTTGCCAGGCTTCCCTGCCCCGCAGCCTTGGCCTTCCTGGTTTGCCACAGGGGCTGTTACTCCTTTGATTCTACATCCTCCTCGAAGTGTGTGAGGTAGGCCATCTGAGCCGAATCGCGCGAGCCATAGAGAGTGTTCATGCTGTAGGAGCTGCCATGGAGGCACAGGGCTGCAGGCAGGAAAGGCGGGCGTGAGGCTGTGCTGGCGGCGCCTGCGCCCGGCTTCCCTCGTCCCACACTCACCTTTGGTAACATTGACTGTGTTGGCCGCCAAGATGTCCGCCTGAATGCTGTCTATTTTCATGTACAAGTCCTCAGCGTTGCTCTGAGGACAGGAGCAAGGGGGACCCGGCTGGGGTGCCAGGGCAGTCTGGACTTGGAGTTGGGCTTGGCAGAGGGATGTTGCAGGTGGGGGGCGGGTCGGCAGCCTGACCGAAAGGGCAGGAAAGGGAACAGGAAGGTGGCGGGTGGAGGAGCCTACGCCAGAGCAGTCCCTCCTGCAGCTGGTGGCCAGGTCCACTCTGCATGTGGCGCGCTCCAGGATGGGGACTGTCTGAAGGGGCATCACACTGTCCGAGCCGCCATCTGCTCATTGCGGCGGGGCAGGAAGGGCGCACTTACCAGGAAGAGCTGGTAGAGTTCCTCCCCCATGCACTTGCGCACGTGCTCCGCCACCAAGGGGAACATCTGCACGAAGCACTGCGCCGCGCGGGCGAGGCGGCGTGACTGCGGGGGCGACGGGGCTGCGGGTGCCGCCGCCCTTCCCGCCCCCTAACCAGCCGCCGCGCGCACCTCCAGCGTGAGGCTGGCCAGCCGCTGGCTGTTGCTGTGGTCCGTGTTGCCCATGGCGGCCATTAGGCCACGCACCACGCGCAGGTACAGCAGCTCCTCGGCGATGCTCATGTCGTTGCGCGCCAGGACCCTGGGCCGGGGGTTCGGGCTGGGGCGACGCCCTGGGGCTCACCCGGCGCACACCCCCGCCCACCCGGCGCACGGAGCGCTCCCGGGGCCCGCCGGCAGCGCCAAGCCAGGCTTGCTGCAGCTACCCACTAACCCCTGCCCGCTTACCCGATGGCCTTGGCGGCCGCGGCCTGCTGCAAAAACATCGGCAGGCTGGGGGTGAGCTGGAGAACCGAGGGGTCTGAGGAGGGGGCAGCCGTGAGGCAAGAGACCGCCCTCCCGTGGCCCAGGCAGCCCCATTTGAGCAGGTCCTTACCACTGAGGATCTTGGCCTGCAGTTTGGAGATCTCCTTGACCGACGGTATCAGCAGCGCCACGAGGCCCTTGAGCAGCGCCTGGCGCACATCGTAACCGACCAGGTCTTTGATCAACTCGATGGCTGCGGAAGGGCAGAGGTGCTGGAGAGAGGCCCCAGGCCCCTCCGCCACCGAGGAAGCAAAGAACCCCGTGAACCAAGTCGCCACTCGTCAGTGTCCTCCTCTTTTACTGATCAGCACTGTGCAGGGCGTGGGGGAGCTGGGAAGGCGAACCTCAGTTGAAGAGCAGGAGGAGGGGGCTGAAGGGGGAGGAGGAAGGGTTGGATGGTGAGCCCACCTGTCGAGGCGGCCTAGGATGTCAGCGCTGGAGGCTGAGACCCCAGAGAGGGGGGCCTTCGCCTTGGAGGAATCCAGGTTTCATGGAGGAGGGAAGGGCTGGGTCTTTACGGGAAGACAAGATGGAGAAAGACAAGGGGTGAGAGGGAGACAGAGAAAGTGGGTGGGAGACTTGTGGCAGGAAATGAGAAAGGGGAAGGAAGGTAGGCGGCAGTTTAGAGAAACTCTCCTTCTAACCATCATCGAGCCCTCTCCACCAGGCAGGGTGCCAGGCTTTCCATACAGCACCCGTGGAAGCTCACCAGAACCAGATGAGGTTCACTTCCCCATTTTACCTTTGCCGAAATTAGACACAGAGAGGTAAACCACTTTGCCTAAGTTACACAGCTAGGAAGTGATGGAAGCAGAAGGAGGGGAGGATTTGGTTAGGAAGGAGAAGGGGACTAGAATTTATGGAGGGCATTTCCTGCAGGGCTTTCCTGTAGATATTTTACAGGCAGTCATTCATTCAGTCCAGCATTCACTCAGTCTTTCGGCACGGCTGCATGTGAACGCCTATGGTGCCAGGCGCGGCATTGGGTGTTGAGGATACAGACTGAATTCATTCATTCGACCAACCCTCCTTAAGCGTGCACAAACAGGCAGCGATGATATGGTGACAGGTGCTGTGGAAGGAGTCAGTGATTGGGCTGTGGGAGCACAAGAGAAAATCGGCAAGGATTGAATGTTTTTGTAAAGAAGAGAAAGGAACCACAGAGCTAGAGGGGGCAGGAGGAGAAGGAGATGCTAAGATGATGGCACACCAGCATAAATGCTACCTTTTTTTTTTTTTTGAGACAGAGCCTCACTCTGTCGCCCAGGCTGGAGTGCAGTGGCGCGATCTCGGCTCACTGCAACCTCCGCCTCCTGGGTTCAAGCAATTCTCCTGCCTCAGCCTCCCGAGTAGGCTGGGATTACAGGCGCCCGCCACCACACCCGGCTAATTTTTTTTTTTTTTTTTTTTTGTATTTTTAGTAGAGATGGGGTTTCACCATCTTGGCCAGGCTGGTCTTGAACTTCTGACCTCGTGATCCACGCGCCTCGGCCTCCCAAAGTGCTGGGATAGCAGGCATGAGCCACTGGGCCCGGTGGGCCCAGCCAGTAAATGCTAGTATTTTTGTTTGTTTGTTTTTTTGAGACGGAGTTTCACTGTCATCACTCAGGCTGGAGTGCAATCGCTCACTGCAACCTCTGCCTCCCGGGTTCAAGCGATACTCCTGCCTCAGCCTCCTGGGAAGCTGGGATTACAGGCGTCTGCCACCACGCCCGGCTGATTTTTGTATTTAGTAGAGACAGGGTTTCACCATGTTGGCAAGGCTGGTCTTGAACTCCTGACCTCAGGCCTCCCAAAGTGCTCAGGCCTCCCAAAGTGCTCCCAAAGTGACCGAGAACTCCTGCCTCGGCCTCCCAAAGTGCTGGGATTACAGGCATGAGCCACCACGCCTGGACTTTTTTTTAAATTTAAATTTTATTTTTTTTCTGAGACAAGGTCTTACTCTGTCGTCCAGGCTGGTCTTGAACTCCTGGGCTCAAGCGATCCTCCTACCTCTGCCTCCTTAAGTGCAGGGATTACAGGTGTGAGTCACTGTGCACCGGGCACTGCTACTCTGAACACATGTGGCTACATGGAAGACAGGACTTGGCCATGTGCTCTCCCCAGCTCAGTAGTCAAGTGCCTCTCTCCATTTACTGGTAAGAGAGAGAGGGTTTAGAGGAACTCTTGTTCCGGCGCTCAGCTCATTTGCATCCCAGAATGCATTGTAGATACGAGAATTATTACCAGGGTTATCTGTTTGAATAATAATATTTAAACTTTTTTTCTTTGTCAGGAGATTTTACCCAGTGAGAACATGTTTAGGACACTTTTCTACAGTGGAAGAAAAGCTTCTGTCTGCAGGTCCAAAGGCACCGTAAGTAGAGGGAGACCAGTCAATAGCTGGGAAGCCAGGCAAAAGGCTAACAGGCAGATCTCTGGTTTCTCTTCATAACGAATAAATCTTTCGCCTTTTACTAAAGATTTCCGTGGAGAAAAACAACTATGAGTTTATGGTTAAATTTTTTGAAGTCTTGCCTAGGCAAGGCTGAATGTTCTGTTACTAAAGAGAGACGTGTGGGTGGGGTGTTTCATGCTTTGGGAGGTTGGGGTAGCTCCACAAATGTCACCCAGGTTGTAGCGGAGTGGTGTGGTCGCGGCTCACTACAACCTCCATCTCCCATGCTCAAGCAATCCTCCCACCTCAGCCTCATAAGCCTGTCTAATTTTGTGTACTTTTTGTAGTGCCCGGCCTACTGTCATGTTTTTTTAGCTTCTTGTAAACATTTAGGAAGCTAAATGTTTATAAGATTTTTTTTTTTAAAAGAAAACCTAGTTTTTGACAGTCTGTATCTAATAATTTGGCTGAAGTCTTGTGAGTCTTTCTAGTGTGCTAGTTCCAATTTATAGTGATGACTTTGTGTGCATGATTATCTTATACTTTGGACTGGTCTCATATTTGAAAAATTAAGTGTAGGAAAAACTTAAGAGTTAGGATGATGATACTTTCTTCCAGAGATAGTTTTCTTTTGTTTTTATCAGGTACCTGGGGACACAAACAATTCTGGACTACCTTTGTCCACATTCAACACTTGAGGTTCTCTGGACCACCTGGTAGTTATATAATCCATACAAGACCACCTGAGGGCCGGCTTACTTTTGGCCCACCTTGACCTTGAGGGTACTGTCTTCTGGGGTCCAACTTAAAGTATGTATGCTAGAGGTATCAGACTTCCCACCGAGAGCAGAATCTCAGTGCCTTCTCTTTCTTTTGCCCTTTTTTTGTTTTGTTTTGTTTTGAGATGGAGTTTCACTCTGTCACCCAGGCTGGAGTACAGTGGTACGATCTCGGCTCACTGCAGCTTCCACCTCCTGGGTTCAAGGGATTCTCCTGCCTCAGCCTCCCGAGTAGCTGGGATTACAGGTGCGCACCACCACGCCTGGCTAATTTTTGTATTTTTTAGTAGAGACAGGGTTTCACTATGTTGGCCAGGCTGGTCTTGAACTCCTGACCTCAAGTGATCCACCTGCCTTGGCCTCCGAAAGTGCTGGGATTACAGGTGTGAGCCACCACGCCCGGCCTGAGAAGTCTTCTTTATCTGGCTATTGCTACTCATTCTTCTAGGCTCAGCTGAGAAATCAACTTTCAGGAAGCTGCCCCTGGCCTGCTCTCCTCTGCCTTCACTCTTCACTCAGGAGTAGATGTCCTATGTCTCTGAACCCGTAGCACCGTATAGAATTCTTGCTATAGAATTCTAGTACTATCCACTAAATGGTCTCCTCACTAGTGTGTGAACTCCAATGAACATATCTGACACATCTCACTTCTGTTTACCTAGAGCCTGAAACCATTCCATGTACACAATGCATGCTCCATACATCTTGTTGAAAAGACCTCATTGGATTCTGCATTCCAACAGGCGAGGCTTGGGTCATGGCAGCCTAGGACCACGCTTAGAAACCACCAGCCTGGTGGTGGATGACCCCAGAGGAGGCTCTGCAGTGGCCACTGTGGTCCTCATTCACACAGCTACAGAACTTTCCTAGCTTGAATCTTGGACAGGCTGGAGAGCCAGAACTGTGGCAGCTGTCTCCCCGTATACCCCATGGCCAACTTTTTTTTTTTTTTTTTTTTTTTGAGACAGAGTTTTGCTCTTGTTGCCCAGGCTGGAGTGCAATGGCACGATCTTGGCTCACTGCAACCTCTGCCTCATGGATTCAAGCAATTCTCCTGCCTCAGCCTCCCAAGTAGCTAGGATTATAGGCGCCCGCCACCACACCTGCCTAATTTTTTTGTATTTTTAGTAGAGACGGGGTTTCACCATGTTGGCCAGGCTGGTCTCTAACTCCTGTCCTCAGGTGATCCACCCACCTTGGCCTCCCAAAGTGTTGGGATTACAGGCGTGAGCCACTGCACCTGGCCCCATGGCCAACTTTGAGAGTGCTTTGAAGCCAGGACCTTATACTTCTTGGCCACCCCAGAACTGGGCACCACTCTATGGATGCTCATATCATACAACCCAGGCACAACAGAAAGGGGAAGAGTGTGGTCCTTCTCACAGTGGGAGACACAGGGCACCTGGTGAGATGGTCAGAGATGTGGACTGCGTGGATTTACAGAGCACACAGAACAGGTCTCTGCTTCAGCTCCTGCAAACTTTACTTGTTTAACTCCAAACAGACATATGCTGCCTAAAAAGGAACACATGCTGGCGATTTCTAACTTTGTCAGAAAACTATCATTGATGATTTCCAAAAGAGCAGTGGTCTGGGAAGGCAGAGGGAGCAGCCACATCCTGTGTGCTGCAGGCTGCATGCTCAGCTCTCCTGGGTGCTGAAAACACCGGCGGAGGGATGGGGAGCTGACTTCTCCACTCCAGGGCTCAGAGTGCCCTTCGGCAGGAAGAAGAGAATGAGTTTTGGCTGGTGTGTCAATCTAAGGAAAGGCATGGAAAGGCTACTAGTAGAGAACCAGCCTGCCTCCTCGAAATTGCCCTTGTGCCAGATCCTGCTCTCCTCTGCCTCTTGCCCATCATCCTCAGGCTCCAGAGCCTTGAGGCACACTAGAGGGGGCCTGGTCCTGAAGCCCTATAAAAGCTAGTTTTGTCTCATCCTGGTTTTCCCAATCACAGAATTAAAAAATCACCTGGAGGTGGAAGATCTTCAAAGACATCCTGTGCTACCCCTTCCAGTACTTATTCACCCTTTGGGGGACAGACCTTGTGGGGCAGACCCTTTCCTCTGAGGACCTTCCTGATTTAGAAATAGTGGCTTCATTCAGAAATGCCTTTTTTTTTTTTTTTTTTTTTTCCGAGACAGTTTCACTCTTGTTGCCCAGGCTGGAGTACTATGGTGCGATCTTAGCTCACTGCAACCTCTGACTCATAGGTTCAAGTGATTCTCCTATCTCAGCCTCCCAAGTAGCTGGGATTACAGGCATGCACCACACTGGCCAGCTAATTTTTTGTATTTTCAGTAGAGACGGGTTTCTCCATGGTGGTCAGGCTGGTCTTGAACTCCCGACTTCAGGTGATCCGCCTGCCTCGGCCTCCCAAAGTGCTGGGATTACAAGCATGGGCCACCATGCCCGGCCCAGAAACGCTTCTTATGACCAACCAGCCACTGCTGCTGGGCTGCCTCTTTCTTCTAAGTCTTCTAAGGTAGCCCTCGCAATCCCATCTGCCCACCCTCTGCAGCCTCTGGTTGCCCAGATGTGGTCCTATTTTGGAATCAAAGGCCCAGCAACATTGTGGAGGGAAAGGGACCAGCCCCGGGAAGGGGCAAAGCACTTGAGCTTCCCTGGCTTCCCCCAAACACTCTCTGATCTGGACAAAATGGCAGACCGGACATCTCTGGCTGCTTGGCAGCCGTAGCCTGCACCGGCTGCTGCCTGAAACCCCAAAGTATTTCTCACTTGTTCTACCATTTGGTTTCTTCCCTCTTCTTGAATTGGTGCAGCTCATTTTTTTGGAGCCAAGTGGTCTGGCCCCTCATGCATCTGATGACACTTGGCTTTGTCGCCTGCAGCACGTCCCTCATTAGTAGCTGGGCTCTTCCCAGGCACAAGCTGGCAGTGCGTAATGCCAGGACATCCTGGGCAAATGTCTGCCTGTGCCCAAGAGCTCTTCCTGCAGCAAGACATGACTTGGTGGACACTCAGGGTAGAAACGAACAGGTGAAGATATTTTTATGAAAATTTCTTGACCACAAATAGCATTTTCTGCCCATGTAGAACCAAATACTCCAGGAGACAAATGTCTAGTTCTGACTATTCACTTTACCTAAATGCTTAATCTTTTGCTAATTATGTATTTGTAACACTTGGAGCTACTTAGAAAAATGAAGATTTATTCACTGAATCATTTCTGACTGAGTTTTAAAATTCACAGCTGTCACTGTTTATACCCAAAGTGAAAGTACTGGTCTCTGCCCAAATGTCTTCACAGGAACCACAGCCAGTTACAACTCTTTATATATCGTGCTAGTTACTAGGAAGGGCAATTCCTTCAGAAAGCAAAGGACAACAAAAGACTATCTTTGGCAGCTTTGCCTAAAGCCTGTGGTGCTGATAACACCCAAATGTCCTAAAGCTGAGCAATCACTGATTTATTCATTGATTCATTCATTTATTTAACAAAATTCTCATTGAGCATCTTGTCTGTGCCAGGCCTCTGGGCTAGGGCTATGAAGAGGACTAAGATCTAATCACTGGCCTTAGGGACATCACAGCTGAGTGGGGGATACCAATAGGGAAACTGGCATTTATGAGGCAGTGTTATCAGGGCCATGGGAACACAAAGGAAGCCAGGTTGGTTGATGGAGTGGAGATGATAGGGGATGGAGAATCAGGAGAAGGATTCCTTGGAGACGGTGATGCGTGAATTGGCAAAACCATAGGGAGAAGGGAGGGGCTGGAATGTAGAATGTGGCAAGTGCCATGTTGGATAGTGCCATGTCACATTTGTGGCCAGGCAAGGGAGATCTGGCTGGGAAACAGGGATGCTGGGTCATGCATCAGAGCTAAGCCTGTGGAGGCAGGCCAGCCCCAGCTTCTGCAGGGCTATGCATGTGCCAACAACCCGATACAGCAGGCATTTTTCTCATTTCATTTCAGAGAAAAGGAAGGCTCAAAAAAGTTGAGTAGCTCGCTCAGGATCAGATAGCTAATAAGAATAGTTCTGATTTCAGGCCGGGCGCGGTGGCTCACACCTGTAATCCCAGCACTTTGGGAGGTCAAGGCGGTTGGATCACGAGGTCAGGAGTTCACGACCAGCCTGGCCAAGATGGTGAAACCCCGTCTCTACTAAAACTACAAAAATTAGCTGGGCGCAGTGGCAGGTGCCTGTAATCTCAGCTACTTGGGAGGCTGAGGCAGGAGAATATCTTTTACCTGTGCAGCAGAGGTTGCAATGAGCCGAGATCGCGCCACTGCACTCCAGCCTAGGTTACAGAGTGAGACTCCGTCTCAAAAAAAAAAAAAAAAAGAAAAAAGAATAGTTCGGATTCCAAATCCCATATTCTTCACCACTAAGTCTACTGCCTCCACTCTGGTGGTGGACTAGGAAAATGAACTGTGTGTGGGCGCCATACTGGACAGATGAAGATTGGTGTAGAGGCCAGTGCAGGTGAGCAGTATGAAGACCTGAATTACAGCAGTGGAGACAGAATGGGGAAGAGGGAACGCATCTGCATATTGAAGAGTTAGAATTGACTGGTCTTGTTAGAAGTTGGTTGAAGGTGGGAAGCAAAAAGACAAGACAATTACCAATATTTCTAGCCTGGGCAGCTGGGTACTTTCCACTGAGATTGGGACCTTGGAGAAGAAAAGCTTTGGAACTGGAATATCAGAAGTCCACTGGTGACATCTGAGGGGAGGTGTTCAGAAGGCAAATGGACACACAGGTCTAGAGCTATAGAGAGGTCACTCCACTACTCTGTCCTCCATCCATAAAATGGGGAAAATAATAGTGCCCACCTCCTTGGCTTGCTGTGAGGGGTAAATGAGTAAAGATCAAGGGCAGTATCCAGCATAGAGTTAACACTCTATAAAGATTAGCGACTATTGTTTCTGTCATCAAGGTGGTAGGTGGTACATAAAGTCGTGGTAATTAAAGTTGTGGGAGCGGACGAGGTGCCATAGACAGCAAAGAAGGAGAAGAAGACCTGGAGTTGAATGCTGAAAAAAAAAAATTGACACCTAGGAGACTGGTAGAGGAATGGGAATGTATAAAAGACCGAGAAGCAGTTTCTAGAGCCATAGGAGGAAGCCAGGAGAGTATGGGTTTGGGAAGGAGGATGAGAGTATTCAAGGAGGAGGTATCATCAGGAGGGTTTGAATGTTTGAGAGTTCAGGCCCCATGAAGCTGAGAGGATGCTCTGTGGGGCCCATGCTCATGCATTTGACAAACAGGGATTGAGCACGTGCTAGGTGCAGTGCTGGTGCTGATGAAACAGCAGTAAATGAAACAGATGTGGCTGGGTGCAGTGGCTCACGCCTGTAATCCCAGCACTTTGGGAGGCTGAAGCGAGCAGATGATCACTTGAGGCCAGGAGTTGAAGACCAGCCTGGCCAACATTGTGAAACCCTGTCTTTACTAAAAATACAAAAATTAGCCAGGTGTGATGGTGGGCGCCTGTAATCCCAGCTACTCAGGAGGCTGAGGTAGGAAAATTGCTTGAACCCGGGAGGCAGAGGTTGCATTGAGCTGAGATTGTGCCACTGCACTCCAGCCTGGGTGACAGAGTGAGACTCCATCTCAAAAAAACAAAAAACAGATGTGAGGTCCTAGCCACTCACACTCCATGGAAACTCTTTAATGGTGCAGGAGACAAATTCATTGCTCCAATCCGAAGAGGAACTTTGGAATCCACAGCCTATCAGCATTAGAGGAAACCTCAGTGATCACTGGTCTGATCATCTCATTGAATAGACGAAGAAACCAAGAACAAATGACTTGCCCAGGAAACCACAATGAACAAGAGACAGGGCTGTAGCAGCAGGCTTAGTATTCCTTTGGCAGAAGGAGCCATAGAAATGGCATTGTACCTGGGAACTGTGGATATTCCATGCAGCCATTTCCAGGGTGCTAACAGCACTGATCATTTATAATTCTTTGATCCCAGAGCCTTGCAAAACCAGGGTTCCGGGTCTTTCTCTGCAGGTCCAGACAAGCCTGCCACCTACTGGACACATATGAGAAGTGCGCTTCCTTACCGAGGTTTGCTTCCTTTTCCAGCAGGGCACTAGCATGAACGTGTTTAGCATGTTGCACTGCTGTAAGAAACAGACCAGTCAGGCGTGGTGGCTCATGCCTGCAATCTCAACACTTTAAGAGGCTGAGGCGGGAGGATCGCTTGAGCCCAAGAGTTTGAGGCTGCAGTGAGCTGTCAAGCCACTCAACTCCAGCCTGGGAAACAGTAAAACTGTTTCCCCCCCAACAAAAAAAGAAAAAAGGCCGGGGACAGTCAAATCAGGTTGGGCAACATCGTGAGATCCCATCTCTAAAAAGAATTAAAAAAAAAATTAGCCAGGCATAGTGGCATGTGCCTGTAGTCCCAGCTACTTACTTGAGCCCAGGAGGTTGAGGCTGCAGTGAGCCGTGCATGCGCCACTGCACTCCAGCCTAGGTGACAGAACAAGGCCCTGCCTCAAGAAAAAAGGAAGAGACCAGTGTCAGCCATCTTCCTGACATTCTGTAATTAATTCTGTCTCTGATTTCTGTATACCCTGCTACCTTTTTTTTTTTTTTTGAGACGGAGTTTCACTCTTGTTGCCCAGGCCGGAGTGCAATGGCGTGATCTCAGCTCACCGCAACCTCCGCCTCCCGGGTTCAAGGGATTCTCCTGCCTCAGCCTCCCAAGTAGCTGGGATTACAGGCATGCACCACCACGCCCGGCTAATTTTGTATTTTTAGTAGAGAAGGGGTTTCTCCATGTTGGTCAGGGTGGTCTCGAACTTCCGACCTCAGGTGATCTGCCGGCCTCGGCCTCCCAAAGTGCTGAGATTACAGGCATGAGCCACCAGGCCTGGCCCCTGCTCCCTCTTTTTTTTTTTTTTCTTTTTTTTGAGACGGAGTCTCGCTCTGTCACCCAGGCTGGAGTGCAGTGGTGCAATCTCGGCTCACTGCAAGCTCCGCCTCCCAGGTTCACGCCATTCTACTGCCTCAGCCTCCCAAGTAGCTGGGACTACAAGCACCCGCCACCACGCCCGGCTAATTTTTTTTGTATTTTTAGTAGAGACAGGGTTTCATCGTGTTAGCCAGATGGTCTAGATCTCCTGACCTCGTGATCCGCCGGCCTCCCAAAGTGCTGGGTACATGCGTGAGCCACTGCGTCAGGCCCCCTGCTACCTCTCTAACTACATTCTGTTCAAAGCTCAATGTTGAAACAATAAAAATATATTTTATGCACACCTTTTGTTTTTAAAGCCAGGCAACAAAGTAACTAATGTATGTGCTATGGTGGTATTTTTATTGCTGGACAAAGAATTACTATGGTGTGTCTTCCACTGGTATCTGCTTTCACCCAGCCCAACCAGTCCGTGTACTGATGTTTTGAACTATCCCTGAGACTCGAGTCAAGCACCAGTGTCCTCAAAAAGGACGCAGTATAAGGCAAGGGCAGGATGCAGATGTTTTGAGGGGCAGGCAAATGGGGAAGTTAGAAATAAGATTTCCCCCCAAGATTTTCACTTAAATCCCCTGGAAGACTGTTTTATAGACTTTTATAAACGCTGAATAAAGTGTCACAGTTGAAGTGCTCATATACTTTTGGGGAAGTAATGCATCTTTTAAAAATAGCAGGTTTTTATGTGAAAGTCTCCCTCAGTGTCAGAGCCTTCTGACTGCTGTTCAATGAAGCTGTACAGGACAGGTGGCCTCTTATACAGCAGGAAAGGCTAAAATTACTGCCCATGTCAGCTGAGAAGTACAAAGCAGGGCCGGGTGCAGTGACTCATACCTGTAATCCCAGCACTTTGGGAGCCCGAGGCAGGTGGATCGCTTGAGCCCAGGAGTTGGAGACCAGCCTGGCCAACATGGTGAAACCCCATCCCCGCTAAAAATATGAAAATTAGCCAGGCATGGTGCTGCATGCTTGTGGTCCCAGCTACTCGGGAGGCTGAGGCACGAAAATTGCTTGAATCCAGGAGGTGTAGGTTGCAGTGAGCCAAGATCATGCCACTGCACTTCAGCCTGGGTGACAAAGCAAGACTGTCTCAAAAAAAAAAAAAAAAAAAAAGGCCGGGCGCAGTAGCTCTTGCCATTGCACTCCAGCCTGGGTGACAGAGCGAGACTCCGTCTTAAAAAAAAAAAAAGTGCAAAGCAAAGGCATAACGTTCTGTAAGGCAAAAACACTAGTTTTTAAATGAGACCCAGGTGGTGCAGTGGCTCACGCCTGTAATCCTAGCACTTTAGGAGGCTGAGGCGGGTATATCACCTGAGGTTAGGAGTTTGAGACCAGTCTGACCAACACGGTGAAACCCTGTCTCTACTGAAGTTATAAAAATTAGCTGGGCGTGGTGGCACATGCCTGTAATCCCAGCTTCTTGGGAGGCTGAGGCAGGAGAATCGCTTGAACCTCGGAGGCAGAGGTTCCAGTGAGCCAAGATCGCACCACTGCACTCCAGCCTGGGCAACAGAGCAAGACTCCATCTCAAAAAAAAAAAAAGAAAAAAGAAGAAATCCTGATGTATTTGCTTAACCCTGTGAGGGGTATGAAGCTAAGAAAACATAATTTTAAAAATATGGTTTACTGTAATCTTAACAATGTTGTCTGTCCTTTTTTTTTTTTTTTTTTTTTTGCGGTTCCCTGTAGCTGGGACCACAGGTGTGAGCCACCATGCCCAGCTAATTTTTGTAGTTTTAGTAGAGACAGAGTTTCATGGAGTTTCACTCTTGTTGCCCACTCTGGAGTGCTGTGGCACGATCTCGGCTCACTGCAACCTCTGCCTCCCAGGTTCAAGTGATTCTCCTACCTCAACCTCCCAAGTAGCTGGGATTACAGGCTCCTGCCACATATCCAGATAATTTTTGTATTTTTAGTAGAGAGAGGATTTCACCTTGTTGCCCAGGCTGGTCTCGAACTCCTGGCCTCAGGTGATCCGCCCGCCTTGGATTCCCAAAGTTCTGGGATTACAGGTGAGAGCCCCTGCGCCCAGCCAGGTCTCAAACTCTTGGCCTCAAGTGATCTGCCCGCCTCGGGCTCCCAAAGTGCTGGGATTAAAAGGGTGTCCTTGGGTTTTTATCTACTTCTCAAAGCTGGTAAAAACAAGGCAAGTCTTGTTCTAATACTGAAGAAAGAATAGTGTGGTGGTGAGGGGATGGGCGCAGGAGGCAGACTGACTGGGTTTGATCTACAGCTTTCTCATTTATCATTTTGAGACTGTGGACAGGTTATTTAATTGCTTTGTGCCTCAGTTT
Organism: Homo sapiens; assembly: GCF_000001405.40. Classification (NCBI taxonomy): domain Eukaryota; kingdom Metazoa; phylum Chordata; class Mammalia; order Primates; family Hominidae; genus Homo; species Homo sapiens. Next base: position 44,711,916 of record NC_000001.11, on the reverse strand, counting down.
CCTCATCTGTAAACTGGGGATGAAAATAGTACCTACTTCACAGAGTTGTTCTGAGGAATAGATGAGATGGTAAAAGAGCTTAGAACAATGCTGGGCACACAGTCATTGTTGGTCACTAGTAGTAGTTATGAGTTAACATTACCATTAGTATCACTGTTGTAACAAAGCTCTGTGAGAACAAGGACTTGTTTCATTTGTCACTATACTCTCAGTGCCCACCCCAGTGCCATTCTTTTTGAATAAGTAAATGAATAAATGAGAAACTTAAATCATTGAAAATGAAAACAACAAAGGACATTATCAAGAAGGTGAAAAGAACCTACAGAATGGGAGAAACCATATATTTGATGAGCACAGAAACTAGAATATATGAAAAACTCTTACAACCCAACAACCAATTTTAAAATGGAAAAAGGACCTGAATAGACATTTCTCCAAAGAAGAAATACAAATGGACAACAAGTCTATGAAACACGTCTATGTTCAACATCCTTATTCATTAGGAAAATGCACTTCGCATCCACTAAGATGGCTATAATTAAAGAATCCCCAGAATAACAAGTTTGGTGAGGAAGTGGAGAAATTGGAATCCTCATATATTGCTGCTACTGGGAATGTAAAATGGTACAACTACTGTGGAAAACAGTTTAGTGGGTTCCTCAACGAGTTAAACAGAATTACCATATGATCCAGCAATTCCACTCCTAGGTAATATACCCCAAAGAACTGAAAACAGGTACTCAATTACATGTATGTGGATGTTCATAGAAGCACTGGTTCACAAGAGCCAAAGGCTGGAAATAGCCCGAATGTCTAATAATGAATGAATGGATAAACAAATTGTGGTAGATACATACAACGGAATATTATTCATCCACAAAAAGGAATGAAGTACTGATGCATGTTACAATGTGGGTGAACCTTGAAAATATTATGCTAAGTGGAAGAAGCCAGACATAAAAGTCATGTATTGTATAATTCCATTTATGTGAAATATATGGAATAGGTAAATCCATAGAGACAGAATGAAGATTGGGGCTTCCCAGGGACTGGAGGGAGTGGAAGGGGAATAGCTGCTCGCTGAATTCAGGGTTTCCTTTTGGGGGGATGAAAATGTTTTGGAACTAGATAGAGATGGTGGTTGTACAACACTGTGAATGTATACTAAATGCCACTGAATTGTTCACTTTAAAATGGTTAATTTTATGTTATGTGAATGTCATCTCAGTTAAAAAATGTGCTTTTATGAAGAAAGAAGTAAACCAAATCTGTGATTAATTTCTTTTCTTTTTTTTTTTTTTTTTTTTTGAGACGGAGTCTTGCTCTGTTGCCTAGGCTGGAGTGCAGTGGCATGATCTCGGCTCACTGCAAGCTCCACCTCCTGGGTTCACGCCATTCTCCTGCCTCAGCCTCCCGAGTAGCTGAGACTACAGGCGCCCACCACCACGCCCGGCTAATTTTTTGTATTTTTAGTAGAGACGGGGTTTCACCGTGTTAGCCAGGATGGTCTCGATCTCCTGACCTCGTGATCCACCTGCCTTGGCCTCCCAAAGTGCTGGGATTACAGGTGTGAGCCACCATGCCCGGCCAATCTGTGATTAATTTCTAGATCAATCATACCTCTTAGAATTAGGAACCTAAGTAACTTTACACAGCCAAGAACCGAAGGAAACTAACAATGAGGTTCTTGCGACCACCAGTCTCTCCAGGTTTCAGGGGGCCAGGGGAGGAGGTGTCACGCATTCAAAGCCTTGTCCATGTCTGTTCGGTTTGGTCAGTTAGGGCCACTGTTTCCCTGCACTAGCATCTCTAGAGGATTCCACTGTGTTAGTGCGAGAGTTCGCTCAGCTACAAGCCCCACTGTTGTACTTTGGGGCTGATGAACCATACTTTCAACTTCGCTATTAATATATGAAATGATCATTTGATTAGCAAGTCAAGTTAATTCCAGGTTCTAGGTCAAGTAGACAAAAATTGTATTCTACAAATGACCATTTTCCAAATTCATAAACAGTTCCATTTTACCATGGACTTGATTCTTATACGTATTTGTTAGCATATTTTCAGCAATTTTTTTTTTGAGATGGAGTCTCCCTCTATCACCCAGGCTGGAGTGCAGTGGCATGATCTGGGCTCACTGCAACCTCCGCCTCCTGGGTCAAGCAATTCTCCTGCCTCAGCCTCCCTGAGTAGCTGGGACTACAGGTGCGCGCCACCATGCTCAGATAATTTTTTTTTTTTTTTCTGAGATGGAGTCTCACTCTGTTGCCAGGCTGGAGTGCAATGGCATGATTTCAGCTCACTGCAACCTCCACCTCCTGGGTTCAAGCTATTCTCCTGCCTCAGCCTCCCGTGTAGGTGGGACTACAGGCGCATGCCACTACGCCCGGCTAATTTTTTGTATTTTTAGTAGAGATGGGGTTTCACCGTGTTAGCCAGGATGGTCTCGATCTCCTGACCTCGTGATCCGCCCCCCTTGGCCTCCCAAAGTGCTGGGATTAAAGGCGTGAGCCACCGCGCCTGCCTGAGATAGGGAAAACAAGGACAGGCTTTGGGAAGAAACTCAAGAATTCTGGCCATAAATTTAAGATGTCTGTTAGACATCCACATGGGAAACCACTTAGGGAAAAAGTATACAGAGATGAGAAGGAAGAGGGTGACCTAACAGTCTGGTAGAGAAACAGGAGAAACAAGCAAAGGAGACTAAGGCAAAACCAGACGGTGGGAGGAAAACTTCTATCACAGAAGCCAACAAAAGAAAGTGAGGGAGTGATCAACTGGGTCGAAAGCAGCTGGGAGGTCAAGTAGGAAGGAAATGGTAAAGAAATGAATAGCTGGGGGGCAACTTGGGGTCAAGGAGGGGTGTACATCCCTAAATGCTATAATTTTACCTTTTTGGTACATGTCTTTTAAGTCTCTTTTAATCCATAAATTCTCAAAGAGGGGCTCTTTTAACAATGGAAGATAGAGAGCATATTTGCACGTCAATGGAGATGGTCCAGCAGAGAAAAAGGGAGAGGTGAGCTACAGAAGGGAAGTCTTTGAGGGAATGTGCTTCAGAGAATAAGCAGAAGAGAGGGCCTGTGATAGGAACCAGGGACACTCTCATAATGGGAAGGAGAGCAGAGGACGTGGCTAACCTGACTCACTGGTCAGGCAGGTTGGTGGGGGAAGGTAGCGTTCTTCATAGAAAAGGAGGTGACACCACCAGCAGCTTCCTCCATCACTGACACCCACTGTAAGATAAACAATCGCCAGGCCCCCTAAGCCCCTCCGCCTCCTGTTGTCCTGAGGATGCCACTTTCCCTGTAGCTTTCTAAGGGAAGGATGCCAATAACCTCCCACTCTGCCCCACACACATGCCACATGGGAGTGGAGTGGGCACCCCTGACCCTTCTTCCAAGACATTCAGTTTTCCCCTTCTCAGTGCAAACAAGCAAACACAAAACCCCGGTGTCTGGTACAGTTCTTGGCACATCACAGATATTCAGTAAATATTTGTTTAAAGAAACAAACCAACCCTGCCCTTTTGAGATCAGTCCCTGTCACCTACTAAACTCTTCTCCCCGCAGTCACTCAGGCTCCTCTTGGACACAGGCTGCTTCTCCATGCTGACTGCTGCCAGCATCCTAGGGCCTCACTCTGGTTTTGCAATTTGGTATACTCAAACTCAAAGAAATTACTCTCTAATCCTCTCCGGTCACCCACTGTTTAGGACCACATGTAGGACCCGTAGGAACTTTCCTTCCCTCCCTCGGGCGGAGTTTCAGTGGAAACTGAAGGCGTGCGAATTTCTTCTCTCCCTTAACTTCCCGTCTACTCTGACCATGTGAAACAGTGCTCCCTAGTGGGAAATCATTGCATACGCATTCTCTACATTTGGAGTTATAGGAAGACTATTTTGAAGCGCCTGGTTAAAAAAATAATAATACATTCATTCAACAGACATTTTTTTTGTGCGCACCTGTTATGAGTCTGGTATATCTGAAATTACCTTGAGGCATGTAGTTTCATTGTTATCACATGATCCTATAACAAACCAAATGCAGTCACAGAGTCACGTTCCCACTGCCTCTTCCACGCTGTTAGTTGTTACTGAATAAATGCAGAAGGACTCTAACTTAGGCCGATATTGGAAGAAGCTGTGGCCAGTTACAACTCTGGAGGACTTCATCAGCATAAGAGGTTTTGTTTTGGTTGGGTGCAGTGGCTTGCGCTTGTGATCCCAGCACTTTGGAATGTGGAGGCAGGAGGATCACTTGAGCCCAGGAGTTTGAGGGCAGCCTGGGCAACATAGGGAGACCCCATCTTTACAAAGAATTAACTGGGCATGGTGAGCTGTGCCTGTAGTCCCAGCTACTTGGGAGGCTTAGGTGGGAGGATGACTTGAGCCTAGGAGGTCGAGGCTGGAGTGAGCCATGACTGTGCTACGGTGCTCCAGCCTGGGCAACAGGGTGAAACCCTGCCTCAAAAAAGAAATAAGATTTTTTTTTCACAGACTTCTACTGAGCACCCATTGTGTTCCAGGTCCTGAGTTGGAAAAAGATGAATCAGACCCAGTCCCTCCCTGGAGTTGCTCAGAGGTCTGGAGGAGAAAGGCATAGAGGTGAGTAATCACTAATGCAGTGCATATGTGCAGTACTCACTCACTCACTCACTCACTCACTCAGCAAACATGCAATGAGGACCTAACATGCTGGGGACTGTGCTGAGGATATAAGGATAAAAGCCATGATGGCTGAGCTGAAATTGCACACAGTCTATGTAAGGGGAAGGTACCATTTGAGAGAACAGTGCTCTGATGGAGGGGGGTTAAAGGAGGGGAGGTGGGGGCAGGGGTGGTTCAAAGGAAGAAGGGCTGACATTTGGGCAGGGGTTGAAGGCAGGGTCAGGGAAGGGCTTAGGGAGTCAATGCTTAAGCTGAGAAGTGATGGACGGATGAGGAGGAGTGGGCAAGTTTGCCACACAGAGGTGAGGTGGGGAGAGGAAGGTGTCAGTGCTACCCAATCTAGTCTTTGGGATTGTTTGATTAAGCTTCCTAACATGATTCTACTACCAGGTCATCCCCTTGCTCCAATGCCAGTGACAACCCTCTGGTGCAGGGTCTGACTATTACTTAGGTCCCTGTACCACTCTACCCCTTCACTGGCAACTCCTCTCCAGCCAGGACACTCTGCTCCAGCTGCTAACAGATTTTAGCATAGCATTATTTCTCAACATACAAGGCCCACATATGCACACAGACCTTGCAGGGGTCAAAAAATACAAAACCGACAATGTTGCTGAAGGAATAACATGCCTGACATTCAGTTTAAGCACTGCTGCTCAAAAATAACCTAGGTTGGAAGTGGCCTCCAGAGCTTTGTTGATCTTCCCCAGGATCTCACTTGCGTACGTGAACCTCAGTGCCTGGCTGCTCCTTATGCTCTCCTCCCCGGGCTTCCTGAACCTGGGGCTCAGCCTGTCATCCTGGACACAGGAGTCCCTATCCCTATACTGATGCCCAGACCATTCCTGCTTACTGGGGCTGTCTGTCCTGGTCTCCTGGGCCCTGCCTACTCTGACATCCATAAGCTGCTTCATTCTCCTCACCAGGCAGTCCCCTGTGCTGTCCATGCTCTCTTCCTGGGGCTATGTACCCAGCTGGGCCAGCACATTCTTATTTTGTCATTTGAACCACCCCAAATTCCTCCTAATTGGCCTCCAGCCTCAAGTGGTTCCCTGTGGCTCTGGCCCACCTGGCATAGCACCACCCAGGCCATCTTCGGAGGCACTGCACTTGCTCAGCCCTCACCTGTGCACAGCTCACTTTTCAGCGGCTCCATGCTGCATACTGGAGAGACTGCCACCTACCTACATGGCATTCAAGGTGCCCCTCCATTGCTCCTAGCCTACCTTTCCTAGACATAGACCTTTACCATCCCTTCTCTAAATGACCTACCCATTATTCCCAGGACACACCTTGTACTTCCCTGTCTGCCTTCCTTTCTACCATTCCCCTTTCCAGAACGAACTCCTCTCCTCCTTTCGACCTTCCCAAATCCTCCCTATTCTCCACGGCTCAGTTCAAACACCACCGTCTCGGTGAACCCTTCCTTAATCTCCTCCTGTTGAAAATAGAATCTCCTTCCTCTGAACCACTATAGGGAAAGGGAAGGAAATTATATCGTTTAAATATCTGCCATGCGCTATATGTTAAAAGCATAAACTTTAGAGTCAGGCAGATCTGGCTAGAATCCAATAGCTGTGTAACCTTGGGAAGCATACTTAATCTCTCTGTGCTTTATTGTTGTATCTTGAAAAACATAAAAATACGTATCTTTACCATTCATTCATGGAAACATTTGAATACCTAATATGTACCAGGGTTTGTACTCTTATGGTTATTTTGTTGTTATTGCTGTTGTTTTGTTGTTTTTTTTTTGAGACAGAATCTTGCTCTGTCACCCAGGCTGGAGTGCAGTGGCGAGATCTCGGCTCAATGCAACCTCCGCCTCCTAGGTTCAAGTGATTTTCATGCCTCAGCCACTCAAGTAGCTGGGATTATGGGCACATGCCACTACCCC